>NC_000005.10:158791627-159094657 GCF_000001405.40 Homo sapiens | reverse complement strand
TGATTTTAGAATGTTTCCTTTAAAATAAGAGAAATGATTTTCTTTCATAGATATTGGCTGAGAAAGTTTCAAATTAGGGTATATATGCATATTTAAAAATTATTTTTAGATACACCACGGCTTAAATATGTGGTAGAAATGTCACATTAATAAGCTGTTGGGCATTTTAAAAATCTAATCTTCAAGAACCAATTTATTAACAGCTATTTTTGATGATCACTTTCATATTTCGATATGACACAAGTAGAAAGCAAGAGTATGAAATCTATTTTTTAAAATAAAAATAAAGATTGAAATATATTTCATGTTATTTGCCTAAAATATTTGGCTTTCTTAAAAATCTGTTTATTTCTCAGTTGATTGCTCAGAGTAAATCACCATTTATAATTTTTGGTCTTGGTTTTATTTTCTTTAATGGATTTAATAATTGCATAGGATAATTCACTTTCATTTGGACACTGTGTTTTTTTTTTTTTTTTTTTTTTTTTTTTTGCCTTCCAAGGCAGAAACACAAAAGCCTGATTTTTAATAACTTTTTTTCTTTTGCGATGTCAAAATAAAAATGTCTTAAGTGGAGTTTTGTTTTCAAAAATTGCCTTTGATACCCTGGATATCCTTTCCTGCCATTCTCATTACAGGAAAAAAAAAAAAAAAAAAGTTGGGAGGGAGAGGGGGAAAGTAGGAACTCTAAGACATACTCTATGTGTATTTATTAGGATTTACTTTCTAAAAGATAAAAGGCACACATACACAAATCAGTACATAAGGCCTGTCTGCTTGTGCAACATTGACCAATGAAATATTAAATTATAGGTAGCACTATGAAATGAACAATTGTAAGAAGCACAGAATTAAGACATGTTTGAAGTGATTAATCGCTCTATGAATTAAACCTCCTCAAAATTTTATTTTAAGTCTCTCTAGTCAAAAAGTGCCACTACTAATTGATTTTCCCATTATGGGATGAACTTACCTTATACTCATATAAAAATGGGGGAGAATCATCTTTTGATATTTTTAAAGCAATACATCAAATATCATTTTACTAACAAGGTCATAGAGCTTAAGAAAAACTGCAGCTTAAGGCATTCTTTGACCACTTGGTGTCATAAATTCTATCAGGAAAGAGGGAGGAAGAGAGAGAGAAAGAGAGAGAGAGGAATAAGAACAAGATTAGTTTTATTTTCGATAATAGCACTTATGAGAAAGTCATTTGCCATAATATGACATCTCAGTAAAAGTCAAAATTATAAATGCATGCAATGATATATTTTGGTGGGGAGTGGCCTGAGAAAAGGTTGAATAATTATCTAAGTCTAAAAAATATCAGGAAAAGGAATATTTCAAAGCTTACCTGTGTGCTTTCATAATAATTGTTTAACCACCTCTCTGTAGCTTTCACTTTGAAAGGCAGTTCCTACTCATTATCCAATTGCTTGTTCTTTGATTATGTGCTGCAAGAGTTTTGGAAGTAGGTTAGCTTCTTGTCTACAGGGTTAATACAATGGCCTCCAAAAAGCAGATAGATGAGCGTGAAGAAGCTTAACTTTCCCTAGGTGTGACATAAAAATAATTGATATTTAGCCTTAATGAGTAAAACAGTTAATTTTCCTCTAGCTTGAAATTATTCTATCATAATTAAATACCAAGTCTGATTTAAAATTTCTTGAATCTTTGATTTTAGTTTAATATACAGTGGCTCCTTAAATCAGATGTAAGTCTTGATATAAACTGATGGATTAAATGATTACATTTTTTTTTCCTGTGAAATTCTTCCTCATACATTATGGATTTTGATAATTATTTAGAGTACAGAATGAAACACTTCTGGTCTGATAAGTTCTGATAACATCATCAATTGTGGAAGGAATACCTAGCCACTGTTCAAGTGTCTTTTCTTAGCTGCCTGTTTATTATAACATTTTTCCTATCAGAGATGCAGCTTTATGTGAGTGATGTCATATTCTTGACTAGAAAGTGGGGTTAAAACTCAAAAGGAATTTTGGACAAGCAAAATTTAAAACTATTTTTGCATTCTACATTTCCATAAACTGTTCTTGATCTTGGGTGGGATTAGCAGCATTGAGATAGAAAAGAAATGTACTCAATCAACCAAGATGTGTTGGTATGACACAGTATTTCACACCTTTTCAAAGTGTCTCATTAGACTATTTTGGGTAATGACTCTTAATTTTTGGACTCTACCAGGAAAGATGAAGCTTCATTAGAAATGAATATATAAGAATCTGAGATCCCTTATCCCTATGCCTTCATTGTAAAGCACACAGGATATAATATTTTAAAAATTCACCCACCAACTAGAAAATAAGAGGCTTGCTTTTGGGAAGGGTTGTTCAAAACCAAGTTTAGCTGGACTAAAAATAGTTTGTTTTCGTGTCATTACTGTTTTTGGTATTCCATTAGTGAGCATGCAGAATGCCCTGTAGGACCCAGAAGTTTATGGCTGCTGCATCCAGAAACAATATCTACTGCAGAAGCTCAAATGAATCCAGTGGGGGAGGTCTGAGGTTTAGTGGGCATCCTTTCAGATTTTCATGTAGTATTTGAAATATGATTACATTCTGTGATTGCTATAGTGAGTTATATATCTTTAAATAGTTTTTTTTAAGTTTAGCTTATCTCCCCTCTTACCATCTTGCTTTAAAAGAGTGATATTTTATAATTCAAAGAAAAGATACCAAATTGTATTAAGTTATCAAAACAAAACACTCTTCCCCTAAACAAAAGCCTGCTTGAGAAGCAGGAAATCGTAGTCACATAATCCTTGTATGTATGGATTTGAAAGTAGATGATGTAGTGAGGAGACCGTGAAAAGGTTCCCAGGACAGTGGGGGGTCCAAGGTACAATCATCAGAAATGCTATCAGGTTTCTCTTCCCAGCTAGACTTCTTGATATATTTGTTTTGATCTTCCCCGTACTTTAAGGTATTGATGCAAGTGTATTTTTTTCCTATTGATTGTTTCATTATATCCTGCCATGGCTACATAGATTTGATTAACAACCCTTTCAGTTCATGGTTCTTCATTGGTAGATAAACACATTTTCAGTATATCAATAAGTTCCCAAGGAATTCACTAGGCCAGCAGAGAGTTTCTTTCATATATTTGGGGAAATAAACAAACAAAAAAGGACACAGCAAGTTTATAGTCAGAGGCCATATTTCAGCAGCTTTCTCTCTCCTTTGGTAACATGTCAAAAATGCAGGTGATTTAAATTTCCTTGCACATAGAGGAATGAAGAAGTTTGGAATTTTTATGCATGATCAGGACCTGTGTTTGGGAAAATGTAAACTCATCACAGTGGAAAATGTGTTGTTTGGAGTCTGGGGGTGAAAACAAAGCTGATGGTTTTGGAGAGATTGCCGGAGCCAGATGGCCTAGTACTTCCCCAGTCTGGCGGGCCAACTGCTCCCTCCTGGATAATATACAGCCATTTGTTCGGGGATATTTACGCTAGAGCTGTTTCCATGTGAATGTTTGAACAGCATTAAAAACGAACATATTAGTAGAGATGCATTTATTGAACTCATATGACTGTACAGATAGTCTGTTCTCTCTGTCTTATATTGCTGAGAGCGATGAAGGAGTGTTTGGACATTGGTGAATTGTCTACATAGTTGTTGAGCAAGAATGATCTGGTTTTAGTGAGCAATTAAAATACATCAATGTTTGGAATCAGACTAATGGAAATAATGTTAGCACCTACCTTGAAGCTCCGTTGTGAGAATTAAATAACTTCATACATGTTAAGAACTTAGAACAGCGACTGGTACAAATTAAGTGCTTAATAAATTAGATGCTTTTATTATTATTATTATTATTATTATTACCCCATTGGGTTGACAAAGCCAATTGTATTTACTAATGTAGGTGTAAATGTAGTTACCATAGGAGTGAAATATCTTTTATTTGTGCTAGAAAAAGAAATACAATATGGGATTGTTAGAGTGATTTAGTTTTTTATGGTGTTTGAATAATATAAGGGGTTTTAGCTCTTTGAGACATAAAAGATGCATTCTAAAGCTAACTGCTTTTGGTACACATTCTCTTTTTATTCAGGGCTGTGATGTAACTGAACAGCACACTGAATCTGATATCATTCCTTCGCAACTTTCCTAATTCACTTCTGAAAACGGGCCTGCTTAGCTGCTGAGCTGAAATTACATCTTTGTAATTTGTTCACCAGTAGCCAAGCTGCTAATTGAAGCAAAATTATTTTTTTATTTTATTCCACTACTAATGTTGGATTGCTGTTTGACACGTTGTTTATGAAATGTCAGATTTGTAGTGTTTCCTTTGGCATGGTTTAATTTTTAACTAGTGTGCCTTCACCTACTGGAAATTTCTAAGACCAGATTAGCTAGCACCTTTTTTTTTTTCTTTCTTTTTTTTTTAATGACAAACAGTAGAAATTGGTGGTTGAATGTAATGATTATTATTATAGTGTGTTGATATTGTAGGTGTGCATATCATTTTTTGATTAGCTCAATTCTTGGTAATTTGCTGCCAAAGGCTTGTTGACAGTTTGCATTCAGAAGACATTTCACTTTTGGTTACAGCAGGTACTTTGTGCATTCATGAACTTATTCTCTTAGGTGACAAAGTAGGTTTGGCTTTTTATTTTGTAAGGGGAAAAAGGAGTAACATATTTTCAAGGTACAGTTTTGATTTAAATAGAAAATTAGAAGTCTTTGTTAGTTACTGATAACCTTTCTTTTCCCTCCCTCCAATCCTTTCTTCCTACCTTCCTCTCTTTTTCTTAATTTCTTTTCCTTCCTTTCCTTTCTTCCTTTTTCTTTTCTTTTCTTCTTTCTTTCTTTCCTTCTTTCTTTCTTTCTTCTTTTCTTTTTTCTTTTTCCTCTTCCTCTTCTTCAACTAATGATGATAAGTTTCCTTTTGTTTGCTTATAAATCAAGAAAGGTTCCTAATGAAAATATTTTGTTTCTAAAAATCCTTTGGATTTTGCTGAACCAAAGTCAAAAGTATTCTCTTCACCGCCTTTATTTTGTCGTGGAACACAAAGAGTTAAAACTATTAGAAAAGTAAACACAGAAAAACCATGTTCAATTCTCTGTATTTCCTTTGGCATCCTATTGAAGTGTGATCCCGGTGTACATTCACTGTGTATTTTTTCATTTTACTGTGTGGTCTTTACCCATAGTAAGTTTCAATTAACTTTTAAGACCTAGCAGTATTTAAGAAAAGCTAGAATGAACTACGCTTCACAGTATGTCTTTCAAAACAGTGGCAACTCAGGCAGGTTTTTGTATATTGATTGATTGGTTGATTTTCAAAGATATTACAGGTTACTTTATAATTGAGCGTTTAGAATTGATGATATTTTATTCATAACAGTGAAATTTCCAGAGATGTTTTTGCATAAGAATATGCAAGTTTAACAATTTCGATGTTTTCTTCTTCTTTTAGTTAATTATTTTAAATATCCTTTAAAAGCCCCTTAATCTGAAGTGAAGAGAGTATCAAAAAATAATATGAGATATTTTCTTTCTACTCATTAGAGTATGACAGCAGAAAAGGTAGGCTAGTATATCACAAAAATAAATCTGTTCCAAATATATCCACTTTTGACAGCTTGTTTGTCAATTTCACCAGGTTTTTAAAGTTGAGATGAGGTTAATGTTGTTTACTATTTAACTCTTCCTCTTATACAAGCATTCCTGTCACCTTAAGGGATTTATTTGCCATTGGCAGGATTAATTTAAACATTGTTTTCTACTTGATATTGCATTTTTGATTCTTAGGTTACAAACCTCAACTTGATTCACTATCAATTGATTTACTTAAATAATATATTTTATATGATTTTTCTCCCCCTCCCACCCATCTATATAGCAGGCATCCCATCTTCACTTCAGATAAACACATTGATTTATTTAAACCAGTGTTGTCTTTGTCCCTCTCACAACAGACAACCTTCCTCATAGTGAGCAGACTCATGATTTACTATGGAGGATGAAAATAAGCCTTCTTCTTGGTGTTTCATTGTCTGGGCCCTAAACCAGCTGTCTATTAAAATGGTTTCACTTAAAATAGCCAATGCTGTTTATATGCTTCTGTGATCTCCCAGCTGATCCAACCCCAACCAGCTTTACTCATACACCACAGAGGCACATATTTAAATTAGGAAGAAACGCAGAAACTTCTCCCGAAGTTGGTGTTAGCAGGATCCCTGTCCTTTGGGGCTTAAAGTCTGGGTTTGCTGAACTGTGGACCAGTGTTGATGTGTATGCTAAATGTAGATGGTAAAATTGATGTAGGGCTATCAGTTGGGTGTGCAAGCTGCAGGGAGAACTTTAGGGCATTTTGAAAATTCTTATTGTTGCCACTCTGCATCAGAGACATTCATCAAAATGAATTTATTATATATTCCTATGCTGGATCCAATCAGGATGTTGATTTCCGTGCCCATACCTTCTGTATGATAGGGGTACATGTGTGTATGTGTGTTTAACAATACTTTTCAGTAACAAAAACTGCTTTGATGAGGTTAGAGGTGGATCTGTCTTTGACTGAATTCCACTCTAGAGCTAACCTCATTACACTGAGTTTTTAGTTTACTTTAGTTACAGGATTTTAGTCCTACTCCATGGTGGAGTTTCACTTGCTTTTATTTCAGAAGTCATGGAGGCAGCACTTCTTTCTCTGCCTTTATGTGCTGAAAAATATTGTTCTATAGAGGCCCCAAGGAGAGGGAGAGAAGAAACTTCATGCTTGCACTCCTCCCTAGAGTTCCTAACTATTTCTGAGCAAATCCAAACTGATGGTTTCATTTTTCTGTGCTTGATTTGGAGAAAGATTCTGTTTTGACTCTGCTGCTGGAAGCATAGTGGCAGTGTGGTATTTGGTGAAGAGATGTATCATGGAGGCAAAGGGCCTTAAACAAGTGATATTCAGTCACCAAAGAAGTGACACAGGATTTCTGGAAGTCTGTATCATCTGCTGTTTGGGAAAACCATGAATGTATTTGTATTGCAGCATTGCATCCATTGAATATCATCATGGGCCCACTAATTTCAATGGAACCAGCAGTCTTAGTGAAACTAATATTTGCGTCATCTAGAAAGAATTGAAATAAAAAGATCTGATGTAACTGATAATTCCCCCTGCCTCCAAAAACCAAGCTTTTCTATATATATGTGTGTGTGTATATATGTGTGTGTGTGTATATATATATGTATATATATGTGTGTATATATGTATATATGTGTGTGTATATATATGTATATATATGTGTATATATATGTGTGTATATATATATGTGTATATATATATGTGTGTGTATATATATATGTGTATATATATGTGTGTGTGTATATATATATGTGTATATATATATATGTGTGTGTGTATATATATATATATTAGGGAAAGCCCCATCAGTATCTGTGAATTTATTTACCAGCTTACTTCTTTTAGCTTAGCATGACAAATATATTATTTTTTAAAGAGTGGTGGAACCAAAACATCACAAATATTAAAGCTGAAACAGAGATTATTACGAGTATTTAGAGAACATACAAACCATGTAGTACTAATAGGATTTAGAAGAAATGCTTCATTAGAGTTTTTTAGCATCATGTATGAGATCTAATAAGTAATTTACTGTGTTTTTTAAAATGTTTTCAGGAGTGATTGCAGGAAATAAAGCAGGCAGATGTAATTTTTGGTTTTCAAAACATTTTTAGTTAATGCATTTTCTTGAGTAATGCAACTGCTTAGGATTTTGAAAAGGTCTTTTAAGAATACAGCAAAGAATAATCAATGCTTGCTGAAACTAGTGGATGAAAATTTGACACATAGTAAGATATTAACACAATCTGGATTACGTCTACAGAAGATAGTTATGAATTGCATAGGGTAAAGTAATAACTTTACCCTGGGGAAACCTGGCTCATGATCTCTGATAGCAAGCACTACCTTAACCAAATGGTCAGAATTTATGTTGCCAATAGTGGAACTAGTCAACAACATGATTTGATACACTGAGAAGAACTCAAAATCACCTCTGTGTTATCCCTGCCCTGAAGTATGTAACTTTAATCCAAGCCTGAGGAAACGCAGGCAAACCCAAATTGAGAGATGTTCTACAAAATAACTGGCTTGTGTTCTTCAAAAATATCAATGTCATGAAATATAAAGACTCAGAAATGTTCCATATTAAAGGAGACGTGATAACTGGATGCAGCATTGGATTTTCTTTTGCTGTAAAGGACATTATTGGGTAACTGGTGAATCTCAGTAGGGTCTGTAGATTAAATTATTGTATCAATGTTAATTTTCTGATTTAGATAACTGTACTGTGGTTATGTAAGAGAATTCCTTATTTTGAAGACATACAGGCTGAAGTATTTAGGGCATGTCTGCAATTTACTTAATAAATGATTCAGAAAAAACTACAGAGAAAAGAATAAAGCAAATTTAATAAAATATAAACATTTTAGTCATCTGGTAAAATCTGGATGAAGAGTATCTTGGAATTTTTTACATATTCTTGAAAGCTTTTTGTAGGTGTACATGTATGTCAAAGTAAAAAAATTTTTAAAATACAAGGTATTATAGGTTAGCCATAAAAAGTGGTTTCGATGGGCCAATGGTGGAGAAGTATTTTTTCCTCATGCAAGTACATTTTCTCATTTTTTATTTTACTGCAATGTTCATTTTGTAACGGGATCAGATACCATAACCACAGTTCTCTCTGAGGATCTATACACACTGGGTCGCAAGTTATATTCATCATTTACAGGTTCTGAAAGTCCCAGGTTCAAAAACAAAGCACGTTAGAGTCAACTACAAGTTAGTCTTGTAGCATCTGTATGTACTATATAAAGATATATATACTATATTAAGATATATGTACTATATAAAGATAGTCTCTGGCTAATTTAAGTAGTTTTGTCATCAAGAAATTGAGGGCTATAGGAATGTGTGAAAGTAATTTTGTTAACAATTTGAAGCCGTGTGATATTAGTATTATGCCGTGATACAGTGTTAAATTAGCTAAATGTAGCCCACTGCAGAGCCCTGCTCTGCTAATAGCTGTGTGCATTGCTTTGGTCCAGGTATTAACATGTAGATCCATGAAAGCTGAGGTCCCAGGGAATCTTCTTGGTGTCCTTGAGTAAAATGTTCGTTTTACAAACACATTACAAAAAATAGAAAAAACTATTTGGGCTGGTGAGGTGATTTGGGACTCCAGATTTTGAGAGTCAGTTGTAACTCTTCTTAGTTTAGGGAGATAACTTTATGGCTTAAATCCACACACAGAGCATATGCCAGCGAGTATTCCTGTTTGGGTGGGTGTGCACCCTGTGAGAGCACATGTTCTCAGCCTGTTGATGGGAAGAGGGATTTTCCCTGATTGATAAATCATTGCAAACATGACACAGTTAGTGAATGGACTCCTTAGTTCACCTACACTTGTTTTCTACTACCCATCCCTGGAAGACTAAATGTTGAGCCTGGAAGTAGTAAAGTGAGGAGGCAAATACATATCATTTAAAAATCAAATCCAAATGCTTTTCTGTATTTTCGCTAAATAGTATCTCAATCTGCTAAGCCTTCTGGGGTTTCCCTCCTTATTGATGAGATTTATTTGTATTCTATATTAAAAGGAGAATTGTGGCTGTCTTGCCCATCTCATACTCTGATCCAGAGATGTGCATCATGGCAAGGTGGTTGAAGGGGCAGAGAGGAACATGCCTTTCAGGTTAATCCCGAATATCATACCTTCAGACGATCAACCCAGTGATGTCTTTGGCTCCTCAAAGCTAATTTGGCCTTCAGTAGTGGTGAAGTGGTTAAGAACTCAATTGTGATTTTTTTTTTTTTTCTGCTACTCCTTTCCATTCTTAGCTAAAACTGTGCTTTTGCTTTTAGGCCATAGTGTATGAAGGCCAAGACAAGAACCCAGAAATGTGCCGAGTCTTGCTCACACATGAGATCATGTGCAGGTAAGAAATATCTTGGTCTCTCCCGTTAATTAGCAAAGAGAAGATGAATTTGCATTTCAAATCTTGGTGAACTTTGGTCTTTTTTTTTTTTTTTGGTACACATTTGTCTTGCTTCTATAGACAATCTAAAAAGAACTGTTAGATGTGAGTATTTGGTAGTAAAGTGTCAGGCATCACAGTAGTTCTTAATTATTTATTAGATTTCATCCCGAAAGACATACATTTCCATTTTGATATCACACTGTTAATGGGCACAAAGCACTGCCTTCCCCTACTCTCTTAAAATCAAATAAAACAATATAACCCTTTTAGTGTTAATATATGCGCTCAACTGCATTGCTAGTAAAATGAGTAAGAGTTCTATTGATGTCAGCAGAGTCTTCTGTTTGGGTAAGACTTGAAAGTTATAGTTCCCCTTTCTAATTCTCCCACTTGAAAATATGACGTCCACACTTAGGCATCATTTCTTCTTAAATTGCATGTGGGTTTTTTTTTTCTTCCTCTTGCATCTCACCTCTTATTTACCCTATATATAACTCTGACAATGTAGCCAATACTTCGCAGAGGTAGTGAGCTTTTGGAAGGAAGGCAAAGATGAGTCCCTAAAAGGCATAAAATTCATGTGACCCATAGATGAGTGTCTTTATTTTTGCCTGTAATCAGACTGAAGCTACATTTGAAAACAGGCAAGTAGACCAAATTAACTTCCATGGCCTCAGCCAGGCTTTCCACATGTGAGGGAGTAGGCCAGGGAACAGCCCTTTAACTTGCATTCTTATTCTGCATAAAGTAACACCAGCAGTTTGCTCCCAATATATTCTGAATAATTGGATAAAGCATGAAGATGCCACTGTGCATCAGAGAAAGGCTACTAATTGCTTTGTTAACCATGCAGGCTCTTCCTGGCACAATGCTGGCCTGGCTGCTGACTATTACTGACCAATCCGTTTAGGGCTTCAGCTGCTGCCTCAGCATGGATGGGCTTTATTTGCTGCTTGTGGACTTGTGGGGGAAAGCAACCTTAAAACTCTACAGGTGGAAAGAAAAAGGGCTTAATGTGCTTTCTGAGTGAAATCCCAAATACCAACTTCTTGTATGTCTACAGTTACGTATGGATATACAATTTTCATTTTTTCCCTTTTAAAAATATTTCTAACATATTATTCTAAAATATATAGGAGTTTCACAAGTTTTCATTTCAGTGATTTGTAAAACTTGTTAACTATTATGAAAATAGGTTGTTTTTCTCTAATTTTAAAACAGTAGCAGAACCCCCAAAATATGGCAATAGATTTCTTTATAAGATATTATTAGGCAAAAATTAATGTTATATTGTACATAACAATTCTACAATAAAGCTGAGTTGCACCTTTCAGAATTGTGAGTAAAATTCATTTTAGAAAATGTTAAAACATGACCTCTTTCTTCTTACTATCTTTTTGACCATATCTCTGTTCTGGCTTCTTACAATTAGCATGTCATTAGAATGAATTTTCCATGTTGTACTACATGTGATTCTAGCAAAATAGGAAACAGACAGGAAGATGGATCTCAACCAATAGGCCAAATAACATCTATATATCATAGATTTGCATCTCATATCTGCACATGTTTAGACTATGCTAGAAATCATTCTATTCTTGAAACATTTAAAGATATATTATGCCTTTCACACACAGGCCTACCCTCTATTAATGCAGTTTATATTTTTCTTGTTTTTAAAATTCACTGGTCCAAAGTACTTTATTATGCTGGTTGGTGTGCTTTACTGCTGATGTTCTTTCTATTTTTCAGAAACATAAAAATAGCAAAAATAAAATTCTGAAGCCACTGAAGGCAAATGATGATGTTTGTACTGCGTGGCTAAGAGGGAAAAGCCGTATTCAAAATGTCATCCTGCTAATGTTACAGATTACGGGTTTTCCTGGCTGCCTATAGATGTATAAGGGGTACTGTTTGTTTACCAGGCTGCCATGACCCTATTACACAAACCTGTCATCTATTGTGTGGCTAACAGTCTTTTAAATTGCAAATCTGATGCTCTTTAGGGGGCTTTAGGAAAAAAATTCTCACTTTCCACACCATCCTATTTCTCTTGATTTCTTGCCTGTTTTAAGTGGAAGTTGGGATGTGCTGAATTTGCACCAGGGGTGCAAATGCAGGCTCAATTATAAGCATAAAATTAGAGTCTGTTCCCCATTAATCAGGCTGGCTAATTGCTATGCACCACCATTAGCCATATGGTGTGAAAGACAGCTTGCTCTCCCCAAGATGAAATTTCTTCATTGCAGACATGAAATAGTGAGGGCCCTGGATTTTAAAATAGCTTGTTTCAGATATTTAATTTCTAAACAACTTTCTGCAGTGCTTTCTATCAAAGCTAACGGCACAATAAAACTTTGTGTTGATGTCATGAAAGCTGTATATTTATAGTATGTTGGCTATGGTGAAGGAGACACAGAGAATTTAGATCGACAAGACAAGGCTTGGTATGATTCTGTTTTGTTGCAGGCAAAGGGGGAAAAAAAAAGAAAAAATGAGAAACACCAGAGAATTGTGTCTCAGGTGGTTGCAAATTTTTAAAATCCATTGTGTTCTGTCTGAAAGGTGACCCCACTGCCTGGGCTGGATAAGGGACTGGCCACCATTGGATCATATTATAATTATTATTACCACTCAGAGACAAAGCCTCTTTGACTGGACATGGAGCTCTTTCTGTGAAATTCTGAGAGAGTCTCTGCCTGTTTGGTAAATTGGAATCTATCATATCAATCATCATTACATTTTGCTATACCTGTTGGCTACGCTCTTAAAATAATACGGCCCCACACATGATTTTCTAAAGCACGATTCTAGAAGAGATTTGATTAAAGGGCATCCTGACATCCTGTGTTTAAATGTGGATGGAAAATAAGAACTATGCTTGGTCAGTGAACCTAGTTCCCAGAGCTCTGTTTAAGAAAGACCTCTTTCCCTCATCAGTGTATGGTTTCTTATAGGACCATGAGTTCTCAGGGCTCCCTTGAGTTCCCTTTTCTTCCTTTCTCTGTTACTGGCTTATTCTGATTCCATCCTTCAGATTCCCACTTAAGCATGGCTTCTTCAGGGAAGCATCCCTGGCTCTCAGCCTGAGTCAAGTCCTATTGTTACGTTGTCCTGTAAACAGTGGTCCTCTTTTATCCATGAAGGATGTGTTGCGTGACCCACAGTGGATGCCTGAAACTGCAGATAGTCCTGAACCTTACATACGCTATATTTTTCCTATACATGCATGCCTATGATAATGTTTAATTTATAAATTAGACATAATAAGAGATGAACAACAATTAGTAATAAAATAGAACAACCATGAAAACAAACTGTATTAAAAGCTATGTGGATGTGATCTCTCTCTCCAAATATTGTACAGAATACCAGCCCTTTGGGAGGCCAGGGTGGGAGGATTGTTTGAGCCCAGGAGTTCAAGACTGCCCTGGGCAACATAGTGAGACCCCCCATCTCTATAAAAACTGAAAGAAAAATTAGCCAGGCATGGTGCATGCCTGTATTCCCAGCTACTCAGGGGGCTGAGGTGGGAGGATCGCTTGAGCCCAGGAGATCCAGGCTGCAGTGAGCCCTGATTGCACCACTGCACTCCAGCTTGGGTGGCAGAACGAGACCCCATCTCAAAACAACAACAACAAAAAAATGTACTGGACCACAGGTAACTGAAACCATGGAAAGCAAAACCATGGATAAGGGGGACTACTGTCTGCTGTGCTTTTCTTTCATAGCACTCAGCACATTTGTAACTTTTTGCCCACAATCTGTCTTCCTTTGCTGGACTGATTGCTTTTTGAAGGCAAGGAAGTTACTGGGTGTTCCTCTGTCTTCAGTTTTCGTATTTCTGAAATAGAGGATAATATTACTTATCTCAGAAGTTGGTGATTAAGATTAAATGCAATAATCACCACAAATGCTTATCACAGTGCCTTTACACACAGTAAGTACTGAATATCTACTGTTATTATTAATAGTAAGAGTATTTGTATTAATAGAAGCAGTAACAGCAATATTTGCAGTGTGGGGCTAAGTACTTGGTGCGCAGTTGTTTGGTGTGAATGAGGATAAAAGAACTTTGAATCAAAGTGAAATGTCTACCAAAACATTCATGCACTTTGTTCATTCTAGTTGTGGGAGTTAAGGATGTTTTCATTTATTCTTTTAGCACCTACTATGTGCAAAACACTCAAAAACGGAGAGCCAGGGAAGACTTTGTTCTGTAGTAGGGGAGCTTATGGTGTGGCCTGGGAGATGATATTGGTTGGCAGATAACGAGACTGCACTCTAGAAAGGGTTGAATGTGATGAGAGGTTGAGGCAAAGGGCTATGTCTATTCAGAGAAGGGAGGAAATACTTGTAGTTGGGTAGCAGGAATAGGGAGGGGGATTTTAGAGGGTGCATGAAGTGTTTGGGCACGTCTGTTTCAGTCCAGCCAAAATTTCTCTGTGGAGAGTCCTGCAGGTGGATGGTCCTGAGTTCTGGATCTGGAAATAAAGTTATGGTCAAAGATAACTGACTTCAGAGGTCGTTTCCCAAGGGTGAGAGTTGAAGCTATGGGCTTAGATGGGATTGACAAGGGAGGGAGAATAGAAAGAGAAGGCATGGCTATATTCTTGGGGGGAATAATCACGCTTAGCAAGAAGGCAGGGTGTGTTAGAGAGTTCAGAAAAAGAAGCTTGAGCATACAGAGCATAGAAATAAAAGGAGGAGGTCAGGTACGGTGGCTCATGTCTGTAATCCCAGCATTATGGGAGGCCGAGGTGGGCAGATCACTTGAGGCCAAGAGTTCAAGACCAGTCTGGCCAACATGGTGAAACCCCATCTCTACCAAAAAATACAAAAATCAGCTGGGTGTGGTGGTGTGTGAACCTGTGGTCCAAGCTACTCGGGAGGCTGAGGCACGAGAATCACTTGAACCCAGGAGGTGGAGGTTGCAGTGAGCAGAGATTGCGCCACTGCACTCCAGCCTGGGTGACAGAGCGAGACTCCACACCATCTCAAAAAAAAAAAAAAAAAAAAAAGATAAAAGGAGGGTGTTTCAAAGAGGGGGAGTCATATAATAAGTGCTAGAGAGATCCAGATGGACATGAAGGCTGAGAAAGCACCAGACAGTCACTGGTAAACTTTAAGAGGAGATTCAAGTACATGCTGAGGGCCTGGATGCCCGTATTATGTGGTTGAAATGGCAAGTAGTGACAGGGACTCTTATAAGAAGGATGTCGGCAGTGAAGAAACTAACTCAGAGAAAAGAAGGAGCATCCTTTTAAAATTTTAGACAATGGGAAAACTTGATAATGTTTGCAAACTGAAGGAAAGAATTAACCAGGGAGGGAAGAATGGCAAATGCAAAACAGAAGAGGAGTCCTTGGTGGGGCTGGTCCCAGGTAAGGCAGAATGAGACGGACCTGTGAGCTCAGGTACTTGAGTTAGTGTGACGAGGATGGATCACTTACTTTAAGACATGGGAGGAAGAGAGAGGATAGAAGAGCCTATTATGTAATGGATTCTTTAAAATCAAGTCATCTTTATAACTATTAATAAGACTATTCAGATAAATCATAGATCTCAGTCTCTAGCCACTTTAGGGAAATAGGTAAGGCATCTTGTTTTTTACAAGTTTGAAATGATGCTTTCCTCCTGTTGAGAAAGACACTATTCATAGGAAAAAGTTCCATGTCCCTAAGATGAGGATCTGCCGATTCCATGACTGGGAATATTTAGGTGTTTCTTGCTCTAGTTTATGAAGCTCTAGAAATACGCCACCTGTGTTAGGCTGGTAAGAAAGAGACTCATAAGTTCGCTTTTCTCTGGATGTGCAGAATTGTTTGGGAGACACACAATCCTGCTGAGGAAAGGGCTGCTGATTTCGGTCCGTAGTGTAGGTACCACACCAGGTGCTGGCTACCAACGCCTGAGACTGGCCACATTGTTCTCATGTCACTGGGGTTGCAGGTTCGGAAGGGATGTAAACAGTGGCCTGCTTTTAAAATCTTACCCTGGCAGCAAAGCAAATTAGGAAACTCCAAGCCTTGCAAGATGCCAGCATGAGAGAGCAAATCCCAAGTCTGTGCCTGGTACAGTGCCCAACACACATCGTAGGAGCCTAAAAAATAGTGCTTTGAACGGATGAAGGTCCATCAGTCACACAGTAATGAGGACCTAATTATCATTGTGATTTCTTTTATTAACACTGTCACTTTTTCCGTTAAGTGCTTTTGCATCTGTTTCATCTACGGAATTGTTTCAGTATGAGCCCTCTTCTGCCTTAAACATAAGTGAATTCATTCTCCTTTCAGCTTTTCCTTCCTGGTTTCCTCCTGTGTATAGTGGAGGTTGGTGCTCACTCTTGGTCCTTCTGAGCTTAGCAGAAAGAACTATGGGCAGTTCTACCTGAAAAGGGAGAACTCACATGGGCAGGAAAGAGCATTGTGGCAACAAAGGAGAGGTCCTCACTCTGCTCGGCTCTAGGAAGCCACAGGGGGCTTGATATCAGCTCAGTCTACAAGAAGTCTTTCCTTCCACTGCTTGTGGTTGATTTTTAATTTTTAATGTAAAAGCATATTGCCATATAAAGCAGAACACTAGCCTGGGCGTGGTGGCTTGCACCTGTAATCCCAGCACTTTGGGAGGTCGAGCTGGGTGGATTGCTTGAGCCAGGGAATTTGAGACCAGCCTGGGCAACATGGTGAGACTCAGTCTCCACAAAAAATACACAAAATTAGCCGGGCGTGTTGGCATCTGCCTGTAGTCCCAACTACTTAAGGGCCTGAGGTGGGAGGATCGCTTGAGCCCCAGGAGGTCGAGGCAGCTGTGAGCTGAGCTGAGATCACACCACTGCACTCCAGCCTGGGAGTGCAAAAAAAAAAAAAAAAAAAAAAGCAAACCACTGCAAAAATATAAAAATAAAATGCACGTCTTCCATTCTTCCCCACTGCCTGTTCCACTCTCTATAGGTTAACTCTTTGAAGTTCCTACATTTAAAAAATATTTCCTGATGGCATACTGTGTGCCAGGCTCAGTTCTAGTTGCTGGGGTCTATGACTGTCTTTGTGGGGCTTATATTCAGGTGAGAGAGACAATAAAAGACAAATGAATATAAAATACAACATGGTGAGTACTATGAAGAAAAGTTAAGCAGAATAAGGAGCTAGAGTGCTCTAGGGCAGTCATTTCTTTCTTTTTTCTTTTTGAGACGGAGTTTTGCTCTTGTCACCCAGGCTGGAATGGCACGATATCAGGTCACTGTAACCTCCGTTTCCCGGGTTCAACCGATTCTCCTGCCTCAGCCTCCTGAGTAGCTGGGATCACAGGCACCCACCACCACACCCAGATAATTTTTTTAAAAATTTTTATTAGAGATGGGGTTTCACCGTGTTGGCCAGGCTAGTCCCGAACTCCTGACCTCAGGTGATCTACCCACCTTGGCCTCCCAAAGTGCTGGGATTATAGGTGTAATCCACCATGCCCAGAGGGGAAGGCATTTCTAAAGCCGTTGACATTATGCAGAGACTTGAATGAAGTGAGGGAGTGAACCATACTTGTAAAAACTGTCTCTTCCCCTCCCTCTCTCCCTTTCACTCTTTCATGCTTTCATTTTTCTCCCAGAAATGGGGCCATACTTTGAATAGTATTCTGCAACTTGGTTTTCTCAAGTCACAATATGCTGTACATTTCTTTCCATTCCAGTGCTTCTAACTCTACCTTCATTCTTTTTAATGCTGCACAGAATTCCATATACACATGTATGTGTACACACACATCCATATATGTACACTCATATGTATGTATGTACACACATATGTATGTGTGTGTGTATATATATATTTAACAGAATCATACTGTAGACATTATTTTGTAGCAGACATTATTTTGAGGTGCAGAACAGAAGCCGGAGTAGCTCATTTCAGGAATAATGACTATGTGATGCAGTGATATGACCCAAGAAACAGGAGACATGTTGGGCTTATTTTTCATACTTGGCCTAAAGTTTTTTTTGTAAGTGGTGAGTGAACTCCAGCCCTTTATTCTTTTTTCTCTACTTTTCTTCATTCTCCCCATTTCATTTCTATATTTCCTTCTACACTTCTGCTCTTTGCATCTGCCTATTTCCCTGGGTCCCTTAGAAAGGAATGCTTCAATTCATCTGGCTGCTCTCAGGGACATTTTTATTTTTAGATGACGACCGTGCTTAAGTGAAAAGGAAAAATCTCAGGCCTGGTGTGGCATGCTTGGGGGAGGTGGTTTGTTCTACGGGTTGGGATGAGGTGCACCTTCCTTCCATCAACAATGCCTTGGATTTATCTGTCACCCTTTTATTCTTCCGGATTGTATTTGCCCCCCAATACATAACATTCATTCATAAAATTATTCATTTATTCAATCAATTAATATTTGAGCTTTTCTATTCTACCCCAGGCCTTATGCCACTCATTAGGTAAGTAAAATTGATAGTTTCTTCCTCTACGAAGTCTATGAGTTAAAGGAAGAGAAGAATAAGAAGAGGGAGAAAGACAGTAACAAAAAATACACACACATATATGTAAAAATATAATTTGCATTGAGTTAAGTGCCTTAAAAGGAAAAAAAAAAACAGGAAAAACCTAATTTAGATTAAAGGTGGGGTGTCAGGCCAAACCTCTCTGGGGAAGGAGCTATAGGCTGAGCTCTGAGGGTGAGAAAAGATTGGCTAACTAGGGAAGGGTTGGAGGAGAGGCCCGCCAGGCAAGAGTCGGCCAGGGTCTGGGCCTGAGGTCAGATTGAACAGGGCACAACTGAGAGGGATTGAAATGGGCCAGTGCGGTAGGAGCTTGGCAAGTTGGAGGAAGGGGGCAGAAGGTTGGGAGGTGGTCTGGTATCATGTCATGTCATGGATTTGTTCTAAGTGCAGTGGGAAGCCATTAAAAAGTCTTGGGCAGTGAGATGGCACAGTACCACTGACATTTGGAAAAGCTCACTCTGGCTATTGCAGGGGGTCAGAGTGGAGACAGAAAAGTAGGCAGCCACTGCAGAGTCCAAGGACTTGGATGGAGATGGTGTAGTGGGGGAGGAGAAAATCAGATAGGCTTTAAAAACAGACCCTTGTGCATGGTTATCAGCAAGCAGGTTGGAGGAGTTCCTGGAGGACATTTCTCCCAGGCAGGTCTGTGGGCAGCTTGCATTGCCTACTTGCTGTTTTGAAAAGGAAAATGAAGGAGAAATAGGTTTTCTCAACCGGCAGTTTTCCTCCATGGGTAAAGGAGACGTGGGCTCTGTCGATGGGCTGCTTTTGGAGACCTGCTGCTTCTGCAGAGCACAGGGCAGATTTGCCTGGACTTGAAGGAGGAAGGGACTGAAGAGGGTAGGTGCAGGGGGTGATAATGATGCTTCATTGTGGCTTTAGTGAGGCTAGTCATGAAGCCAAGTCTTTATACCCTTATTGCCTCAAGCCTGTTCCCTGGCATTTAGAGGTAGATACTGCAATTGCTCCATTTTACAGATGAGGAAACTGAGATCCTGTGAGGTGGATTACCTTGCTCAAGTTGAGATAGGCAGCTCTGTCAGATTTCAGAACCAGTGTTCTTAACCACTATACTATTCTGAGAAGCCCATGAAATGTAGGTATAGGGGATCAGAGTTCAGGGATGAAGGAGTTATATTTTTATGTATTTTCTGGCATGCATTTCAACTGCTTGTACTTTCCACTGCTTCAACTACTTGTTACTTTATCTGTCTCTTAGATATCATGATACTTTGGTTTTTCCATCCCAAAAGTAGCAGTATATAGCAGAACTCAGGCCTGGAGGAAATAGTTCCCTCTGAATCAGAAGGTGAAAGGCTATAAGGTAGACAGAGTGGTTTTAGCCGAGGCTTTGACAAAGGAGATACAGTTCTTACTCTTACTCTCCGAAGACATGAAAGAAAAACAGAAGACACTTAAGAGTGGAGACTAATTCTCTTCTCAGAGGCATAGTTATGGCAAGAAAAGAGACTTTCCAATTTTGGTGAAGGACTCCCTACGCAGGAGTATATTTCTGGGTCCTGAAGATGAAGTTCAATATTTGGTTCTCTCCAGCAGCCCTCTAAATTTAGGCTGTATGATTCACTAAGTTGTAAGTGTGCGCGTATGTGTGTATCTCTCTCTGTGTACACGTGTGTGTGTAAGAGCAAGAAGTGCATATTTGCTTGTGGTGCTTGGTGAAATGTAAGTTTTGGAGGACCTCCCTCCCCATCTACTTCACTGCTTTTATAAGTATGCCCCTGGTGCAGATCTTGTTTTTATTTGCAAACAAGTTTCAGATGGATCGTTTTCTGTTGACCATTGTACTTTTCAAAAACATAAAATGTTCACCCTTTAGAAGGCATCTCAGTTTTTAAAAAACTGGCAGCCACAACTGGCAGGGGAGATTTTAGTAATAGGTACTTTTCGAGCCCATAGGCTCTTCCTTCTCTAACATAAAGAGCGTCCTCTCACAGAGCTGTGCTAACCTTTACTTCCAATGTCCATAATGCCCCCAGAAAACTTAAGTGAGGGTCAGAACAGGCTTTTATAGCCAGAGGAATGTGAATCTCCACTTTCTTTTATCTTGCCCCTTCCTTGTCTTAATTATTGTGTTTTACCTTTATTCTCATGAAAATGGTTCAAAAGCAAACCTAGCTGTAGGATTTTTGGAAAGGCTGTGGTTGAAGGAAATGCTACCCATAAAGGAGAAAAGAGAAGAAAAAGGAATCCATTTAATACAAAATGACTGGAGGGGGAGAAATCACTCATACCTCATTATTGATGCGTTCCACACAATTAGTGTGATCTTGAGGGAAGAACGTTTGAGCCACCCACAACCTTGAATATTCTCATTGGGTAGATGCAATAACAGTGCACTTCACAGTGAACTCTGCCAGCACCGCGGGCAGTCATGGGGAGACCCCATCTTGGGGTTCTGAGTCTTGGCTCTGGGAGAGCCCCTCTCCCCCACCTCCTTCTTTGAGCAGGGAGAGGTTAAGCCTGGCCATTAACCCATAGGTGACCCAAATAGAATTATCTGTCCCAGGGATCCGTTGATTGCCAGGTATGGCTTTGTGGTAATTCTAGCATTTGCAACCCAGCAATTTGAGCCTTCTGTCTGCCTAAATGATGATTTTACATTGTAATGGTTGTACTAAATCCTTTCGCTTTTGCTCCATAGCCGCTGTTGTGACAAGAAAAGCTGTGGCAACCGAAATGAGACTCCCTCAGATCCAGTGATAATTGACAGGTAGGGACCACTCTTCTTTCACTGGATTCTTATTCCTCATTATAATGAAACACCTGCCCTTGTGTTGCTCATGGGCGAGGGTTAGGAATGCATGTGGCTGAAATTTGCCTGTTGGTCATGACTTACGCTGTGCTGAGCGATTTTGATTCCTGGGAAAGCCATATGGAATGTTCTTTTAGAGGCCTGTTCCTTGGATTGCTCCGGTTTTTGTCTGATTCATGCTCCTAAAGGAATATATTTTTTCTTTCCTGACTTTCTGTGGCTCAATCCTCATGCTGTGCCAGGAAGCTTCAGAAATAAAATAATAATAGTTTGTGATTTATGAAATGTGGTTGGGTGCTTATAAATATTTAACTTTTATTTGAAAAATGTTTGAATCATTATCACTTTTAGCTACAGTAGTTCTGTTGGACGTAATCCATCTACACTTTAAGGTTTTATTTATGCATAAAAGCAGTTTAAAGAGATCTGTGAACCAAGATTTTCTACTGTTATTTGCCGGATTTGATTGCAGTATGAGACCATATTGTAAGTTGATTAATTTATCCTGCTTGTCTTAATTTTTGTGTTTTTAAACAGATCCATATTACTAATCTGACATGACCAAGTAAATCACCGTAGAACAATAAATCTGTTTTAGTTGTTCGGTGTAATTTTGAGTCAGTGTGCACGCATTATGCAAAGTCGCATTCCAAATATTCATTTTACATTTTAATTATTGAAATTCATTGTATGGAAACATGTATGATAAACCATTTGTTACATAGCATTACTCATTGAGAGTTAAATGGCCTGGAAGGTTTATAGATACTGTCAATTGTCAGCTAGGAAAAGAGCTAGCATCTTGTACTAGCTGGAAAAAGAGTCTTGCCAATAAGACTGACCGATCCCTCATTGAGGAAACCAATGGTTGAACACAAGTCCCTTTTTGGGTTTCAGCAATATTGATTTTTGACAACAACAACAAAAGAAAAAAAAACCCATCTTTCTTTCTACCTTTTTTGGGCTTGTTTTATCATTTTTCAGTTAACAATGACAACAACAAAAAACAAGATGTTTACTTCGCTTCAACATAATTTATGCCAAAAGATCGATTGTTGATTTTGACTTATGTGAGTCTTCAGGCATAAACCCAATTGATTGCCAAGAAGCTTTATAAAGGTTACATTTCAATCAGATATTTTAACTAAATATTCCTCACTAGTATTCACTAAAATATATATATTTTTGCTCCATATAAGAGTATTAGTATATTTGATTCAAAGTTAAAAGATGAGAAAGTTTGACATATGGTGATGTGTGTGCTACCTATAGAATTAGGATAACATGTTTATCTACAAAAGCAGATATACTGTTCATATAGTTGCTTTTTCTGTGATTGAACATAAGTCTCCAAATGAATAAGGTCACAAGTAAATTTAACCTTTATGCTGGTTTGTTTTATTTAAATTTACCTCTCCAAAATATCATTTGTTATTTTAAGCATTTTTCTTCCTCCTCTGTTGAAAAGAAAGTGTACGGATCAAAGGACCAGCCCAAATAGTCCCCAAAACTTTGAAACTATAAGCATTTTGTTCTGCCATGTAGTTCCTTTTGGTTTAGATGATGACAAGAACCTTACCTTGCCACCCTCAATGAAAAGACTTTTTTTTTTTTTTCGCTTGTGAATGGGTTAAGCTTTTAAGTTCTTCGTTTGGTTTGAAGCTGTGACTCTGATATAGAAGGTTGATATGACTGTGGTTTGAATAACATTTGATTTTGACCTGTTCCTGTGGGTTGCGATGGCATAAGAAACTTGACTCAGCAGCACTGTAATTAGCCCGGCCCCTGTTTTTGAAACAGGATTGTGTTACCTGGATTGCATTAGTGTGGCTTCTATTGTTGCCGCTTTGCATCTGTCCCAGAAGGGTACTTAAAACCTTTTCTTGGCTGGGGTAGTTCAAACAATTTAGGCAAAATAAGTATGCACTTTATGCTGTTGGTGGCTTTGGGGATATTACTCATGACATTTATCCTTTTCATTTTTTTTCCCTTTTGGTTTGACAAAGTAGAAAACAGTGTGTAGCCAATCTTGGTCTCTTCAGATAGGAGTACTTTAAAAACAGCTGAAACTCAGTGTATGTGCACAAGCCCCACAGCATATGTTTATTCGCTGGCTGTTGCCATTGTTTCTGATGAACTATCTTTTCATGCAGTGATGCCAGTTGATATGCAAAACCCCATTTAGCTATTTTTATTTGCACCTGAGTTTTCAGAATTTATTTGTCCTTCAGGCTGCCAAAGGTTTTAAAAGCTCCAGTCCTGTCTGTGCTGATATGTGAAACTCCCATTCTTAACAGCGAGAGAAGAGAATAACAACAAGAGAAGAACTTATGCAAGAAAGGGCAAAATAGAAAAGATTTTTCAATTCCATAAAATTGCTGCAAAGGGGAAAAAATGATGGCAACCGTGTTTGAATTTCATAGTTTCCAATTTGATTCTATATTACTGATTGCATAATATCTGTGTTACGTGCTTAGGGTTTGATTTGCTTTCAGATTTATGGATGCAAATCCCTGAATATTTTGTGAAAATAGGCTATGAGGCCTGCATTCAGTAGCAATAGTAACTGTTTTCAAAAGATGCATACAATATGCAATTACAGAGCTGAGGGTACAGGCCATCCTTGCGTTAGGATTTAGCATAGTTTTAACACGCAGTCAACTTTTGAGCACCAATAATTTTTAGCTCTCTTTGCTTGTCCTTCGGAATTTGGGAGAACACTACTATTTTTATCAGTCAAAAGACTTTTAGCAGTGGTTTATTCAGGAAAACTATTTATAGGGTAGAGAGAAGAGACTTTCTGGTCATAGTGCAATCGTGCAGGGCAAGCTATTTCTGTGTTAAATTTTGGCTGTATTATTTGCTGCCACTGACTTTGGGACATCAGCCTGGCATATTCTATCAAAAAAGTAGAATTAACAAAATCAGCAGTTGCAAACTGTGATTTAGAAAAGGGGCTTCTATTATACTTCATCCTTATGGCATGCACAGACTGAGAAACATATGACCCCAATTCTTTTTACAATCATGACAATTTGTCAAGTCACTTCAAAAAAGTTTATAGAAAAATTGCTGTAAATGCAGGAAGTGCACATCTGGAGTTGAATGCCAGGTTACATTTCTGTGTGGTGCCAAATAGCTTGATTAAGAAGCACATAACCCAGCCTGCACTCAGTGATCCAGATATTTGAGCTGCATAGACATGGGAAAAGTCAAATGTGTTATGTTTAATAGCAAATAACCAGGAACTGATAACAGCAGATTTCATTATTTTTGAGGTAAAGGGCTATGTGTGGTAATTATTGTTAAAGTAAAAAGCAAAAAATGACTTCCAGTTATTGAATTAAGGTGGAGATTGATTTTACATATTGACACAGTAACTAATATTTGAATTTAAAAGGTTTGCAATAAACTTCATGTTTAGAAATTGAATAAATAGGAGTTTTATTACCACATTGGATATCCTTGTGTCCTAACCTTTTTCCTTGGAGTTATCTTAGTTCAATAAATAAAACCTCATTAGACTATTCCCATTTCAACGAGTTTATTAAATTTTGCAGGAGTAATTAGCATAAGCTGTGCTAATTTTTCTGGAAGACTAATGAGGGAGGTTCTTAATTAGGTTTACTTTGTAAGAATCAGAAAAGATGATAATGACAAAAGTCACATAGGGTAGTCTGAATTGGGAACCCAGTTTTTCTGCATCTATTAAAAAATCTTTCTATATGGAAACTTTTTAATAAATGTCGGAACTGAATATATTAAGTATGCAGACTGTTATTCCATATCTGGTTAGGATGACCATTCATTCTTAATTTGCTTCCCCAAACTCTTTATTTTCCTAAACTATCTTTGAGCAATGACATGGATGAATACAGATGGTCTTATAAAAACATTTCTTTCTCCAAAGTATGCTGGAGGCTTCTTTTCACACAGACTCCTGAAGTTTCTGGCTAGATTTCTGTTGCTTATTTGCAGTGGGGTGGGATAGGGGGCAGCTTAATGTTTGTTTGTTTGTTTGTTTGTTTGAATTTAGAATTAGTGCAATTGATGAAATGAACCATTAAGTAAGGGTGACAATGTGAGCATCATTCCTTGTGCAATGAATCCTTATCTGTTAACAAGTGGATTTTTTTTTTAGTAGATAGAAATACTAAAGGATGAAATTCCATCTCAAATTATGTTCTCCTATTGGTGTGAATTTAGACCTAGTTTTTTAAGGATATAATGTAGCTCCAGTAACCTAAAAGTTTTGGGTTCCTCAAAGCCGATATTTAAAACTTGGATGTTAAAAGCTTGTCAACTTATGTACCTGTAAGAATTTTGAGTTTGTTTATTGTAATATTAACAGAATTACCATGCCTTTTTCCCCCATTTTTAAGAATTCCTGTATCTATGTGTATGGCTATGGGATGTAGGCCTTGACATGTGACATAAAAAAAATACACAAATTTTGTAAAATGAAAAACCTAGTCTGTTTGGAATTACTTCGGGTCACACTTACGCAAGGGTCTCCTATAAAGGAAAAAAATGCCTGTATTTCTTTTTTCCAGATTTGTCTAAAGATCTTCCACATCTAGATCACTTCCATTTAGGTAACACGAATTGGGTTTGTTTTATGATTATCTGAAATAGAATGTTCAGTAATGAAAATATTAGAATGCCCATTTGCCTGTTGATTTTATATGATGTACATCATATGAACGGAAAAGCTTAACCATGTTATGGTTGCTCAGATAAACAAGTTTATTGAAGACTCATTCTTTTTCTAAGAGGTGTAAATTCTGTGGTAAGACTTTTCAGAAAAGTGCAGTGTTGCCTTATCACCAAGCTAATTTTCTTCATTAAATTGACACCAATGTATTTATATAACATATATGCCCATATGTATAATAGGAAAACAATATAAAAACTTTAGAGTTAGGAGAGATCTATCTATCTAACCATCCATCCATCCATCCATCCATCCATCCATCCATCCACCCACCCACATACTTTTTACCATTGGGTCGGGTGTGGTATGTATTTGCCAAGGATTGTAAAGGCATCTGGGCCTTTCAACAATCAATGGCTTTCCTCTGTCTTTTATAATCAGAGGTAAATTCCAATATTTATTTATTTTTTGTCATCCACATAAAGTCCTCAATTAACATGAACATAAATATATAATTTTATTAAAGTTGCAAATGAGGCTTTTAGTTAGTTTCATGATTTCATTTCAATGCCCTTTCAACTCTTCTTATTTTGGTCTTCATCCAGTTTTTAGAAGGACCAACCACCACCAATGCATAATCATTCTGCACTATACACAAATGGCTGTGTGGGGTATGAAGAACCAGAGGTGTAAATGCATTTCTCAGCGTTCCGATAAACCTTTTATACCACCTGATTTGTAACCTTGACTGCTTGGTTAAAATAAAAGGAGGAGGAATTCACTCTCTAAAATTGCCCTAGGCAGGATAATTATTGTGTTTTTGGTTGGTTTGAGAGGTTTGCATTTTTTCAAAAGTGAAAAGCCAGCATTGACACTGAGCATGAATTTAAGACTGTTTATTAACCTTAGTGTGTTTAAACATTTGTCTTCTCAGTGGGAATTCATATGTGATTATTAGCGATGAGACTTATGTGAATGAGTATCATTCTAAATTTTATCACATATCAGATAATACCATTCTGAATATGAGATGAGCCCCGTACATTTGTGTGCAGTTTGCTACCGTGATAAGAAAATAACTAATACAATAAGCTAATCGCAGTCTATATTCCATTTGCTATCAGCTATTCCCAAATACACAACCAGGATGCATTAAAATGCATTTCGAATACGCTGACAATGTATCATAATGCAAAGTACTTTTACATGGTATAATACTATTGCAGACACTGTATAATGAACAACAGTGGTTTTCCTGTAAAGGAAATAATGGCAGCAACTTCCAAGAAATGTATTTAACGGAGCTTCAGAGAATCAGTAGTGTGTATGTGTAGCATGGCCCGGGTATCAGCCCGTGGTGTAGGTTTTTAATCCCATGTCATCATAACTTTGCTTTTGTAACAGTTCTGGAAAAATACAGAAAAGCAGTACGAAGTCCTCTGTGTGTCCCATTAGTAACTATGCACAATCATTTTGTAATGAGAATATATGAGTATATTAAACATGCTTTTACTTTCCTAAAAGAAGTTGCTTAGAATGGGGGGAAAAACTCTCTCCAAGTGTAACTCTCCATTGATAAATTCCCCTCATTTCCTCATTTCCCTCTCCTGCCAGCACCCGGTTAACTCTCTAATAAAAATTGACCAGATTTAAAAAACTCCATTTAGTGGTTCCTGCGTAAAGAGATGGTATTTTGGTCACTTTAATTTGCATGAGATGTTATCTGAAATCGACCACTAATTCTTCCTTCTCACAGCCCCCCATCCCATTCCTCTCTTTACAAACCGCGTAACTACATACTATCCAGGACAATATAAAAGTGACCTCAATACTCCTATTGCAATCAATGAAATATGGTGAACAGTACAGGTTTGTCTTTCATTGCTCCCTGCCTTGAAAGGTGTGGGTAGAGGAAGAAAAATCTCCCTTACAAACTATTTCTCCAGTTACAAGTCTTTGTCCAGAAGCAAAAGAAGGTTTTAACGTTACAGTACTTATTCTAATAGAATTTTAATTGCCCTAATCCTGCTAAAGTGTGAAGCTGAGTGTGTGTGTGTGTGTGTGTGTGTCTGTGCATGTATTCCTAATAGGGAGGGGAGTCATGCAAAAAAAAAAAATCTTTGTTACATTTTTCATGGGTGGGGCAGGGGGTGTCACATATGTTAAATGATGCAAACTTAATTAAACTGATTCTGGGGAAGGACAGGCCATTGGCGTTCCATCTATGAAATGTGTACTCCACTTTCGGTGGGAACAGAGTGGTCTTCTGTGTGCTTTGGGAATTTCTATTTTTGAAAGTGAAGTGCTTGGTTCCAGTTGCAAACATGCCCTAAACCCTACTTGTCATGACTGAGCTAGACATGCTGGCAAATTATATAGATTGATCCTACACAATAACCTCCAAAATGGCACTTGGTAACTATACCATCCTGCTAACTGTTTGAGGCACAATAGTTTTGTAATATAATATAAAGTAATGGTGTTAGCCAACACATCTTTAATAAGATATTGTTCGTGCCTTTGCCATATGCTACAGAGCAGCCTCTCACTCGGTGGGCCTTTTGATTCCTCTCAATAAGATTATTTCAAATACTCTAATCCTGAATCATTGACATGAATACAAAAGCCTAGTGACATCTAATAGATGCCTCTTAGCTTTGCTTTTCCTCTTGTTCCTTTCCTTTTTCTTCTCTTTTTACCTGACAAAAAGCTCATAGACACTTGGGCTCTGTCTCTCAGTAGCAGCATGGGGGGCTCCTCATGAAATATAAAGGGGGAAAAAGGACTGACAGAGGCCCGATAAGCTACAGAGTGAAGGGCCATAGATTAAAAGTAAATGCCAGTAAATCCTACCCTGTACACTCACTTGTTCTTTTATTGTTTTCTTTAACACTTTCAGAGCCAGGGCAGGGAAAAAACCAGAAAATAGTAATCAAGCTGCCCATGTACATTTTTAATCTGGACACTGTCACTATTATACATATTTTATGGGGCTTTGGCGACATTCTCAAATTTTGGTTCATGTAAAGGTTGTGGTGGGTTTTTTTTTTAATGTCCTTTTAATCAATATCAAGAATCCCTCAAGAACTTTTTTGCTCATTTGCTGCTCAATTAACTTAATATTGATACCATGTGTGGGTAGGAAGAGCCCTTCTGTAGGGTGTGAACACTGGGGCTCAGGACATGACATCTTCAAGGCTGAAATAACTTTTTTTCTTTTCTTTTTTAATTGATGAATTGAAAATTATCAAAGTAAAATGATAGGGTATTTTGTTTCATGACATCAGCTGCTGCTTTTTGATGTGGTGCTGCTCCCCGCCAGTGCCGTGAATTCTCCGCCTTTGCCGGGTGGTGCACGCGACTTAGACTCTGCTGGTGCATGCCGAGGAGTCAGGAGCCCAGCTGGGTAACTTTTCTAATGGTCAAAAGGTTGTTCCCTCCTCCACCTTCCTGAAGCAACCATGATTTGACTAAAGCTCTTTATTACTCCACCTGAATATCAGACAGTCATGCTGCTTGCAATTTATTTATTGTTTTCCAGAGGTAAACTACTGAGATTTTCCCCACCTGTTTTTAATGTGCTTCTCGTTCATAAGTATTCTGATCTGTTAGTAATATCTGAAAATATCACTTTTAACACTCTTGGGTGCACTATTGGCTGAAGCCCCCTCACAGAATGGAAAGTTAATTTGAAGAACTATGGACCTGCATCAGGTTTAGCTACACACACCACACACATACGCACATACACACACGCACATACTCTACAGAGACCAAAAAAAAAAAAAAAAAAAAAAAAAGATGAAAAGAGAGCAGTCTCTTTTTCATTTTTTAAAAAGTTCTTTAGAAAAGAAAGTTGGTTAAGGGTTCACCTGGTTATCTTTGAAGCTGTTACCAACAGTTGAAAACCCATGTTTCTCTACACAGTCTTGTTGTTTTCCTAAAGCCAGATTCTAATGTTAGATATATGGGATATGTCTCAGAATATGGTTTTAAACACTGAGTTGTTCTTCCTGTAGCTGTAGAAATGGGAGTGCCCTGATCTGGCTCGTGAAGACCAGCATCTGAATCCTGGTCTATGAGCACCTTAAAACAAAGCAAGCAAAACCCCTGATCACTGTGAGTTTAATAGTAGCTTACACCTAAATGGCACTTCCAGCGTTTTAGAGCACGTCGGGGTATACCATCTCAGAAAATTCTCTTTGCACAAATTGACTCCATTTGACAGATCTGTAAACTGAGGCACACAGCCTAAGGAACTATCCACTTTATTGGTGACAAAGCAAGTGATTAGAAACTCCACATCTCCTATCTCCCAGACTGATTTTTTTCCCTTTTCTCAATTGCTCAGCTAAAAACACTGTTTTCAGTATTTCATAATGTCTCTTTTATTTCATTTTTCTTGCTATCCACAGCACATTTTCATGTATTACTCTAAACCTATTTACCAAGCCAGCTTTCTTAGTTGATGTCACAATTAACTTTCAGGATTTTATATGTATATATACACACACATATATATAAACACATATATATACACACACATATATGCATATATACATATGTGACACTGTTTATTGTACTCATTGCTGGAGCAATGTTTGAGTTCTTATGTCCTCATTTAATTTGATTGTGTATTTGCTTGAAAAAAACATCAGTAATCCATACAGAAATCTGGGAGAAGGCACAGTATGATGGCAAAGGCATAGATTTTGGAGTGCATTGGCTAAGGGATCCAGTTCCTCCACAGCTACTTATTAGTAGCTGAGCCTCAGGGGGCTCAGTTTTCTCATCTTCAAAATGGGAAAAGTCACTTCTATTTTGAAGCGTTGTGAGGATTGAAACACCTAGCACTGGGCTTGGCACATAACAGGTGCTTAAAATCAGGTAGCTCTTGCAATTTGAGCATCGTATATTCCATGTGGATTTTCATTCTTAATGTGATCATTGCCATGGGACTTCCTTTGAGCACAATTACCTTACTGAAGTTAATCATGGTAGCTAAGTCTCCTTAGATAAAGACTCATTCATTGTTTTGTTTCCACAAATATTTATTAAGCCTCTATTATATGTCATGCACTGTTTTCAGGGTTGGGGGTATAACAGTGAAAAAGACAAACATAGTTCCTGGCTTCATGCAGCTTTCTCAGTGTCTCAGGGTTGATCTCTGCCCCCAGTCCCCCAAAAATAGTTGGAATAGTAATAGCAAGTATAAACAAAGAATATATTGATATATATGTTTTAAAAATAGAAGAATGCCATTTTACACTGGGATCATGATGCAGAAGAAAAATATCCCCGGGTTAAAGTCACCTTTTAGCTCATACCCAGAGGTATCGAACTTGGGCAAATTCCACGGCTTTATTGCACTCTTCTGAGGCAGTCTACATGTTGGTTAAGACTGAAGGAAGAGATCTCTAAGACCCTTTCCAACTATGGAATTCTAATTTTAGCTGTTTGTGGTATTGCTGAGCACAGGCAGGTAGATGAGCGCTTTGGAGGGTAGGTTGTAAGCCTAAGAGGGCAGTGACTACGTTGAGCACAGTGCCTCCCTCCTGTGTACTAGATGCTTAGGGCTTGTTTTTGTGAAAAGAAGGAATGACAGGAACTAGAAATGCAGTTGTTGAATCTGGTGGTCTCATCTCTCTGTCTAAAGACAAGCTTGTTATAACTACACAATAAAGTGAAATGGCACTGCCATTAAAGAATGATGAGGAACAGAAAATGTAAGATAAAATATTAAATTTGTTACACTTAAAAATGTTAATCTTCACACGATTACCATGCAAATCTCCTCATTGCCTAACTGTTTAATTGATCAAGTAAATCACAGAGCAGACAAGTGAAAATCTCTGCTGTTGACATTCTCACAAAGCATATTTTCAAGAATATATTCTATTAACTATGTGTATTACACATGATAATGGGAATTTCTTATTTTGTAAAAACATATATATGTGGCATCCTTTGCAAACCACCAGATTTCAGAGAGTTTGGGAGAAGGCTTGATTTTTGCAGGGCAAAAATTCAGCCATCCTCTATTATGTCAAACGCGAAATCAGTGTTAGAAAGACCCCTGTGCAAGCAGCGCCTTTGTTTTATATACTATTAGAAGACTTCAGAATTCACCAGTTTTTCTTTCAGGCAGGTATAGCATTGACCTGATACTCTGGAGATTGAAGGGTTAATGAATTCTCTTTCCCTCCCTCCCCCTCCCCAATCTTCCTGTCCCCCACCCCCAATCCCATCATGTGCCTGGTTGACTCTGAAAGAAGGGGCTTGAAGTTACCCACAGGGCATCCCTTTCCCCAGCCTTCTCCAAGGCCACCTGGGCAGACGGGAGCTTGCCTTCTGTCCTTAGGACACAAAATCCAATCAGGCGCCTGGCCTGCTAGTCTCTCTGACCTGCGAGCTGGGAAGAGGGAGGAGAAGCAGAGGCCCTCACATTTGATAGGCTGCATCTTTGTGGCTTTAGGGGGCTCCTGTGTCTACTCGAGGAAGGAAGTTCTCCCTTATTTTAAGATAAGGTGTCATTCATGAGAGCAATGTGCTGAACTAATCAGGTTAATTGAGAGGCCGTGAGTCGTCCTCATTGAGCCCATCTCTTCTTCCTGTTAAAGGCAGATAGCGCAGACAGACAGATTACACATATTTTAGTTTTTTCCCAAAAGCTTATGAAATAATGTAGGCAGGCAGGGAACGTAGGTTCAGCTGAATGTCATTCAGGCTATTTGAACATGGATTCTTATTGTAGAACAATGTAGCATTCAAAAAATAATAAAAGAATAAGCTCTCCTCAAGATTGAAAGATGAGTGTCTCTGAATGTCTGATACACTCTTTTTTTTCTTAATATTATATTAAACTAACCTCAGCATTTCAGATCAACTAGGAAAGAATGTTTGTTGAAGAGTCCAGTTAGATTCCTCCGCGGCTATTTTATTTAGGATTGAAACGTAAAAAAAAAAAAAACAAAACAATCTCATTGTGATGTGTCATCAGTGACAAGTAGCTTCTTGAGCCATGTTTCGATTCTTCGGCTTCCGAGCCGGACACTGGGGGCCGTCGCCCTGACTAATCGCATCTCGGACCTCCCTCTGGAGCAGCCGAGTGGGGAAGAAAACAGAGCTGTTTCAACTGAATTCCATAAAGGGCGGGGGCTCCTCCTCCCTCTTCTCCACTCAAAATGATTTGTCATAGTTTAATTTTAAACACTATCATTGACTATTCTTTCTTTCTACCCCACCTCTTTCCACCTTTTTTTTTTTCTTGGAAGTTCCAGGAATGACTTTAATTATCTCCACAATCAAATTCTCGTTGCTGCCTCTGTGAAAGTGTGCAGTCATAGATGGCAGGGATTATTTTCTTTAGCACTTGGGGATACAGAAACCGGTTGTTTCAAAATGAGAACCAGCTGGTTCCACAGAGCCCTTATTTAATGGGGAGCCACTTTGTACACAAAGCCTTTGCTCAGGTCAGTCATTATGGCAAACCCCAAATCAGCAGTGTTTTGTCTATCACCCTGTATTAAATGTCGAGCGAGGAGTGATTTAGCAGATATGATAATAATAATAATAATAATTAAGAAATACCCAGCACACCCTGCATCTTTAATTTTGCCTCAACTAAACACTCCGGTTTGGAAGGAACATTTCTCAAACTTCTTCCTACAGTGATTACAATCATAGACCTAGTTTACCACTGCTCTCTCATAGATGGCTGAGGGGTATGTGTGTGTGTGTGTGTGTGTGTGTGTGTGTGTGTGTGTATGTAGCTTTAACCCTCTCTAAATCTAGAAAATAAAATTAAGCTCATCTTTCAACATAATCTTTTATCTGACAAGCACAGTAGATAGATGAAAGGTAGATAGCCAAGTTGTGGGTCCCCTTAATAGAACCAATTGGAGGGCAGAGATAACTGCTATTATCAAACATCTTTTATGCCATCCTGTAAAATAAGGACGAGGGTGATATACCATATATATTTTGCTGTCTTTCTAGCTTGTAGAAATTGGTTTGTTGTCATACCCTGTTAATCTCTAACAGCACTAAATTCAATTTGAAATGAGGAGAGTACTTTCACTATTTGACTGTACAAAATACTTTTGAAGCATGCAAAAAGAAAAAAAAAGGATAAAAGACACGTAAAACCACAATAGATATTCGGTTATGAGAATAGTTTGTTTTTAGAACCTAGGTTGCATTTTTCTAAGGTGAATAGTTTTGGAGGATGCAGTATTTATTCAATCAGGAATTGAAGAATTAAAAAATAGCAACTTTACATAGATTTTTAAAAATCTAGTTTAACCAAATTTTATCTTTCAAATATGAGAAATTATTTTGCATTACTAATAAGAATATGTGGCTTTTAAAAATTATGACATGCTTTTTTTACATTGATAGCAACACAACAAAATACTTTGAAGAAAGGATAACGATTTAAAAATTTATTCTCACAGGGAGTTTCATTAAGCTGAGCACTGGTATATATGTTTTTAATTATTTTTATTTTTAGGATTTCCATATTGAAGTATGGTTTGGGTAAAATCTTATCAAATTATTTTGTTTGTTTACTAAGTACTTTGATTGTATAATGTCTCTAGTTCAAACTGTAATTCTATTTTATATTTTCTGTATTTGTATTTTTAAAAAATTCTGTTGATTTTTTAATATAAAAAACAAATGACTGTTATATTTCTAGTCACTCAAATTTGAACTGAATTTTACTTCCTGTTTCAAAGGTCAAGGCAGGCTGACCTCAACAGCAGTGTGGAGGCTGCTGAATTATTCATATCATTGACTTTGTGTCAGCTTCCACATTTGTGGAGAGGGATGTTTTATTCATTTATCTCATTTAGGGTTCTTCTCTGCACCTGTTTCTACCATTAAGTACCCTGTAATTTGCATTTGATGCTAATTTAGTTTCATATCAGCCTGGTCCCCCCTTGTTAATTTAATTTTCTAAGACCCTTTTCATTACAGTAGAACTGTTTTCCTCTTTAAAGCAAACATCTATACAAGTAATTGTATAAACTGCCTTTTAAATAATATCTTTTAGAAGATTCCATCGTTTAATTCCTTAATTCCTATAATTAGCCATGGTTTGATTAATGTTTCAAAGGGTTAAATTAAAATGCAGAATTACTCAAATGCATACTGGAATAATTTCTTATATACAGCAGAGTTAGCGTTGTGGTGTTCTTCCTGAGAATTCTCAGACAGTATGTCTTAACAGCAGTCATTTTCTTTATTTAGAGTGCTGTTTAGTTTACTAATAGTGATTCTTTCAAAATCACTGTGCACTCAACATTACTCGTGAAATGTTAGTTTTTTTTTTTTCATCAAATTGTTGATAGACAGTGGCTTAAAAATGTTTCTGCAACATTGATAATGACATACCCAAAATAATCAGGGCAGAATTAGGTCCAATTCCTTGATCTATCCTGGAAGTTTGGTATAATGAATTTCAGGAAACTCTGTTATATTATATGTCTGTTTCTCTTCTTACCAGCTCTTTTATTTCTGTCTGCTGCTCAGGGTAGATTGCCTGGAAATTTGTCAGCTTTCCAGACATGGTTTTAGCCAGCTTTGGTTTGTATCTACGGACACCCGTTGGGCTACAGTTGCCACCTACATATTGTAGAAATTAGGAGTAAGTTGTTTGAGGAGGCCTGATTGAAATGGTGGCTACATGGCAGAAGTGGCCATGTCCCTGGAATGTCTGTCAAGGATTTGGGGGTTATGAGAACATGCTACTCATATAAACCAGGTCCATAGCCCCTCTGACTGTTCAGAAAAGAATTCTAGCTCAGTCCTTTTCTTGGAACTGTTTGGAGGGTGTTTGACATGAATGGCCTTATGGAATCTGTTGGTAGTGGGAATTCAAAACAAGGGTATGAATTACGAATTCAAGCACTAAGATACGTGAAAATTAAACAGAAGGGAAGTGGCTGCAGCTGAATATTACTAAGAAATTAGCCCAAACTCTACAGATCCTTCTTCCACTAGGTTGGATTAGTTTGATCTGTTGTTCATATTCTCTGGGAAAACCAAATGAGGCAGTTCCTTTGGGTTTCCGGAAAGATCTCAGGTCTATTGGAACTGGAGTTTGAAGGTGGCTTTTCCTTTTCTTTCAGTTATAAATGATTCCTGGGGACTCCCACACACAACTTTGTCATTGTGGAAATGTGAAAGGGTATCTCCAGATTTTCTAGCAGACAGCTTCATTTGTCTGGTTGCAAGGTAGGGCTGGGGGTGGACTGGACAATTCCCCAGGGTCCCCTTCAGCTGAGAACTTCCCTGGACCTACCAGTGACTTTTTCACGTCCTACAGCTTATTAAGCTAGCTCTGTGCTTCTGCTGATGGTCCTAAAGCAAAGTGAGAGCTTTCAGGAATGAAATACAGGATCTTTATTCATTAACAAAACATTTTCTTACTCATTCTCCCTCCTACATCCCCCTCCTCCAGGTTTAGATATTCTTTTTAGTTTGGACAAGTCTGTAAGCTCCAATAGAAAAGCCTCCTTGAGGTCTGATTAAACGGCTGGGTTTAAAAACAATAAAGACTATCTGCAGAGCTCATGAGAATGCAGGAAAGGTTTTCCCACCCAATTCTGGCTGATGCTTGGAATTCCACTGTCAGAATCTCATCCCTTTAGCTAAGAACCTTCAATGTATACCAAGACATACAAAACTTAGGGAAGGCTAGCACTTTAATTCTATCATTCACATACCTCTTCGAGGGAATGACATAAAGATCTCACATGGGTTCAGCTCTTTTTAGTTTTCATGACAACACAGTGAGGTAAGCAGGATTTTTTTGTATCATTTCACAAATATGGAGAATGAATAGCTTAAGAACGCTAATACATAGCCTAGCTAGATCCCAAAGGCAGGTTTTCCAAAAAATCTAGATTCCTGTAGGAAGAGACCACGATTCCATTTAAGCTGAGTGGACTCTCAGAGATTACAGTTCAGCCCCTTCATTTTAAAGATGAGAAAGCTGAGGCCAAGAGAAGCACAGCAATGTTGCCCAAAGACCTAATTAGTCTCAGAGCCAGGACCATAAGCCAAGTCCCTGGCTCTGGTTCCAGTGGCTTTTCTACTACTACTCTGGGCCATCTGGGTCCTGCTCTGCTCTCCATTTCACCTTGTGTGCAATCAGCCTTAGGGAAGGGTACAACGTGTCTTTTCTGGGTTTGGGTCCAAGGAAGCCCCTAAGTCCTGTATCTCTAACAAGGCCTAGCATTGTGCACGGAGCACAAGTTAAATTGTTTCTCAGAAATTATAACAGTCCGTCAGGCGCGGTGGCTCATGCTTAGTAATCCCAGCACTTTTGGAGGCTGAGGCAGGTGGATCACCTGAGATTAGGAGTTCGAGACCAGCCTGGCCAAAATGGCAAAACCTCGTCTCTACTAAAAATACAAAAATGAGCTTGGTATGATGGCACATGCCTGTAATCTCAGCTACTCAGGAGGCTGAGGCAGGAGAATCACTTGAACCCAGGAGGCGGAGGTTGCAGTGAGCCAAGATGGTGCCATTGCACTTCAGCCTGGGTGACAGAGTGAGACTCCATCTCAAAAAAAAAAAAAAAAAAAAGAAAAGAAAAGAAAAGAAAGAAATTATAACAGTCACAGGGAGGAGGAAGCTACAGAATATCCCATCATAAAATATTACTTTATTTTTAAAAGCCCACATATTTCATTTATTTGCAACTGTGCTTGTTCATACTATGTCATATAACACCGTGCGACAAATTGCAATTTTTGTTTTTGTTTGCCAGAGGTATTTCATCAATAGTCATCTTTCAGTAGGAATTTTACAAAAGGTCTTTCTATTCCAGATGTCTTACCATGAGCAGTTGTCTCTGACTATTATCTTTCTCTGGAAGGTACTGACATACATAAATATTGACGTTGGCAATTTTCAAAGTAAGTCTTAATAAAATTTTTCTTTTATTTAAACCTAAACAAATTGAAAGTACCCTTTCCAAAAATAATAATAAAGGAAGTGAGGCATTGTTGCAGAATATAATTCTGAAAAAATTGTAGTGAAAGGGGAAAAAAGTACACTGTATTTCTTCCTACTCAAACCACTTTTGTGTACAGTTTTGCCTAAGCCCGAAGAGGTTTGTCACACATTTGGAATTGCCAAGGAAGGGCAGAAGTCATGGGTATGGTGCTGAGAGAAATTATTAGCCCCTGGCATAGTCTCATGCTGAACTGCAGGAGAATGATTCCAGAAGGCAAAGGGGCATTCATTCGCCTGGTAAGCTAGAGGGAGAGGTGGGGAGTTGGCAGCTTCTGTACTGTTTCAGAGTATGGGGCAAAGGAGGAAGTGACAATTATTTCACCTCTGAATTATTTGACTATCTGGTCTGGCTGAAAAGATTGTGCTGATTTGGAAAAATTTAATTTTTTCCGTCTCCACAGAAATATATGACTGAATGTAGTCAACCAACTAAATCTTTCTTCCCAGTATCAATCCACTAAAATTAATTTTAAAAGGTGGAATTTTGAATTTATGTATACTCTTTTCTTCTCTTTTTCTCTTCCCAAATTGTCATAAATCATTCAACAGGCTGGATTCCTTTCTGCTCCCAAATAGTTTGATACCAGAAGCCAGAAAGGATAATCATGCTAAACCTATTAAAAAATGGTTTCATGTAGGGTTAGTCTCTCCTTTAGAAACCATTGTTTACATTCACAGAGGTGGTGAGGACAAGCAGCTGTTGAGTTCATTGACCTCAGACAGGAGAAACAAAGGACCCAGCATGTTAATTTATTCAATAAATGTTCGTGAAGCATCTACTATATAAAATAAGTTGTACCCCCAATCCCAGATTGGGGACTGCCCCAGAAGCACTTTGTGGTCCTCCCAGGGCACTCACCTATTAAGGAAATTGGATTTGGTGTAGAATCTCTTTCTCTTTTCCAAATCACCACCAAATCCATTGCCATTCATCTTTCTCCTGCCATTACCTGGCCATTCCCAGGGTAAGGTCCCACCTCCAAAAAGAGATTTAAAGTAATTCACTACTCATCAGATTTAGTGTAGGTTAATTCCCTACTATGCTAATAATTTTCATCTTCAAGGTACTAATAGTTCTAATATGAACCCAAATTTGTGCATATTCTTCTGTTAAGGAGAAAGCATGCTTTGGTTCTGTTAAAGGCTCGACACATTAAATTGCTCATTCTGATATGGGACTTCTCATTCATTATGAAATGAGAAGGAACCTCATGTAGAATGCTGAACTGGGACACAGGAGACCTGGTTTTGAGTACTGCCCCTGCTGTTATTTAGATATGTGAGCCTCTGTGTCTGTGTGTCTCTTAACTTCTCTGGATTTCAGCTTTCTTATTTATAGAACGAGAGAAGTAAACACTTAGGATCTTTAAGGTTACCTCTCTCAATGACTTTAATCCTCTCTACCCTTATAAATCTGGTTACCTCTCATATCTGACATTGGACAGTACCTATTATTAAACATGTGCTTAAGTAGCATGTACTATAAGGTAAATAGCAACCTCACAGAGGTCAGAACTGAATAACCAACAATATTCTCAATCAACTTTCAGTTCTTCTTCCTTACCTCATCCAAGGGATCAGCCAGGTAATAAGAAGATAAGGCAGCAGGTACAGCCCATGTCTATTGCTAAAATCTACCTTAAGGCAGGAAGCTAGTGGGTGAGATCTTTAGATGATGCACCTTACAAGGCTAATTGAGTTGTTATATTTAAATTTATTGGTAGCATAACTTGGGCAAGATGGGGAAGGGATCTAGTAAAAAGAAAATTGTAGGCTTGTAAAATGTGAGGCACGTGGACCAACACATTTGTCTCTGTGAGATAGTAACCCCAAAAGGTTGTGGGCAGAGGTTGCCTGTGCAACATCCTCAAGTTGTCTCTTAATCTGGTTGAGACTTGTCTTCCAGATGAAGCAGCCTAATGTTGATATACAGAGAATCTACACTAAGTTGCACATAGTACATGCTCATTAAATAATTGTTCATTTTCTGCATATCCACTTTGTTTCTGTACTTTTAGGGTGTATAATTCCTTTTAAGGCAAATAATGCTGAGCATCTTTGGAATGAAGCTATGAAATTATATGCTCTGCTAATATCCTTTGCTTGTGAGTGACAATACAGTATATATTCCTTAAGCTTGAAGAAATTGGAATTTCATAAAATCTTGAAAAAAATTTTTTTCTATGTGCAGAGGAGACGAGAGAGAGACTGAGAAACAGAAAACTTTGTCCAGGATGGGAACCAGATCTCTCTCTCTATTTTTTAAATTTTAAATTATCCAACCGTTAAATATAAACATTATAATATTTTGACAGGTTTCCAAAGAAATAAAATTGTGAGTCCCATGGATAATGATTTTTCTGAGAATTCCAGGTACAGAATAGGCCCTTTCAGGATTTCCTGTTTTTTTGTTTGCTTTCCTTCGCTTCTTATTTTAGGTCCAATAAACCTTTTACTTTAAGCAGGATCAAGTGTTAAGACAAACCAACTACAGAGCTAATGTATAGAACATTAATTCTATAGAAATGCCCTATAAAAAGCAAAGAAATAAGACTAACTATTAAAAGAAATCCATATGTCTCTGGAATTTTTATTTAAGTTTATATTAGCAATAATGACCTTGGTTCTAGGGAATTCGGTAACGATTAATGACCAGCAAGGGGTCACTGGCCTCATGGTGCTTTGGGCCAGCAACCCCTTCCAAAGAGGACAAGAACTGGCCATTTATCCCAAGGAAGTGCCCTAAGGCGAGGTCCTTATCCTCTTGCCATCTGATGGTAATTTAACCTCAGCTTTTAAAGGGCCCTTAGGAGCAAATATACAATGGGTTGTGCTTTCAGTATTTTAAAGAGTTTATTTTTGCCATGCAATGCCTAATTGGGTATCATTGAAAAGAGTTGTCAAAATAAAGTTGGTAATTATGTTCCTTTTATTCCGGGGTACATATACTCATTTTGTGTCTGCATATCTGCTGGCTTGTATTGGTGTAGTGTGCATCTATGCAGATGCTTATACTCACATTCCCATGTCTGGGGTGTGTGTGTGTGTGTGTGTGTGTGTGTGTGTGAGAGAGAGAGAGAGAGGGAGAGAGGGGTTAAAATACCCAATGCCAGATCAACAGAATAAATAAAACTTGAATGATAGAAACTTCAGTCACATTAGTTTTGCCTGCAAGAATAAATCCCTGTAATATGTAAAATAAGGGGCCAGAGGCAGAGTAAAATTAGTCTTTTCTTGGTTACAGATGACTGGTGTGGCAGTGACTGGCATTGGCGTTTTGCATGTTCTATGTGTTATTGTCATTACTGTAATTACTGATGATAACTAACCATTTATGAAGCCACATATTAGCTGAATTCTGGGTATTCTCTCATTTAATCCTTACAGCAATTCTATGTGCTGAGTATTCTTATTTCTCCCATTTTACAGATGAGGAAACTGGGGCTTCAGTTGGTTAAATAACTTGCCCAACGTCAACATAGCTATTAAGTGGTGGAGCTGGGATGCCAACCTTGCAGTGTCTGACCCCAAAGATCAGGGTTTTAATCATAACACTATTCTGCCTCTATTTAAAAACTAACATTTCCATTTTCTAAGCGCAGCCCTTAATATATTCATTTAGGCAAATTTCCATCCTTTGCTGGCGTAATCGCTATTCCTTTTGTTGGTCATTGCTCCCCTGGGCTTCCTTCAAACATGGTCAGAGGTGCCCCAGACTTTTTAAAGATGGAAGAAAGGCCACATGGCCCTGCATAATTTGACCGAGACAGCTGTGCAGTTGGTTGTCTCATTTAAATTACAACCACAAAAAAGATGTGCCAGGCTTCATTGACACAAAGCTAAGGGCAGGAACACGGAACCGTTTCCTGAACCTGCCCTGGGTTCCTGCCAAAGGTAAGCAGCCACGCTCAGCAGGGTCTCACGGACCACTGAGGAGGCAGTGAGCTTCACTAAAACAATTATCCCTCCCCAGGGCTCTGCCGAAGGTTTGCAGCTCCAAATTCTCATGGTAAAGGATCCGTCCAGTCTCTGAATTCCAGCTTAGAATGGCTGACCTAGGCAGGACAATTCCTCTGAGAGCGAGGGAGAAAAAACAAAAGTGTGGGATTTAAAAGGCTGGTATTGCAAAGGATCATCTTGACAGGCTGTGGCTCAGATTTAGAGAAACCCCGAACTGATTTGCAGAGGACTGAACACCAAACCTTGTAACCACAGAGCAGACTTCGGGGAGGTAGTCATAGGACCTGACAAGCAATCTTTTAATACAGAATCTGGTACAAAGATCCATGTGTGTATTTTTGCTGTGGTTTTTTTTTTTTTTCTATATCTTTTGGAATGGAGTCTAATCGTCCAAAGGATAGTTTTCACGTGTAGTGTTTTTCTCTTTGATTTGAGATAGGAGGTTTTCTGTGGCTGCTAAGCAATACACATATACCTACGTGGCATACAATGTCTTTTTTTTTTGGTGGAATTCTTAGCATGCATATTTTTCTCAGCTAAATGATTTTTAACAGCAGTTATTTAGTTCCTATTGCACCTTTCCAAAATTGCGTTCATGGTAGATACTTCTCAAATAAGGTTTAGTTTTATTAAAATTCTTACGTCTTTCTGAAACAAATATACTAAATCTTCCAGAAGAGCCCATAATAATAATAATTTTTTTGCGTGTGTCTTATGAGCCTGTGCGTATGTGTGCACCACGCAGATTTGTGTACACATTTGTATGTAATACTGTTACAACTATAAATGGCAAAAGAACGTATTTTAAGCCTCTTGGGGTTTCAACAAATTGTGATAAAAGGGTGGTGGTGGCCGAGATGACTTTCTCCCACTCTATTAAGAAAAAGTGCAAAATGAATGAGGGCAAACTGCTGGCTGCGATTGTGATTGTGCACAACTGCAAAGCGGGATCGGCTGGGATGGAGGCCACGGAGCAGGAACACCCCGTGTCTTGCCCCCCCTTCTGAATGCCTCTCAGTAGTGGCATTGTGGGGACTCATGAATTACTTCTTACAGTCGGGGCTCCTTGCTATAAATCCAGCCCTGGTGCCGAGCGCACTGTGGGCAGCGGAGCACCGAGCCGGGCCGGCGGTGTTTGTGTTGTTGTTAGCGACACGTAGCGAGTTCCTCCTAAGCGGAAAGGCCCCGGCTCCAGTTTGTCGCCAGCGAAAGCCGAAACACGAGTCGCACATGTGGAGCGGGAGCCGTCAGCCGCCGGGCGGCGGGGTGGGGGGGTGGGGGGCTGCGGGAGCGGGGGGGAGGGGGAGGGAATGCGGCCCGAGGCGGGGCCTAGCGCTCACCGGGGGATTTGTTTGGGGGGCTGGGGAGGGGAGAGAGGGGACAGGGTGGGAGCAAAGAAAGTAGCCCAAGGGGAACCAGGAAAAGGATGCCTTGACCTCTAAATGTTGTGCCCTCCCCGTGACATCTCACTACTTGTGAGAATATTTGAGAATTAAAATAAAAAAAAAAGGAACCCTTTGTGGTGCGGCTTCAAAATGGTTTTCCTTCCCAGGATATCCTGTGCCTGTCTTTGGGTGAGTTTTTCATAGGTTACTTGGTTAGGAGACTTCTCCTATCCCTTTAAGAGGTAAAAACATAAAAAACAAATGTAAATGTAGGGACTTTAACACTTCCCCCCTTCCTAACATTCGTATAATTGCTGTTAAGCCACACTGAAAACCCTGGGGCCTGGTGTTCACCAGGGTAAAGTTACATTTCACAAGCAGAAAATTGACTCACCACTTAGGAAAATTGGCTACCAATTATGTGTCAAAGGCTCTAAAGTCAGACCTGAGGTTTTCTTTTTGCCAGAATGGGGAATTAAAAAGAGCACAGGCACCCAGCTTTGTACCCACTACTCCCTCCGGGAGCAATTCTTGCTTGCCGCTGGGTTTCTTCTGAGTTTGCTTCTAAGCCTTGGCGGGGAAGGAGGGCTCCTGGCTGAACCCAGCCAGACTGGCTAGCAGGATGAACGGAGGCAGGAGTCAGTCAACCCTTATAAGGGAGTTCATGCACAAGTATGTTACAAACATGCTTATGGCCTGTGTGCAGAAAGTAACTGGTGGCCTAGCACAGTTGACCAAAGTTCTGAGAGCTATGACTGAGACTCAGGGGCCCAGGGGAGCTGGAGAAAGGAGGGGCTTCTGAAGGCCAAGTCACTAAAGTCAAGGGACATCTGCTGTCTCTGGTGACATGTTTATCACACCCACACCACGTACATTGTCCTGGAAATTTATTGTTGTCTCCTCTTGTAGGAGAAGCCACCTGGGCAGGAGGGGAGACAGTCCCTTGTGGGAGGACTGATGGTCCTGGTGGGGAAGCATGGAGGGGTAGAAGTCAAGAGAGAACAAGAGGAAGAGACAGACAGGGATACAGAGTCATAGATACAGGGGCAGAGGAAGAGCAATGCAGAGAGGGAGAGGGAGGAGAGGAGAGAGAGAGGGAGGAGAGGAGAGAGAGAGGGAGGAGAGGAGAGAGAGAGAAAAGAGAGAAGAGAGAGAGAGAGAGAGAGAGAGAGAGAAAGAGAAACGAACCTCTTGTTTACTTCTCTCCCCGCTGTCCCCTGGTTCTCCTGTATCCACTTTCTTGACATACTCCTTGCCTTCTTCCAAGGCCTGCTTTCTGTTCCTGTCAGAGTGGCTTATCCTTGGTTTTGTTTTTAATGCCGTGAAATTAAACCTTATTTAGTGCTTCATTTTCTGCCTCTAGAGGGAGAGAAAGAGAAAGCGTTAGGACCCACCAAATTGAATGAATTTGCTGTGCTGTGTCGGAGAGAGTTAGTTTTGTAGGACAACCGGGATGTAAAATCATTCTGGAGATTATCACCAGATAAGCACCCCTCCCAAGAACACGATGTGATATGTAATAATTTTAGTGAGGAAAACCATCCTTGTTTTGCCTTCTGGGAAATCTTATGCTATTTCTATTTGATTCTAACGTTGGACAATTTCCAGAGTTCTGAAGAACCAACTATCTTAACTCCTCAATGATTTTGACAGGGAAGACAAAAAAGGGACAGCAATTCTGGGGCTGGGGCTGGATCTCAACCAAAATATCTAATTTCAATTTAGTCCTGGCTTCTTAGCTGGAACAAAGAGAAAGTTTTTACATTTTGCAGAATATTTAGTTCGCCTCAAAGTCTATTGGGTTAAAATATATGTGTGTGTGAGTTTTTCCTTTCATAGTGGTTCAGAATGCCTGAGAGTTTGTCTAATCAAGACTCAAACATTTTGAGTGGATTTTTTTTCCCTCCACCATCCTACTTCTCTGAGATATCTTTTCTAGTTTTAAGAATCTCACAAGCTCCCTCAAGTGATGCTTAATTAGAGGAGCTTTCTATCCACTAAGTATTTTCTTAAATGTATAATTGATTGTGCAAGGAAGGAAGAGCTGCTGGAGTGGAAATCATACATCATTTCATTATTAATGGCAATGTCTAAGTAAAATGCAGACATTGTCATGCTAATGGATAGCTGTGTATGTTTAGCTTTAAATCAGAAGCTTTTTTCCCCTTTACTGTTCTGGGATCATTTTAGGAAGTTTAAGTAGCATTTAATATATTGATAAATACCTGCTAGCATGCTGGGCTAAGGTTGGAAAAAGGAGCCAAATGAAATCCTGACGAATGCAGGGGAATGGTGTGACAAAATGAATAATTTGGGATGCCATGTACATTATTACCTCCTTTTTACTACTTGTGAAGAAGCTGGATTTTTACCTGGATTTAATTTGGAAGACATGTGTATTTAGCACTTACTGTGTACTGCTTCCACTGAAAACATCCACAGATGTCCTCAGAGAACAACAGAACTGAAAAGTTGCTGAACGGCCCTCACCCTGTTTTTGGTGTGGAATTCATCAGCCAGAGTGAAAGAGTCTCTTGTGGATCCTGAAATGGCTGGCTTAGATCAGAGGCTTTCTTAGTTTGCAGTTCCCCAGAAATTAGACCTTCAGCAGGGATTTGGATGCAGGTAGTTTATATGGGCATGATCTTAGGAAGCAGGAAATGAGGGAGAGAGAAGAGGGAAAAAAGGCAAGGAAGAAAAAGTAAGGCAGTGATGTATTATCAGAGTCACTGCTGTGGCTGGTACATGGTCCCATTGGAATCTTCTAAGGGACAGAGTAAAATGTGCCTCCTAGAGCCAGGCTCCAGAAGTACAAGAGGCTAGAGCATTATCTCCTGGCACCTGTCCCCTCTTGGTTGAGGGCTGTCCCAGGGTGCTGGTGTGCAGGCTGGGCATCTGCTTCAGAGTTGGCATGCCGTGGAAGGAAGCCACGACATAGCAGGTTGTGGTCAGGGTCAGACATGTGGCTGAAGTCAGAGGTGGGACACAGGGATGTGAGGTAGGCACCAGATGCATCTGTTATAGAAGCTGAGTGTAAAGTTCCTATGGGGAGGGAAGCTTGATAGTCCATCCTTTTTTCTTTATTGAGTACCTACTGCGTACTTGGGTGTAGGAGGCATCTGGTGATTCTTCATTGAGTCCATCAAGAAGTGCACAAATTCATATACCACAAATGTTTGTTGAGTGCTCATTGTATGTCTGGAGACCATTCTGTCTTCTTCCCTAAGAGTGTTCATGCTGTTGGACCAGGTGTTATGATTTTGCTCTGGAGAATAAGGTATTTCCACATGGAGCATGTGGAAAATATAGTGCCTATCTCCTGAAAGGTCCAGGTGATGCAAAGATGAATGAGACATGATTGGAGGTTTTTCTTCTGTCTGAAATGCAGACAGTTCTGGGTTGGGCAGCTCTGTAAGATGCTGAACATGTGTCCTTCCAAGAAGCAAGGATCAGAAAGCAGACTTTGATGGGGGATGTGAGAGAAAAAGTTCAGACAGGCTTCTATGAATTTACTAAAAGTTTTGGAAAGGTTATACCCCCGTGGGAGGGAAATAGCAGTAATGGGGTATGTGGCAATGGGTACAAAAGGGTTGGGGCTGATGTGTGAAGGACCTTGAAGGGCATGAGAAGAGGTATGGGTTTTCTTTTGTAGGGAGTCTTTTTACACAAAGGGGAACATAAAATTCATGTGGATGAAAACTCAATGTCAAAACATGAATTCATCTTCCTCCTTATTATTGATGGATTTCTCTGTCCCTTCAGTTATAGGAACCGAGGAGTCATCCTTGCTGTTGCCCCTCCCCCATCTCTGTCAGCCATACTAGTTATCTCTCAGCTCTGTCCCCTTTGCGCCACCCCAACTCTGCCACCTGACTCCTGCCTTAACTCCAGATTGGTGTCTCTGCAATCTTTTGGTTTCTCTAGAGACCCTTCTCTCCTTATAGGAGCCAAAGTAAGCTTTTGAGAATTCGAAGCTGATCACGACATTCTGTAGCCTTTAACTCATCAGTGGCTCCTTATTGTTCTTAGGATAAAAGCCAACTTTCTTACTCATCTGCTGTTCCCATTGCTTCTGTCACGGACATTCCTTCCTCTCTGAGAAGCTCAATTCATCCGTCAGATTCTAGCCCCTTTCCCTTCAGTTCTCAGAGACACCTTCACTCCCCAGCTGGGTCAGTTCCCAGCATAGGATGCTCTAAGCCCCATGCAGCCAGGAGCTGTGGTTGTTTGTTTACTATTCTATTCCTCCTGACACTCAGTACTCAATAATAAACACAGTGCCAGACACTCGGTACGCAGTAATATCTATTGAATGAGTTATTGGATGAAAAGCAATGTAGCTTGTGGCTGTGGAGGGTACGGATTCTGTCCAGTGTTGTGCTGTAGCTGGCTTATGTGGACTCATGAGAACCAACTGAGTGAATCTTTTCCCAGCTCTGTTCAGTGATATCACATTGGTAGCTTGAAGTCATTCATAGTGGGGATATTTACACCATAGAAATTGGCAAACACTACAGAGCCGGGCTCCCTCCACCCACTTTACTCAGAACACTGTTGATCCTGCCAGTCATGAATCTTATCCAATCTTAGGTTTCTCAGATTTACCCCTCCATACTATGTCTTTGTCACCAGTTTTCTGGAGGGCAGAGATCACATCTTATTAGTCTCTGAATCATTAATCTGTAGCAGAGTGTACAACTCAATAAGCACCTGTTTAAAAAAAGAAAGACGCTCACTAGTAGCTTGAGTCTCCAGTCCTGGCATGCTGTCTCTTCTACTTAATGTGCTCTTTGAGAAAAGGATTTTGAAATGATGCTTTGGCCTATTTGAGGTCTCTTCCCTTCCACCACTCCACTTAGGCCCATGGCTCTTACACATTCCGCTTATGTTACAGTAGAATGTTTTAATAAGTAGGATTTTTGTCATTGCACAAGTCGACACAATTATGGGAATAGCTAAAATTCACCAGTAGACCTAGTGGGTTCAATTCAACAAGATTATTGAGAGCCTGTTTTGTGGGAGATGCTATTGCTCATATGCTAGTGAAACAGACATTTTCTACCCTCGAGGGTCTGTGCACTGAGAGGCATAGTCATATGCAAACCAAGAGTAACTGATAAGATGGTTAAATGGTGGGACAGAGTGTCAGGGGCACCTGTATCGGAATTGATTAATTCTGTGTGGGGGTCATGGAAAGCTAGAGAGAAGGGATATTTGAGTTAGACTTGGAGGAATATACGGAGAGCTGTAGGGAACAGTTCCCAGAGGCAAGGAGATCAATTTGGGAAGTTACTGGGATAGTAATGGCCCAGAGATAATGAAGTCTTGGTCATTACTGGTGGCAGAGCTAGAAGGCAGTGGGCAGGGAACAAAGCTCAGATAGGCTATGGGGAGCTGAGGGAGAAGAGAATCAAGGTGAACTGTCTGGATCATTTTTTCCTCCAGTCCTTTTTGTGGTGGGAAGATGGGAGAATTGGAATGATCTAAATATGGCTTCCTAATGTTCATGTTATCTTGACTAATCTTGATAAGACTTTATGACAACTTTATCTCAAGCTCCTGCAGTTTCAATAGAAATTGGATTTTAGGATGCACAATTTGATTTAGCCAAACAGCTTTGGACTTCCATCCTACTTCATTGTCCCTGAGTGTCATGACTGTCATTGTCTGCATTCTAATTCTGTTTCTATTTGAATCATTCATTAAGTACCTAAAAATTATGCATATAGTAAATTCACAGGATACCATATGCAAATAGGAAGCACCCCTCACCCTGGTCCTAAATAAACATTGTGGATTTGTTAAGTAAATTTGGGAGTTTCAGATCTTTTTTTTAATGCAATGAATTGTAATGTCACACTTCCAATACGACAAGGATTCTTTTTTTTTTCTTCTTCTTTTAAATACAAGGGGAAAAAAAAATTCATTTTGAGTCAGAAAGTGGGTGTACGTAGGGGAGAAAAAAGGAGGGAGGGAGGAACTGTGTATAACTTCTCTTCTGCGTTTTGGCACAAAAAAGTTGCTCCCATCAGCTCAGCTTGGCTAAGAGAGGCCTCCAGATAAGAATTCTTGAGATCTCTGATTCTTCTCCACATGAAAATTTAAAAAACATTAAAAAAAGAAGAAATTACAAATGATCTGATCTTGAATGCCAAAAATCTAACCTTTGATGTTGGCTTTTCGGAAGTTAAATAATGAACCAAAGTTTCTTTTTTTCCTTTTTTCTTAAAGGACTACTTCATAAAGCCTATCTTACTTTATAATAAAAGGAGGAAAACATAAATAAAAGACACTCAAATATTTATACAGTTATTCAAAGGATTAAATGTATTTGGTAAGGTCTTAAGGTTGTTTAATATTTTCCCCTTCTTTTGAATCTTTGTTTTTAGCTCTGGTACATTGAAGATTTTCTTTTTCCTGTGGTTTTGTTTATAGAAATTAACAAATTCCCTTGTGATCCTTAAGAAGTTACTTTAGAAATATACAAATATACATGAATGAGAGAAAGGGGATATGAAATAGATGAGATAAGGAAATATTGTCATAATAACTACACTCTTTATATTACACTACTTAGTTAACACTACGTATAATTGAATAAATGACAACAACAGTGAGTAATAGACTACTTATTTGACTCAGAGAGAAAAATCTTGGGGACCTGCACTTTAGAAGAATATAATTTTACTTTTAATTTTTATGTTATATGAATACTCTGTGGCAATGTACATACTCCACATGTATTTTCTGCCTCGTGACTTACACTGGAAGAGAGAGGAATGATTAGTTTATATGTTAAAAATGCAGTGAATTTTTATTTGTCCTGAGTCCACTTCCTCCACTCCTACACACCAGCTAGGATTCTCTTGTGAGACAGAACACACTTTATAGTTTTGGTTTGTTTAATTATATGAAAATTTAAGTATTCAGACAATAGTTTTTAGTAGATTAAAACAACAACAATAGCGACAACCCCCACAACACCTGCATTAACTTGGGGTCCTTCAAAAGCCCAGTGTTTCCAATAATGTAATTTGTTGCTTAATAAATAGGAGGTTGGGCCCAATATCCTCTGCTAAGATTGTCATCACTTACACTTAAGATGAATTAAATTTCTCTTAACAAACATTAGTGGGTATTCTATGTAGTTAAACATTCTGGTTAATAGATAATTTCTTCATATGATATACACAGAACATCATTTTTAGATATAATAACATAGCTATGATCAATACAGTTTTATTCAACAATTAGGTGTTGTATAAGGTCCCTGGGGGAATTGTATAAAGTGTTCCCATCTCTCAAAGAACTTCTCACCTAGTGACATTTTTCTGTGATTCAGAGATACCTTGGTGACTTGCTGTGAATTAGGGTCACAATTATGACTATCATTTATCATTGTACTGTGACTGCACAAGTGCCAGTTAATAGAAGATTCAGAATGATAGAATGCAGAATAAATCACATCACCTTTTTCTGGAGTAGTGTCTTGGTGAGCCGAAGCAGAAGCAGAGAATGGATACTGATATTATTTCCATCTGCAAGCCCTCATGACGTATGAAGTGCCGAGAGACATTTATGGTTTTGTTGCTACCATTAAGACCTTTGGCAGAGTCCTAAACTTATTTTGGTCTCTCTCTCTTTTATTGCAAGCTATTTCCAGCTGTTTATTTTTATCTTGCTTTGAGATGTTTAAATAAAAGACATAATTTGAATCTAAATTGTGGTTGTTATCAGATCTGGCTAGAATAATAAGACAGTGATACCAATTCTCCTGGCTTGAAGTTTGGAGTAGTGGGTCATTTATTCATTCAGTGGACACCTACTATGTACCAAGCGAAGACTGTTGTAGACTTTGCATAGACTTTACAGTCTAGTGGGAGAGACAGTCATTCAAAGAATCACATAAATAAAGGTAAAATTACAATTGTTTTAGGTGCTATGAAGGAAAGGGCAGGAGGATGATATGATATGCCAGGGAGAAGAACTGGCTTATTGAGGGTTCTGGAAATGTGTCCTCAGTGAAGTGATGATCAAACTGAGCAAATCTCTTATGCCTGCATTTTCCCCTTAGAGTCCAAACATACATGCTGGAGTCAGATGGACAAGGGTTCCAAGCCTCCAATGTTCCTAACTAGCCATAAGACCTTGGAAAAGTAACCTCATCTCTTTGGAACTTGGAGTTTTTGTCTGCAAAATAGAGAAAGCAACATCCATCCTGCTGGATTGCTTGGTGTTGTTGAAACAATACATTCTATAGGTACCTGATTCAATTAGACAGTAGGTGCTTCATAAATATCAGCTACTATTATTATTTCACCTATGATAAAATATAAGTTATGTGAATCAGGCCTTATCCTTTCCAGAGATATTTTTTAAGAGGGCTTTCCTGAAGCCTAACCTTAAGCAGCTACCTAGTAGCTCCCTGTCATGACATCCTATTTAACTTTTTTATTTTTTTTTTTTTACTGTGAATGTTTGGTAAATAAAAATAAAATATATGTAACACATGCTATAAAGTCATCCAAACTTGTGAACACTCTACAGAACTTAACAACTTAGACTTTTTAAAATTTAAGATATTAATAAGTAGGAGGGCTATGGTACACTTGTCTTTAGAAGACGGATTTTTTTTAAGTAACTGAAAAAGGAGGTAATTATTTTAAGCTTTAATATAGTTTTTGTTGCTGGGGAGCCAAAACATACACACACACATGCACACACACACACACACACACACAGGCAAAGAATTTTTTTTTTCCTTTGGGAAAACAGTAATATGTGTAAACTGGTTTGGAGGAAGTTTATTGTTTCCCAGCCAGAATGACATTTAGGATATTTGAATTCATTGATCATAGTTTTAGGTAAATAAACACTGAAATAGGGTCAGCTTTTAGATATATGGATGGGCTGGGATGCAAGAGAAAGGCTGGCTTCGGGTCCAGGCTTTGCCTTTGATGGGCTATGTACCTGGGACTTGTTTATTTTGCTTTTTTTGGAGCTTCAGTTTCCTCACCTCTGAATTGAGTGGATGAAAGGACCGTCAAGGTTTGCCACGTCCTCATTCCCTGCTTCTGTGATCTGATCTTCTCAGATCCAGATCCCTTTGTGAGCAGAAGATGCAGGCAGGGACCAGGATCCCCATGAATGAGGTAGGCTACCTGCAGGTGTGCATCCCTCCATGCCATGGCTTTGATGGGTTGGCGCCGACAGCAAGCTTTTTTGCATGGGAAAAAGTTCCCTTCCAATTACACAGCAGTTTTGTGGTGGCTGAGGGGCTATAATGGGAATGCTTTGCAGCCAAAGCACTCTCATTCATAAATTCCACTGTGACACTCTCTCTAATTTTTTTCTCTTTTGGATAGATCAGTATTCTGTGGTTTCCTCCACCACAGCCATGCAAGCAAAAGTGAGTAGTTAAATCTCGTCATGGCCTTTAAGTCTCTGCAACACACGGACATGACAGTGTCAATCATAAGCAATATTTGGTGCAGTAAATAACAGTGAGCTGACCCTTCCAATATCTTCTAGGAGGCGTCTTTAAAATGAAGTACAGGAAGGAACTAAATATAGGAGCTGGTCTGTTTCTAGTTTATGGATTTCTCTAGAAATAGACATTTTATTCTGGTAAAAGCTCTGTGTTCATCACACACAGCTAGATGCATGTGCTGAATGTCAACCTCTGTGCAGGTGTGAATATCTAATGTAAATTATGGAAATTTAGGCTGCTTTTAAAAAATATTTTCTACATCTGCTTTTGTAATTTGCATTATTCCTGGGATCCCTTTCTAGAAGTGACTAAAATGCAGAAAGAAAATCAAAGTAAATGTCATTCAAAGAAATGAAATACATAAAATAACCACACAGAATCCATACGCGACAGGCTGTTTTAGTATTTATTTTTTTAAACGTAAGAAGTATATATATTCCCTTAAAGCCAATGTATGAGTCCCTTTAGCAGTGATCTAAAAGATTTCTACTTCATGAAAAACCTATTCCTCTGAGAATCTGCACCCTGTGTTCAGGTAGGTATGTATATGACACAGAACATTAAAAAGTTAACGTTTGCCTTTTCCATGCAGTGTTTGCTATGTTTTCATAGCAGGGATGAGTTAGATTCAGCATAATTGGAATTTCAGAAATACTGTTAGTTTATTAAGGCATTGGGGATTGGTCAAGCTCAGTTCAAATGACCATTGATGTGTGTGACGATGGGTACCAAATTGTGGTGTACTGAACTGTGGATTGTAAGTCTGCCAAGGGTTTGCCTCTGTATTTCTCTTTGGAAAAGATGACTGTTCCTCTGTAGATATGTAGCACAGAATCCGTTTCTAAACAGCTACTATAAAATCTGTTTATTGGTGTCTCTTGTCTACATACAGCCACCTGTCTAAAAGCATAAATTCACATGTAGAGAGTGGTCTATTCTCCCTACATGAGTATATGTCACCCCCATCGGCATCAGTGAAAGCTATGTGCTTACCAGCAGGAGAATAGATTCATATGCTGTGAAAAGGTATGGAATTCTGATTTATAGTCTGTGTTGCTTTTAATGGATATACCTGCAACAGCCACAGAGCTAAACCTGTAAGGTGTTAAAATAAAACATTTTACAGTGCAATATATTGCCTGCTTGTTAGTTAAAAGCACTACCAGGGAGCACACTTTGGTTAAATTTGGCTGTGTTAAAAACATATGTAAAAAAATCTTTGTTTTCTTTTCTCCATTCTTGTTCTCTGTATTTCTCCAAGGATGCTTTCCCTGTTTCCAGGACTCAAGGCCTGGCAACACCAAGGGCACTGAGGGTGGACATGAGTGTGGCTTCAGACGAAACTAAAATGAAAGATTAAAGCAATTCTGAAAGATTTCAAGATAGGCCACTGCCAACTCAGCTTCAGAAGAAGAAAAAGGGAAGGAAAACTAGTTTCTTGAGTCGCTTGTAATCTGGATCATAGCCATTTTGGTGGTGGCCTCAATGGATGTAAAGTAGATAGTGCTTTCAAACCCTTCATGCCAAGGCTCAAAAGCCTTTGCAGAATCATTTATTAAATATTTAAGCGCTTCCTCTTTCTGCCTCTCACTCAGCGACAGAGAGAGCCTGAGAGCAGCATTTTCTAAGCCCAGTGTGGTGCTGGTGTGCGGCACTTTCCTTAGGTTTACTGGCCAGGGTCAGCTTTGTTTTGGCTGATGCTCAAGCAAGCACCCCTCACTCACAGCTGCAGGACCCTCACCACTACAGTTACAAATGGATCTACGTCCTTTTGTGTTTGTGGAGTCTTTAAGTGAGGTGGCATTTTAAAGAAATTCACAGTGCTTTAGAGAATGGTTAATATTACATTTGAGCAAAAAACAATTTTACGCATAAAATTTAGGATTACCTCAAGCAAAGCTTTTGTTTAGTTTTGTCACCTTTTAGAGGTACTCCAGAAAATATTTTAAACCTAGCTGTGTATATCAAGGGTCTGGGGACCTCATTATTAGAAATGGTGGTCTGTACTCATTCGATATTTTATTCCTTACTTGTTTTACTCCCTGCCCAAGTCTTGCTTTTAGGTGAGCATGAATCAAATCCAATGGGACATTTTTAGCTCTTCCCAGGGCCCTTGAGAAGGAATAATAGTATGTGTTGGTTTTAAGTTTCATGACAAAACCGCTTTTAATATTTAAATAATTTTTCTTCTGAAATGGGGAACTCCAAATAAAAAAGTTATTTAATAGCGAAGTTACTTTAACAACTGGCTTTCCTGTTTCTTTCTTTCTTAAAATCTGGAATGGTGCTAAAATAAAGTATAATGTAATATTTCAGATAAATATATTTAGGCCCTGTGAAAATCCTGCTTCACAGCATTTGTAGGGAAATGTAATGCATGCAAAAGTAGACAGTAGTTTATATAGTAGTTTTATTTTAACTAGTACAATATAACAACCTGACATGCTGTGAAAAATAAATAACTTTTAGAAAATGCATTTTCCAAGTATGAAAGTAATGTTGAAAAATGACTGAGGTAATCACTTTTGTATAGATTCTGAAAGTAGAAGAGAGGGGAATAATAATTTATGGTTTAATGCATAGAGTTATACAAAAGTGTAAAAGATTTTCTTTTCTGACGGACCCAGAGGAATCTGCTGTGCCATTTTGCAGAATGACTCAGGGAAGAGGGCTGACTTGTGAGCCAGCACGTGCAGGCATCTTGGCCAACTCATTTATACCACAGACTCTTTGTTTTGGTTTTGGGGTTAGCAGATTGAGTAAATGGATTTCTTTTTTATTCCTTCAGAGGAAAAAGGACTCTTTTGGCTGTTAAATTCCAATTTTCTAAAGGAAGTAAACATTCCATCTCAGGCTTCTCACACATCAGATAAACACCACTTTGAATCATATGTTTATCCTGGAAGGAAATCGCCTCTCCATTTTGTAGATGGGGGCCCAGGAAAGAGGCTACTTGTCCGAGATCCTACAGCTAGTGGGCATCTGAACCAGGATCTCTTTCTACCCCATCCCATTAGCCCTCCTGGGAAGAGTTAGGGTGGAATTTCTGAGACTTCCACAGCAATTAGGTGCTCAGACACTAGATCAAGGGGAACTTTCAAAGTGTTGTTGATAGTCTTGCTAATAGGTCAGGCAGCCCAAAACAGCGCAAATATTATGAGGTGATCAGCACTACACCAAGGAATGGCTTAGGAATGAGGTCTGATCCCCACTCTCCATAGTCTCTATCAGCTACCCACTGGCCTTCTTAAATGCAGTCTAAGTTAATGTGTGTTTGCTTGCTGTGAGGCATGGCCTCTTTGCTAATTTCTTTCACCCCCATACTCTCCTCCTGTATGGAAATACTAGTGCCACCCTGCATTTGATTTTTTTTAAGTTGTTTTGACCGTGAGTCTTAATGTCTCCCTTTGATATGAGTAGGTAGGTCCATCTCGACTGGAGAATGTATACATAAAAAGTCTCTTTCATTGGTTCTAAAAGTGTAAAATATCTGGGCTGTTACCTAAATGCAGAATGGAGAAGGCAGGGCAAGGTCAGAGTAGGGTGGGTTTCCCCCCTCATTTCCCTCCACTGTTTCCCATGGTGTTTTATCTTTTTGCCATAAAGCTTATAGGTTAAAGAGAAAGGTGAGATTGCTTTGCTGTCTGTCATGGTGATGGTGGGCCGTGAGTTTAGGGAGAAAGGACTGCCGAGATAAGAAATGAAATGGTCTTGAATCTCTGGGATTGCAAAGGACAAGGAAAGATATGGGGCAAAATCAAGACATTTCCTTCACAGTATCCCAGAGAAGTGTGGTGAGTTCTTCAAAAATAGCCTTGGCAGCCAGCCTCTCTTGCCACTCTGGCACTGCACACGAACCTAGGTATGGGTATTTGTGCAGAAACAGTCCCTGCAAATTGACTTGAACCCCAGTCCTCTTTCCCTAGGAGATCAGAGGATGGCTGATGTGGCAAATGTGATGGTGGCAGTGGTCCTTATTGATAAGGAAGCTTGGAGGGGTTGAGAGAGGAGCTGATCTTCTTTTTTTTATTATTATACTTTAAGTTTTAGAGTACATGTGCACATTGTGCAGGTTAGTTACATATGTATACATGTGCCATGCTGGTGTGCTGCACCCACTAACTCGTCATCTAGCATTAGGTATATCTCCCAATGCTATCCCTCCCCCCTCCCCCCACCCCACCACAGTCCCCAGAGTGTGATATTCCCCTTCCTGTGTCCATGTGATCTCATTGTTCAATTCCCACCTATGAGTGAGAATATGCGGTGTTTGGTTTTTTGTTCTTGCAATAGTTTACTGAGAATGATGATTTCCAATTTCATCCATGTCCCTACAAAGGACATGAACTCATCATTTTTTATGGCTGCATAGTATTCCATGGTGTATATGTGCCACATTTTCTTAATCCAGTCTATCATTGTTGGACATTTGGGTTGGTTCCAAGTCTTTGCTATTGTGAATAATGCCGCAATAAACATACGTGTGCATGTGTCTTTATAGCAGCATGATTTATAGTCATTTGGGTATATACCCAGTAATGGAATGGCTGGGTCAAATGGTATTTCTAGTTCTAGATCCCTGAGGAATCGCCACACTGACTTCCACAATGGTTGAACTAGTTGACAGTCCCACCAACAGTGTAAAAGTGTTCCTATTTCTCCACATCCTCTCCAGCACCTGTTGTTTCCTGACTTTTTAATGATTGCCATTCTAACTGGTGTGAGATGATATCTCATAGTGGTTTTGATTTGCATTTCTCTGATGGCCAGTGATGATGAGCATTTTTTCATGTGTTTTTTGGCTGCATAAATGTCTTCTTTTGAGAAGTGTCTGTTCATGTCCTTTGCCCACTTTTTGATGGGGTTGTTTGTTTTTTTCTTGTAAATTTGTTTGAGTTCATTGTAGATTCTGGATATTAGCCCTTTGTCAGATGAGTAGGTTGCGAAAATTTTCTCCCATGTTGTAGGTTGCCTGTTCACTCTGATGGTAGTTTCTTTTGCTGTGCAGAAGCTCTTTAGTTTAATTAGATCCCATTTGTCAATTTTGGCTTTTGTTGCCATTGCTTTTGGTGTTTTGGACATGAAGTCCTTGCCCATGCCTATGTCCTGAATGGTAATGCCTAGGTTTTCTTCTAGGGTTTTTATGGTTTTAGGTCTAACGTTTAAATCTTTAATCCATCTTGAATTGATTTTTGTATAAGGTGTAAGGAAGGGATCCAGTTTCAGCTTTCTACATATGGCTAGCCAGTTTTCCCAGCACCATTTATTAAATAGGGAATCCTTTCCCCATTTCTTGTTTTTCTCAGGTTTGTCAAAGATCAGATAGTTGTAGGTATGCGGCGTTATTTCTGAGGGCTCTGTTCTGTTCCATTGATCTATATCTCTGTTTTGGTACCAGTACCATGCTGTTTTGGTTACTGTAGCCTTGTAGTATAGTTTGAAGTCAGGTAGTGTGATACCTCCAGCTTTGTTCTTTTGGCTTAGGATTGACTTGGCGATGTGGGCTCTTTTTTGGTTCCATATGAACTTTAAAGTAGTTTTTTCCAATTCTGTGAAGGAAGTCCTTGGTAGCTTGATGGGGATGGCATTGAATCTGTAAATGAGGAGCTGATCTTCTTATCAGAAGCAAGGTATCTAAAAGTGCCAACCCATCCCTGATGCGACAATTGAGCAGTTGAAGTGCAACTCTGAAATTCTTCTCTTCTGATCTCTCAATCACTGTCTTCAGTCTTTTATCCTGCATCACAAACTTTATCCCTTACTCTGCACCCATGAAGCCAATATTCCCTAAGAACCAAGTCTCTCCTGAGAAAGGCAAGGTGATATGAATAGAGTGAAATAGTTTCATGTCCCCCACCACTGGGGGTCAGGAAAGGAGAACTTCCCTTTTAAATCTTTGGGGAGATCAACCCAAGGACTGAATCTTTTAATGGTAAAGTTCAAGGTCCTTCGAACCCCAAAAGGAGATTTTAAGGGAGTGAGTGATTATCACAATACTTTTGTGCATGCATGACCCTGGGAAGGGCAATAATTTGGAAGGCAAATTCTGTTTCCTCACATTCTTCAGCCTCTCCATTCATAAAACAAGTCTGAAAAGTGATTTCTTGCCTACCCATATAAAATAATTTGGGATCTGATAAAAATGATAATGTCAGTCAACATTGCTTATGTGACAACAGCTGTTGTCATCCTTATGTATAGGTGAGGAAAGCTGAAGCTTAGCGAGGTTGGATGAATTGTACAAAGTCTACAGCTAGTTTGTAGAAAAACTGGGATTTGAATCCAGGTAGTTTAATTTCAGCCTCTAAGTATGAAACCATCACTCTGTACTGCCTCCTTCAAATATGGTCCAAGATCCTTCAATCCTGTGATTTATAACGTCAAATTTCTGCTGATAACTTAACCTTTGGTATCATTTAACATCTAGAGCTGCCAAATAGATTTTCTGACTTTAAAACTCTTGGTTTCTTCCTGGCATTTACTTTTCACTTATTTTGGTGTTTTTTTAATTTATTATTTATTTTTTATTTTTTACCAATGTTCCATTTAGCAGAAGTAAAACAGAAAATTTTTGGTGATTTAGAGATGTTTCCCTTCTTGTAAGCTTTCAGTCACTGATGGCTGATGAGCCTTTGGATTTATTGCTCCCCTGATGAAATGGTGGTCTAAACTCAGCTGCCTTGGTTCTCGTTCTCTCTCTCTCTCTCTTTCTTTCTCTTTCTTTCCCCCTGTTTCTGATGGCTTCAATCAGTCAATAATGTAATTAGGCCACAAAAATAGAGAAAACCAGTGGCTTCTGGTTTATTTTTTGATTTTCTAGTAGGAAATACCCCTAATCCTTGATGTTCTCTTGCATATATTTTCCAAAGAGCACCATGTGAAGCCAGATTTTTATTGACTGGTCTTTGTTTCTCAACATGAGGGGAAAAATGGGGATAGGGCATTGTCCTGGTTGGACAAGGTAGGCAGGAAGCATCAGGCAGCAGGATCTTGTGCCTTGCTCTTGGTTTTTATTACCTGGAGCTCCATCATGAGTCTCAGGGTGGATTGAAATCTTGCATTGAGGCCAAAAGTGAAAGGAAAACCAGGACAAAGAAATCTGCAGGGCAAGGGGTGGGGCTTGGTTAGCAAGAGCAATGGAAAACAACGACAATGAAGTAGCTTGTAGCTTGCTGCCTAATGTGTGTAAAGCGATGGTACAGGCAAGATGGAGTTAATTCAATAAAATAAATATAAAATACTCTCTCCTCTGTCAGGCCTCGCTGGAAGCAGGTCAGGGGTCACTGAGCCGCTTCACTGGAGCACTAATCGATTTGCTGTCAAGGTGGCCTGCTGGGGTTTCAAGCCAGAGAGGAATTGAGAGGCGCTCTGGCCCAATTTCCATAATTGCTCACTGCCTTTAGTGTACAACCTTTTATGAAACACAAAAAATATATCATGGAATTGTATTGATTAGCCATTGGGCTGAATAATTCACTTAGTATTTATTACCTGACCCCAAGAGGTTAAATAAATCCACTATCTAACTTGGGTTTGTGAGAAATATTACTTATTCATTGAAATGTGGGCTGTTTATTGCACAATAGGCCTGTATCTTTGTTTCTTGATTTTGCAATCAAGATTAACCCTTCTTGCATTTTAGGGCCAACAAGTCAAAAAAAGCATAGTTTGAGTGCTCCCCAAAATAAGCCCAATAAAATCAATGCTGAATATCCCTTTGAAGCAGTTTTTTTGATGTTGAATTTTAGTCCTTTGAGTCAAATTTCAAGATGGCCTCAATGTATGGATGCCAATGAAATATAGATGCAAGCCTGGTTTTCACTGCAAACACTACATATTATAATAACAGATGTAATAATAGTGATGACATCTAAGCCCATTTTTATTACACCATTTTTGGAAAGCTTACCCTATTACATTAAACACCCATAAATTAGATGTCCCAGGAGACAAAGGGGTGTAGGAGGTCGTTGGGTAGAATGAAGACTTTTTTGGTCTTAAAGAGGAATCAATCCTGGACAGATAACTGATATTTATTCCAGAAAAAAAGCTAATTTTCAGTAACTTGAAAATATGATGGAATTTTATCTGTAGGGCATTTTATGCATTTGTAAACTTTGGGGCAATCATTAATTATTTACCAGCCAATGGCATTTGCACATTTCTGTTACTCTGAGCAGTAAATCTGTTTTGATGTGCTATGCATCCCAGGCACAACTACATGACATTCAAATCTAATTATGTTCTCAGTTGCCATGAGCTCTCACTGTCAAGATACAACCCTTCCTTAACTCCCTCCGAAAAAGACGTTTTAACTTTTGTGTAAAGTCTTTCTTCAGTTTCCTGTCTGCATCCTCTAGCATCTCAAAGCATTGTTTTTGAGGTTTAATGGAATTTGTTGTAGGTCAAGGAAAGGAAGCCATGTGAAGCTTTTTTTCCCCTCTCTTCAATGAAAGGGAAAGGAAAAAAACATTCATTTGAGTTCAGAGCTAACTATGTTTGTTGATCATTTAGCATTTCTGTATCCAGGATCTAATCTTACGATTAATGGTAGGAAAAGCTGGGGCTCTGGAGTTATGCTCAGAATCTGCCTTTCCTGTGCTGCGGAGTGGAAGGAAGGGATGGCTGCAAAGCGGGTAAACGTGTGCAGAACTTCCTAAAGCATGCTCAGGTGCACCCCACTTCCCGCTTCCAGGCGGCTGCTCCTGTGAATTTGGGCATTACATTTAATTTCTGTGTTCCATGTTACCATGATTTGTTGATTATCATTTTGGAAATTTTCAAGTTTGGGTTTTGGTGTTTGGTCTCTATATTTAGTTTGGGGGTGGGGGCGGATGTGGGAGGGTGGAGAAGGTAGAGGAGGGAAAGAGAGACAGAATAGAATACTTGATTTTTTTTTTAAGCAAGGTTTTAAGTCTTGCTTTCCTTCCCCTCCCTTCTCTCTGTGTGGGGCTCCTTTAAATAGAGAACATAGTTAACAAAATGACTTGAGAGCTCTTGATAGCCTCTTGAGATAATTTGGTTGTAAGCACTGAGCAAAATACATTCTTTGGATATACTCATTTCAAGTGCTAATCATGAATGTTAAATTTTTAAGGAAGCCAATGTCATAATACTGTTCATGACAATTCCAAAATAAATATTAGTGAGATGCTTTGAAGGGAGAGGGTGGTTTCGGAGAGATAGGGAGACAGACAGACTCTGGTTTATGTTTCCATAGAATTCTTCTATAATGTAACCCGGAATCTGCCATAAGGCACAGGATTTGCCTATGTTTAAGAATAACAATGTATAGAAAAGAGATCTGTTGAAGAGGCTAGAAATAATCACTCGGTTTTATGCAGCTTTATGTAATAGTCCAAGGAAACTAAGAGCTGATCGAGGAGCCAGTGGCGTGTCTTGATTTCTAAATATAACCATTTTGAATGGGTGAGGGAAATCCCTTCCTATGCAATAAATATAATGGAAAGGGCCTAGTCTTTGAAATCAGATGGCCCTGGGTTTGAATCCTGGCTACCACTTGTACCTGGAAAAATTAAGTAAATTATTCTGTTTTTTACATTTGTACAACGGAGATAATCATACCTATACTCACAGGATTTTGGACTGAGGATTTAGGAATCAGGATTACAGGAGATGATTCTGGCACAAATTAATGTATAAATAAGTGGTAGTTGTTCTATTGTTATTCTTCAGAAAATTAAACAGGGCATTTGTTACACCTGTTGATATTGACTGGACATTTTGAGACTCTTCTTGGTGGAGATGCTAAACTGAAAACAACCTACACATACCAGAGCATCCAAGAATGTATTCACCAGGTAACCTAGAAGAAATACATAGTTCAACATTTGAAAATTTTTTTTTATCATTAAAATTCCTTCGAAGACGGGAGGAGTGTGGCTGATTTGCAACTGCACCCACAAAAGATGGCGGGTTTTGTTTTATATTTTAACTAAAAGTGGTGAAGATTTTCCAACTGTTCTATTTTTACAAATTTTAAAAGTTTCATTGCTGGGTTAGATTTAGGGCCTGTGTGGGAAACAGAGACTTCTGCCAGCAGCGCAGCGAGAGCCCTGCTGTGTTGTGGTTTCCATGTATTTTTACATTCCACGCATTGCTGAACTGTGTATAGGAGCAAGCTCTAAATCACCGGTGCTTTATGTGAGTTTGCGACCTTTCGATTTGGGCTTCAGACTGAATGCATGATTTTAAAACTGGAGATGTGCTAGTGACTGTGCCACAGACTTTGCCTCCTCCCCTTCTCCCAGCTCCATCCTTCACTTCCCCAGTTGAAGTCAAATGTAGACTTTATATAGCACAGGAAACATTTGGGACTGCTAGTAAATACGTGTAAGAAAGGAGGCTTTCGTTGTTGGAGGTGCATATGCATATGCTGGGCATTAAAGAAAGCCTGGTGGAGATGGGAGGTGAGGAGGGGGTTACTGCTTCCCCCAAATGTCCAGATTTTTTCAGGACAGATTATCTGTCTTAGTGGATTCTGGACATGTTGTTAAAGAATTCCACATACAGGATCCCTTTCTAGTTGGTGATCCTCTTTTATAAATTCCGACAGCTCCAAATGTTGTTTAGGCCCCTGACCTCTTCTCCACATCCCAGCCTGTCCCTGGGCTGTACTCTTTTCTTTTCTTTTCTTTTTTTTTGAGACGAAGTCTCGCTCTGTAGCCCAGGTTGGAGTACAGTGGCATGATCTCAGCTCACCACAACCTCCGCCTCGCGGGTTCAAGCGATTCTCCTGCCTCAGCCTCCAGAGTAGCTGGGATTACAGGCACACACCACTGCATCTGGCTAACTTTTTGTATTTTTAGTAGATATGGGGTTTCACCATATTGGCCAGGCTGGTCTTGAACTCCCAACCTCAGGTAATCCGCCTGCCTCGAGCTCCGAAAGTGCTGGGATTATAGGCATGAACCACCATGCCCGGCTACTGTTTTCATACTTCACGGCCCCACAACCAGCCCATCATGCACACTACAGCCATGCTACTCTCCATAAAGTCCTGTTCTGAACATGTCACTGTGGCTCACATTCATTGGAACCCTCTTGCTTTGACTTATTTGGCCTGTGGGCTTAAATTCACCTTTTCAGCCTTATATTCCTTTAATGTGCTCAGGAGTGTCCATGCTTCTGCGACCCAGACTTCTTTCTCTTTCCCAGACACATTCAGTACTTGCTCATCGCCAATTTCTTGCTCCCCTTGCTCCTTCTGCAGGGCTGCCTTTCCCACCTGGCCCTCCGCTCAGATCGGATCCTGTTGTCCCTGTAAGGATCCACACAAAGGCTCGCCTCTGCAGGAGGCTTTCTCCAGCTCCTCTGGAGGGAATCTGTCCTGCCTCTCTCTAGTGCTTCATTCATGATCAGATTTTAATTAAAAGTATATCTATTTACTCAACAAATATTTGTGGAGTATTTCTTTTATGCCAGCTCCTTTGCTTATGCTGGGATGTAGAGATGAATAATAATATACCATCCCCTGGCCATCAAGGGTTATTTTTAAACATTAAAAAAAGGTTAGAAAAGTAATTTAATTGCATTACAGAAAAATTGGAAAAGACATAAAAAAGGAAAGACCCCATAATCCAATTATAATCATCTTATTGCACTTTTAATTCATGTGCACTTCTACATTTTAAAAAAATTATGATATTGCAACTACAATTTTGTGTTCTTTGTTTTACATTCATATATATATATGTAAAACAAAGTATATATATATTTTTTCTGTGTCTCTACATAGCCTAGGTTTAATGGATAATAAATTACCTTCTTATTGTTGAAAATTGAGGTTTTTTCATTTTCAACTATTATTTACAAATAATACTGATGAACATATTCATATTTATAGTTTTTTTTTTTTTTAGAAGGAGTTTTGCTCTTTGTTGCCCAGGCTGGAGTGCAATGGTGTGATCTTGGCTCACTGCAACCTCTGCCTCCCAGATTCAAGTGATGATACTCTCGCCTCAGCCTCCTGAGTAGCTGGGACTACAGGCACACACTACCATACCCAGCTAATTTTTGTATTTTTAGTAGAGAAGGGGTTTCACATGTTGGCCAGGCTGGTCTCGAATTCCTGACCTCAAGTGATCCACCCGCCTTGGGCTTCCAAAGTGTTAGGATTACAGGCATGAGCCATGGTGCCCGGCCTAGTTATTTTTTATAATTTGGATCATTTCTTTAAGATAGTAGGGTGATTTTTAAAAAATTATTAGAACTTCTTTTTCAAGTAAACTTGAAACAGAATCTGAATTTCTACAACAGAACTGTGCTGGTTGTCAGGAGGTAGAATCCCTATAGCCCCACGCATTCTTCCCCTTTCATAATCATTCCCTGGACTTTGCTGTCAGAAATCTTGAAGCCCCTCTGCAGAATCCTAGGGCTTTGCAGAAAATACTTTGAAAGCCTTGGGATAAATCTCAGAAGAATTACTCCTTCAGACACTTCAACATTTTCATGGCTCTCAATGCATAATGTCAAATTGTTTTCCAACAACTTGAGTCTCCAGTGCTCGATTCTATTGGTTATTTGTGAGAATACCACTTATTCAAATCTTTGCCAACATCGTGTATCTATCATTAAATTTACTTTTACCTAACTTAATAGATTCAAATTGGGCTTTACTTACATGAGTATTTCTCTTATGAGTATGGTTGGGCATTTTCCCATATGTGCATATTTTATTTATATGTCTTTTTTGGTGACTTCTCTATTTCATTCCCATTGATTCATTCTTTATGGAGATCTTATTTTGCTTATCAATTGGTTTAAGGCTTTATAGAATAAAGATAATAGCTATCAAAAATAATATATATACTTTAGGGTTGTGAAACACGTATGATTGATTCTTCCATTTTGTTTGCAAAGCAAACAACTGTGATTTTATTCCCAGTACCCACTCTGCCACACTCCAGCCTCACTGGCCTTCTTCTGAAATGCCAAACCTGTTCATCCCTTGGGAACTTGCTGTTCCTTCTTTCAAGAACTTTTCCTGCAGAATAACCATGACTGGCTCTTTCTTGTCTTTTAGCTCAAATATCACCTCAGAGAAGCTCCTCCTTTCCTTCCAACCTTCCATCCAACCATCAAGCCACCCAGTCATCCAGTCCTCCATTTATCCTTTAACAAATGTTTGTTGAATCCATGCTCCGTGCTAGCACTGTGCTTGGTGCAGGGGATACAGCTGTGAACAAAACAGATGAAGTCTCTCTGTTTTCATGTTGAATATCTTACTCTTATTTGTTTCTTTCTTTAATTGTGTGACTCCTTCACCCCCACCCGTAGAATGGCAATTCTGTGTGAACGGGTACCTTATCCTTCTTGCTCACCATTACATTCCAGCCCAATACTTTCTAAATAAATATTTGCTGAATGAAAAATATTTCTAAGCCCACCCCTTCTGCAATCTCCTCCTCTAGTACGGTACCATTACAATTGCTTGGTATGTTGATAGCATCTTTTCAGAAGCTTAGATTTTCTTAGTCCAGCAGTATATTTATTGGGTTTACTCTCTCTTCCTTGTCACCAAGTTCCTGGATAGAATGAAATGAGGGAATATCCTCTCTCCTCTATCCTTACCCCAAGTCCTCCTATTGCCATGATGCCACTCATGAGGTTTGATCCAAAGGATGTATTTTTCCTTTAGTGCATGAGCCCAGTTCCCATTAGGGTTAATGAGGAGGATGCTCTTTCATCTAGAGCCTGCTGGGATTGTTCAAGCACCGTCTACATACTTAAAATAGAGACACTTCAGAAAGTAGGAAGCAGTTGCACAAAGCCCCAACTTCAACCTGCTTTTAATAATAGAAACTCTTATTTACCAAGTCCGTGTCATTTTTTCCCTTGCAAGCTTTATTTGGAAGATAAATGGGCTAAAGTTCATTTTTCCAGAAGAGAGTAAATGAAAGATCCATATGAGCTGGGGGAACCCTGGGTGTGACAAACTTGCATGTACTTTGTACAACTCAGGAGCTGCAAAGATCTACTCAAAATTCAGCTGTGGCCTACCCTGCTGAGTGACAGTTGTTGGAAGGCTGGAAAATTCCGGCTAGAGGGGTAGGAACCAGAATCAGCATGTCCTTGTTTCAATCCAGTAAGTGTTTTTCAGATGCCAGCTGCTACACAGTGCTGAGAAGTCAGGCAGTGACTATGATAAAGAACTAACGTTTTGGGATAGTGTGATCTGAAGATCAACTGGTCAAATGAAGATTCCCAAGCCTCAGCCAGAATTAGAATATCTAGGGTCAGGTGACTAGGAATTTGCATTTTCAGCAAGCTCCTCTTAGATTCTTTTGCATTCTAAGGTCTGAAGAACACTGGTGTGGTAGTGTGAGAAAGAAAGACAGAAAATAATGATTGAGTGCTGAATGTTAAGCAAAGTGCTAGGAGAGGGTATGTTAGGGCAGCCTAACCTGGTCTGGGGATGAACAGTGGTCTGAGAAGGCTCCTGGAAGAAGCGACATTGTATTAGTAACTTGGAGGAGTAAGGGTTAGCTAGGAGGGGATGGGGTTGAGGCCTGGTCTTGGATAAATGATAGATTAATAGGAGGAGGAATTTAGTAGCTCTCTGAAAAGTGTTCAAGTCATCAGTGTGAACTAGCACAATGTCCATGTGTCTACAACATCAGGAATGGGAGGAGTGTACAGGTAGGAATTTCTTGCTCATGAAAAAAATCAGGCTACATAGTGGCACTGCCCCTGCTGAAATGCTGGACATACCCTCTTCCTGTTTTCTAATGGAGGGACGAATGGATCCAGGACAGCCATGAAAATATGCACTAATGGTCCAGATAGATGCCTGAGGCCAGAAAAGCCAACTGGGTGGGGCTAATGGAAATTAGGCAGGGCCCAAACTAAATGAAATAGATTGTATCTCCTCTTCTCTTCATTTTTCAGTTTGTTTGATTCCCCCCAAGTGGGAATTTGTTTGTGCTGCAGGCAGAGGCCTACTTTTTTCTCTTAGCTTAGAGACACAGGGAGGGCAAGGAGCAGAAAAAGGAAGGTTTGATTATTAGAAAATAAAGCGACATTGGTCCTCTGCTTGTGTACTGGGCCATGTCCTTCCCAGATCAACTATCTGCTGATCTGATGTAGTAGATTTCGATGTCTAGGGCTGCATTTAGCTTAGGGAAATAAAAATTTGATTTGAGAACATGCATGCCTTCTAAGGCCTGTAGTTCTGGAGAAATGTGAGTCCAGCATGTGGGGTGGATTTTTTTCTGTGCTGGGGAATAAAGGCCTGGACTTCGTTGGGATGGTAAGAGCAATGGTGGCCAGCCTAGGACTCTGTTGGTGTCAGTTCTAGTTTTCCCAGCATTGCTAATGGGAAATGTTATTTCTGCCCCCACAGTTCTTAACTCCTATGTTTGCTTGGTTTGTTAGCACTGACTGGCTTCCCTCTGTATGCTCTTCCTTCTCCTGTAGTCTTAAATGTTCTTACACTGACCTGGCTATTTAAAAGCATGAATTTCCTGAGTTGAGGCTATTTGTATTTAACCTGGAATTTTTCTTCCCTAAGTCCAACTTATATTAAAAAAAAAAACAGTCTTCATTAACACAAGAGCCTACTCACCAAAATACTGACTAAGTCTGGCTGTAGAATTTCACTTCATGACCTTTTAGGGTTGTGAATGTCAAAGACTGAGCCCGGGGCAGTGTGAAATAATAAACAACTGGGCCATAAGATCCAGCTTGACGGGCATCATCTGAAATCACCTTCCTGAATTTATTAGAGTTAATCAATCCAGGCTGAAAAACGGAGCTAGGAAATCTCTCCCACCATGCTCTATTTCATTCACACTTCCTTCACGTAACAGACATTTGTGAGTTTTGTTTCGCTGTTGTATTTTTTTGAGACAATCAAACATATCCCCAAATAGATGCTCCTTGGATGTAACTTGAAAGGTGATAAAATGCCCAAGAAGAAAATCACCAAGTTGTTGCTTCACTTGAATTGCCCAGGGCTTTTTTCCAAAGGTAAAACTTATTCCTCCTATTCAGAGGTGTATGTTGGTGGTGACAGTAGTTAGCAGGAATCACATCTCATTTCAAACATCCAGGCAGACCTGTTGAGATACATTAAGGAGATGACCCATTGAAAGAGAGCTTCCTATAGAAAAATCTTACAGGGTTCAGGCTAGGGCAACTGCTTGTGACCTCAAAGATTGGAAATAAAAAGGCTGCTATTAGTTCCACATCGGTTCTCAGAGTGAATGTTGCAGAGTGATGGAGGGTGTTAAGCTGTCAAATACCAGCAAGGGTTAATAAGGTTAAAGAAGAAATAAAAGCTGGTCAACAATAAAGCGGTGTGGATAAATCAGCATCAATAAATAAAGCATGTCATGTCATGTATACACAGTGCGGGAAAAACAAAAATCATAACTCATGTACTCAGGCAGTAGTTGCAGGAATTCTTCAGTGGGACATCCCAGATGCTTTCCTTGGGCATCTTACATGCTTACTTGGACACATCAACAGCCCCCTTTTCTCTCTGGAAGTCATTTACTCTCTCCCCTTTTAGAAGAATTTTCTAACATCTATCAGACTGTGTAAAATATAAGAAGAGCAGAGCCAGGGTAGCTTAGCACCTGATGTCAAAGAAAGGCAGTTATAAACCACCACACCAAGGAGGTGATTCACTTTCAGTCCCCTTTGACCTCTACCCTGGAAAGGAAGGTCAGATAGATACCTTTTGTGTGGGCTGTATTTGCCCAGCTGACCAGGAAAATTCAGGGCTTTGGTGGCCAAAGGATTTTGCAGATTATTCTGTACATTTGTGTATTTCCTGTAAGTAACGGAAAGCCTTGATGACCTTGCAGCTGAAATGCCTTCACAGCCATAGACACTTGCTGTTGTGCCCTAGATGGAAATCTTGCAGGCAAGGTGGCTCTGCGCACCTATGTTACTGTGTAAGTGCCAGGCTCCAGCTCAGTTTTAACTGGTTGATGGCTGGCCATTCCAGCTGACTTGTGGACCTCACTTTTATTGTTTCTTGTCTACTTCCAGACTCAATGGCTATGGAGAATGCTTCTGGTTAGTGGTCACTCTTACTTAGAGACAATTCTATAAAGCATGAGTACAAAGAATCATATGATGTATTTATTTTTTAAAGAAGGACACCCCACTTACACATTTAAGTCAATATTACTCTTTTGAGAAGTTGAGGGCTTATTCCATTGCTTCAAACCTATTTTGACTCCCAGCCTGTGGCATATTACTTTGACTATCCTTGGTAGGGACAAGCCTCCATCCTTGGGATCTGTGTTTGGAAAGAGCCTAACATTAGGAGTCAAACAGGTGATCACGTTGGGTGATTTTTTTCTTTGTTGCATTAGATTATGAAGTGTAAGCACTGATTTTTTTTGTTTGGTTTGGTTTTCGATAGGACTGTCAAGGGCTTTCCAAAATATATCAAGCAAGGGCCGTAAAATTGGAAAAATTACGTAGTTTCTCCAAGACTTAGGTTCTGGTAGATGTGTTGACTAAGCATCAGCCTATCACTTTATAGTCCTAGCTTGTCAACTGTCACGCAGGTAATGAGTTTTTGAAGGTGAAGTTTCTATTCTCAGGAAGAGTCTTCCAGCAGGGAATTAGTAGTCTACGAAAAGTGACCTTGCTGCCTTCTTTGCTTGGATCTGTTGAGCTCCTGGAACTCTAGAAACTGGTTTGTGAAGTGTAAGAGTTCCAGGATCTCAGCATCTGGGGTGGCCCAAGTCATGGAGATTTTATCAGAATACTATGGGCTTTCCCTTTCTTAGGAGATAAGGTTCTGGCCTTCAAACACTATTTTCACTGACAATTTCTCTTTCCTTGCTTGAATAATCCCACTAGCAATCTAAAGAAAGAACTTTTATTCCAAAGAAACATACTCATAAAGCTGTGAGTTGTTAAAGAGAACATGTGAGTTTCTCATATTCCTACCTTCCACTCCTCCTGTTTGCCCACCCTTTCCTCCAACTCCACATTCAACTTAGGATAGTTTTATTTACACAATGAGGTCTGATTGTTTTGGGGCTTTCTTTGTCATATATCATGCCATTTAATGGTAAGCAATACATTTGTGACTATTCTTTTAGGATGCATCAGACTTTCCCTATAAATCTGAACAGAGTGAGTGGTATGGAAAACTAGCTGCTAGAATTTTGTTTTTGCGAGTAAAAGGCAACGTAACATAAAAATTAAACAAACATCTTCCTTTCCAATCACTATCTGCATGTTACAAACCATGTAGATTTGTAACTTTGCCAATACACTATGGTGGAGGAAGGGTGCCTCTGTTCCAAGGGCTTCACTCCTTGGAGATGTGTTTTCAGACCGTGGAACACAGTGGGGTCAAGTCTATCAGTATGAGGCACAGGGACAATGGGGAGACTAATTTAAAAAGCATAATGTGGGCATCAGACAGAATTGGGTTTAAATTTCTGTATTTTCCTCACCAGTCAAAAGGCGTTGCTTGGTTCAGTCTGAACTTCATTTCCCTATCTGTACAATGGGCACAATTTGTTTTTCATAAGGTTTTTAGTGCTGTATCTATCATGTAATGATCATAGAATCTGATACAGCCTCTTGATTCTCTTTTTTCTGAAGCCATTTGCATAAAATGAGTCTCACAAACTTAGCTTTTTTTTTTTTTTAGTGAGAAAATTCTGGCATCTGATGTAGAAAATAAATTAATACCTGCTTAAGAGTTCTGTTTTCTGCAGTGAAGCACAGCTGTTATTACTGTTAATGGCCCCAAGCTTTCACGATTCCCAAACCAGAAAAACAAGCGCAAGATCTTTGCTATGTTGAAGGGAGAACTGGGAAGGCAAGGTCTCAATTCAGGGCCATTTGGAAATATTAATATAATCATTTAATTTCATAATTTCTTTTAGCATTTGGCTCGATGACTTTACAATATTTTTTTAAAAGTCAAATGCTAACAAAGAGAAAACTTCGAGTACTTCTTCTTGCATTTTCTTGCATTGAAGGCTCTTCTTGCATTTTTTCTTTTTTTTCCTCTCTGTCCATCTGTCCGTTTGTCTCTCTTTGAATATGTCTGAGTTGAGGAGTGACTTTGAGAAACAAGTGGCGTTGCATTGCCTAAATAGCTTGTGTTCTTATCCCAGCGGCTGGTTTTCAAAAAAAAGACTCCTTTTTCAGTCCCTTTTCTTCTTCATTATATACAAACTGCAAGGCAGAAAGCCCTTTTGCCTGTCCCCTAATTCCTTAGCCCATCCTTAATTAGTGTTTTTACGGTTAATCCCTACCATATATCTTTAAGAGTTGCACATGCGTTGGCTCCCCACAAGTTTTATTGCATTCAAAATAGAGGCAAGCTGGCAGTGTGTGATGGTGGGAATATGTACAGTCACTGAGAGGAGTTGGCTGTTACTTGTAATTGATTGCTCACTGAAGCCTGCCCGCGCACTTTACCCCGAGGCCTGACTTTCCTCCATATGCCTAGTGTCAGAACTTGGAAGCCAGCTGGTCAGTCAGCGCACATCCTGTGGGAAGCGGCAGACACAGGCGGCCGGGTAGCCATCAGCCTCCCCGAGCACATTTCCTCTGTGTTTTGATAATAGTTCTGTAAGCTTTAATTATGCTGTGTGACAACACATTCATGAACTATCAAAATAAATCCTTTGAAGAGATGGCTGCTAACAAGTTTTGAAGCAACAGTGCTTGTTGCAAAGAAGTCAGGAGCGAGGCAATCAGATTTTGCAGGATCCCCCTGGATGTTGAAACCAGATGAAACGTTCTCTTGCCTTTTTTTTTTTTTTTTTTTTATCGTGCTGACAAATGTTCCTTTTAAAGCTATGCCCTTAAGAAGTTAACTGAAGACACTTATTGCAACACTCGAGTGTATCCAACACAGCGTTTCACAATTAGCAGCGGTAATGCAGGCATTAAAGCTGTGCCCCAATATCAGTATATAATCTGGAGGAACACCACAGGGTCCATTAAGGCCATTTACAGTTGAGACTGAGACTAATGGTATTAAATTATTACGGCTATTGCTAAAAGGGCATTATAAGTGAATCCCTTCCAGCTGGGTTGGTTGTATATGCTCTTTGTCAACAGTACAGTCCTTTAAGGATATCCTTATTGTTCACGATCGTTTAGACGTGCTGCCGTGAGCTTTACTGAAGGTGTAAATAACATCCGACAAAAAGACTGGGAATTAGGGTTTGATTAAACTTGGCTTAGAGTTAAGTGGAGCTGAGTAGTTCTTGGGCAAATCCTCCTTGTCTTTATATACACACGCACGTGTGCTCACACACGGGATTGCCTGTGTTCATGCGCTGCATGCGGCTGTGTACTTTTGCCTGACCTCACAGGCACAGGTGGACCCAGAAGTTAATTAGAGTTGCTTGGATTGTTCGAGGTGGTTGTTCTGTTTGGAACTTGGCAGAATTTAGGGCATTAGTGTTAGAATGCCAATGAGAATTCTGTTTGGAAACCACGTTTTTAAGAAAGAAGAGTGATTCATAATCCTCAGCATACATTAGTCTCCTATTTTTTTTCCTCCTATGAGTGCAGTTGCCCTTTTTTTTGGCGGGAGATTCCCAGAACTTCCTCCAAGGTTGGTAGCATTATTAAGTGTTAAGTTATTTTAACTCCCTCAATGCCCAAACAACAGGATACTGCTTTAGGGAATAATTAAGTACCAGGGTCTTCAATTTCAATTTACTGAAGTAAGGAAGTTGCAGAGAGAAATTTGAGAATAAATTCAAAGTTGCTACTGAGCTCGAATAATGAACATGGCATGAATTAATAACTCCAGTATTGTCAGGGGTGCAAGAGAGAGAAGACTGAAACACACCCCGGAGCGAGTCTTCTCGGGAAGAGGTCAAGGGTCAGAAGGTGTTCATTGCAAATAAGAACAGGTAGGTTGCCGTATTAAGTATATTCACATATATTATTCATAACTATTATACTATATATGTCTTCTCTTCATTGTATAAATTAAATAACTGTAGCTAATTAATTGTTATTACTTATCCCCATAGTTTGCCTAGATCAGATATATTTTCTGAGCATCTACTTACTTTATGACTTCCACTGTACTAGGCACTTTGGAGAGGGGGAAGAATCATATCAGACATGACTCTTGCCTCAGGGAGTTTACAATCCAGCTGGGAAGAATAGGCAATTTTAACAGAAAAGAGAAACTTGTTCAGAGCTAGATTACATGGTACTAGTCATGAGTATAATAAAAGTTTAAAGAAGAGACAAAGTAGGTGAGGTATTTTGGCCACAGAGCGTGCAGGAAATGGGACTTGAGCTGGACACAGAACTGCAGGAAGGAGGAGGTGGGAGGAGGTGGTAAAGAGAGCAGAGGAGTCCGCATCGCTCGATTGAGGGTGAAGTCCCAGAGAGGACTGAGCAGTGGGCTTTGGCGGATACTGCAAAGGCCTGCTGGGTTGAGGCAGAGCCTTGTTTCTGCCAAGTCCTGTGTTAGGCTCTGGGGACACAAATGGGTAAGACATTGTGCTACCCTCAGGGGACTTAGAGCCTCTTGCGGCCATTCTCAATCTATGTGCCTTTCCACTGGAATAAAAATTTTTTTGCACCGAATTCAAGGAACTCAGTCCCTCTGAAGCCCATCAATTGATCCTTTGGCTCAAGGTTAAGAACTGCTGCCTCATGGGAATGTGGGCCATAAGTTTAAGGTGGGCTGGTTTGCAGGGGTGAGGTAAGGACACTTAGAATCCTGGCAAAGGAGTTTGACTGACATAGGAGGCAACAGGGGTCCTTTGAAAAGACCTATAGAGAACGTTAGAGATGGGCCATTGTCCATCCACCTCATTCTTAGGTGGGGAAACTGAGATCCCAGGGCTGAGGTCACTGCCCAAGCTCCCCAAGTTGTTCCTAGGGGTTCTTTTTTATCCTTAGCTTAATGGAAACTTCTTGCTTGGATCTGACTTTCTCAGGAATTATTAGGGTGGCAGCAAAGGGTGCAAGATGAAAAACTGACCTATGTTAACGTATCCTTATCAGAGATGCACCGAGAACAATCGGAGCAGTAAGAGAAAAGGAGAATTTAGGAAGAAGCTAAGAACAAAGGATGGAGCCACTGGCGTGAAAGAAACTCTATCAAATCCAGTTTTAATGCAAATCGCTGTTGGCACATGAGACACTTCTTAGTGAGAAACCTCTTCTTGAATTTTGCGATAAAGCAGAGAATCTTTGCAATCTTTGAAACCTTTCACTTTGGAAATATCCACAAAACAAATGGGAAAAACAAACATTAATGAGGCAGATATAAAACACTTTGGAGAAAAAATAATTTAGCATTTTTATAGTTGCTATAGAAACACCTCAGCCCTCACTCGTGCTAATTAGTTGGATTTTACACATTTTATATTTGGAAATGCAAATCAGTTTTCATAAATTATTACTTATTTTTCATTTATATTTGCAGTACTGTTATGCAGGTATACACAGAAAGTCTAGGATATTATTTAGTTATATAATGTGACACACTTAGTTATATGAGCCCGACATTTATATCCACAAGACATTTCTTAGTTTAAATATTCTCCTGTTAAATGTTGTGGGAAATTATACAGAGATTTAGAATTTTTACAGAAGAAAATGTAAATTATGTGGTGGCTTACTAAAGGGCTTTCTCATGGAGTCTTGGGAGAGAAGGGGAGGAGTTTTACCCCCAGTAGACTTTAATAAACATTTAAAAACTTTTCTCTGGTCGTGGGAATTATGGTTGGTTTGGGTGTCTTCTGAACTTTTGGTACTAAACATTTGCCATCTGTAAACACTTACTGGACTTACAATGATTGGAGAAGACACAGGCATGTTTGTAGCAAAGGGAATATAGGACAGCTCCAAGATCCGGGGCGGCTTATAGTCTTTGCGGAGGAGGTGAGTGAATGCTCAGACTCAGTAGATGGCAATTATAGACATATTTTCAGTTTATAGACAGAAGACAGGAGGAGTGAAGCTGTGGACTTCAGCTTTGTTGTTGAAAAGGGGTACTCTGTGACAGACCTGGGTTCAACTCTTAGCGCTGTTACTTACTAGCTACGTGATTTGGGGCAAATTACTTGGCCACTCCAATCCTGTTCCTGTAAAATGGAGGCAAAAAGAATAATTCTTACATCATAGAGTTTTTGTAAGGATTAAATGATAGAATATTTATTAAGCATTTGGTTCAGGGCCCAGTACATTATAAAGTGCTTAGCCAGTGTTAGCTGTTATAAAATTATCATCACAGTCGATTCTCACTGTGCATGCAATTATCCTTCTGATTTCAACTATGTGTGCTGGAACAAAAAATTAAAAAAGAGAAAAGAATGCTAAGAATAGTTTAAATAATGTTCTTCATACACTCACTGTGTATCTGCCTCCTAGTGAGCCCAAAATGTAAATAGGCTGGTGATCAGACCTTTGTATATAGATGTTAATGCTCAAGGTTGCAAACGCATGCATACTGCACTCTATGTGTAGTTTCAGGGATTTGCAAAGATTTTTTAGACTTTCTGAAGTTTTATCTTATACCCTGACTTGAGACACTAACTCCCACATCATAGTTGAAGCCACTGTTGTTGGTGTGTTGATAGTGTTACTATTGGCTTGATGTGAAAGAACAAATAGGGTAGCTGATGGAGTGACTGGAAGCTACAGTTGAGACCTTGGATTAGATCTAGATGTCCTTGGATGATTTTGATAAGGAGAGAAAACAGTTAGTGGGGAGAAGTGGTGAAAGATCCTTAAATGTCCAGTGTGAGGGAGAGAGAGAAGAGGGGGTGGGGTTAGCGATGGGAGGTGTTGGGAGGGGCCATGGCTCCTTGCCCAGGAGGCTGGGGCAGGGACGGGGGAGACAGGAAATGGGCCTCTGAGTAATGGGAGCCGCAGAGAGACCGACTGGGTGCTTAGCCCCATGTGGGAAATAAGCAACACAGGGAGAAAGAAGTTTATACAGGCACTAGTATTTTTAGAGACTGTCCTTTCAGTGATGCATTTGAATAACAAGGTGTCCTAATACTCCTTAGCCTTCTCAGTCTTATGTCTTCAGTTATTTGAAAAACAAAGTAAATAGCATAGCTTCCTTCCCTAGGCTGATTTCCGTCTTTTCCTGAATCAGTAAGCAAGGATTTGTTTCTTCTTTGTGTGTATGACCCCATTTAAATTCAGAGTTCATGGTAACATAAATGGTAACTGGTAGGAAAACAAATAAAGTACAAATGCATAAATACATTTCTTTTTCAAAATTTATCACATTAAACAAGCCAATAGTTTTGATGTTATCTCCACAAGGTTGAGACCTTGCTATTTATTAGACCTACTGGGATATGTCCAGGCAGGAAATGTAAGGTACTGAAGGAATGGGGGTTGAGAGAGATGGCAAGCTGGAAGCCAGTGTGCCTTCTAATGGGAAGAGCTGAGGCTCATTCTCAGTTCTCTCTGCTCCGTTGCTGTTGGAGAATTTGAACCCAGGGTTATCAGATATGATTTTTTGATAGAAGCCAGAAGGTATTTTATTGTGAAATCAGATTTTAAGTGATGGCAACTAATTTTCAAAAATTTAAATCACTATGAAAGCAAAACAAAATTAGTCTGTGAGTTGCTGGTTTGTCAACTTTCTTTTATAGCTGCAGGGTAGCTAGATGTGGTTATTGAGCACTGGAGAAGTAGCCAGCACAGATTGAGATACGCATTAGATATAAAATACACACTGATGTTGGAATATTATGAAAAGCATCAATAATCATTAATATTGCTTACATGTCAAAATAATATTTCGGATATCATGGGTTAAATAAAACATTGCTGAAATTAATTTTACTTGGTTATTTTCTCTTTTTAAAATGTGGCAATCAGAACATTTTGAATTACATGTGTGACTTGTATTATATTTCTGGTGGACTCACTGCTCTAGAGAATTTGAGCTGGGTTTTTCCTCTAAGGTCATCTCTCAAAGTGTGTTTGTGATTTTCTGTGGGTGAAGGACCATGAACTTATCTACTTGTCCTTTCTTCCTTCTTAGACCAACCTAAGGTCAAGAAAGGTCTGTCTTTTGGGGGGCCCTCCAGCCGGGTCAGTTTTGATCCAAGGATAGAGCTAAAGATGGATCTCACGCTTTGAGCTCAGGTTTCGATTGGCTAGTCAGTGTATGCCCAGCTGTCCTCACCCAAGTGCCAGTAATGATGACCCTGACACCTGGCATTGCAGTCATAGGCATGGAGTCCTTGGTGCCTAGGTTCTTCAGAAGGCGTGGCAAATTCCTGGGAATCACACTTCTTTTGTTTGCCGTCATTTTGCTTAAAATCTTATTTTCTATTAGATGAAAAAGAGCAAGCACCTAAAATTTCCTATCATCGTTATCATTGGAGTCACATTTTAACTCACATTTTGAGTTAAATTGAGGCCCACATTTTAATTGATTCAAGTCTTTCAAGCCTCACCTCAAGAAGTTTAATTTATGAGAGAGCAATTCCGAAAGGCAAGAGGGTGGTAACCAGTCTGAGGGGCCATAGCTGAAAAAAACAACTTGGAAAGATGGGAAGCCACTGGCCAAGTTCTTCTCTTCAGCTTTTCAGAGAACACAGTGTGTTTGTAGATCTCATCAAGCAAGCTCTAGATTCAAGTCCAGGAAATGTTATTGCTTTACTTTCTAGGGACTAGGTTCTGTATGGAATGTTTGTACAGACATCACCTCTTTTAATTCTCACCTCATGAAACACATCTAGTAACCTCTACTGAGGTTTTATGTGCTTAATCTTAAGAGAGGCAAGGAGGAACACTTGACAGTCTCTACCCACCTCCAGACATGCTAAGGATTTAACAATTTTCTTAAAGACAGGATAGTTAGAGTGCCCAGATATGGGCATATGGATTTTCCTTTTGTTCCTTTCTTTGGTCCAGCTCAGTGGTGCTCAAATTTTAGTAGGCTGTAAACACAAATCCACATGTGTGGTGTTTTATGGGTAATCTAAGTGATTTTCAAGGGTAGTTTTGACTACACGTGATTTTTGCTTTTCAGGCTAAGTCTAGGACCCGACTTTGTGGCTAAATGGAACTCGTTTAAATGTGTACAAGTTCTTAGAGCACAACTCCAGGTGGTTGGACACAAAGATGCGGACCGTATAGCCACTGTCCCCAGTGCTTACAGAATAATGTGTGTTCTTCATGTGGGCTTTGGTGGGATGGGGAGAAAACCCACTGAAGTTTAAATAGTCTCAGTGTTCCTGAAGTTAAGGAGCAGAGGTCTGGCCTGGCATGGGGAGGCATTCTTTGGAAATGGAGGTGGCAGCAGACAGGCATCCTGAAGAGAACAGCCCGGCCCAAGACAACTTCCCAGCCTGAGGTTCAGGTCCTCCAGGTATTTGGCTTCACTTCAGCCACGCTCACCTTATCTCTAGAAGTTGCTTCAAGATCAGCTCCAAGCTGAGTTCCTGCAGCTTCCAAGAGTGTCAGTTATGAGGCCCTCAACCTTAAGTATAGCTGGATGTTGGAGCTTCCTGGTTGTTGCAGGGAATACAGTGAAATTCATCCATTTAGTGGGAGTTCACCATGAGTTCTGTTGTGCGAGGAACTTAGTGGCAGTAGCTGACATTGAGGGTTTATGATATGCCAGGGACTGTGCTACATATTAAAGTTACATCCTATTACATTTAATTCATGCAATACTCTGAGGTAGGTTTTACTCATCCTCTTTCACGGATTAGAAAATTGAGAGAGATTAAATCATTTGCTCAGTGTTCCATGCCTTTCTTTAGGTGACTGCATCAGCCATAGTTAGATTCGGCTGCAAGTGAGGGAGCCTCTGGCCCTACCCAAAACAAAACAAGAGTGGCCTAAATAAGGCAGAAGTTTATTACTCTCACATAAATTAAGCCTGGAAGTAAGCAGCCTAGACCTGAGGTGGAAGCTCTTTCCCCCAAAGCCCTCCAGCCAGGTTCCCTCTAGCATATTCTTCTGCCATCCCTAGAGGGTGGTCTCATCCCTGTTCTCCAAGATGGAGCTGTAGCCATTACAGCAATATTCCTAGCAGCAGAATGGAGGAAGGAAAGGGGCAGGGCAGACCCTTCCTCTTAATGATACGGCTTGCATATTACAGATAGCACCCTGCTTTCATCTCATTGGCCAGGAATTGGTCACATGGTTACCTAGCTTTAAGGAAGTTTGAGAAATACAGTTTTTATTATGGGCAGCCATGTACTCAAATAAACATTGAGGATGTTATAACTTCATATGAAAGAGCAAAGAGATATTTGGGGTCAGCAATAGACCTTGTCACCATAGTGACTTTGGGCAAGTCACTTAGATTCCTCTTGCTTTTTCATCTATAAAATGAAAATGATGATTACTTGTTCTCACTTGTGCCTCATAACACTCCTGGAGTTAGGATAACTCTAGTTAGGGGTGTCATGAGGAGTAAGTGAGACTTTGGAAAGCATTTAGCATAATGTCCTATAGTTGGCATCATTTAAAACATAGCTCTTTTTAATTAAAACATGGCAAAGCCTTCCGTATTTCTGTTAATTTTGGGGACATGGTAACATAGTCACTAGAGAAACATGCTTGCTTTCTATATTTTCTCCTTCGTGATCTGTTTTCACTATTAAATAATACTTTGGAATCTTCTGCCTGCCATGTAACTTTAGTTTAATATCTATTTTTCTGTCAGGCTGAGGTGGTAAGATTCACTGATCATGAAATTTTAAAAGTTTGAAGAAGAAATAATAAAAGATAATGTTGACTTTCTTTCTCTTTCTGTTGATACTCTCACAGATGGTTCCTTTCTCTGTAGAACTCAATTTTATGTTGTGTGCTTAGGAAGCCCAATGTTGATGTAACTATAATTTAAAATAATTTGGAACTTACCCTTTAAAGGAGTGGGCTAATTGGGAAATTTCACATCTGGATCTATATTTATATCTATCCAGGTTACCACTGTTTTAGATTGGCTTAGGAGAGAGGCATACTTTTTCAGCCAGAAGTTGGAACTCTTCTTTGGAGCGCTGAAAAGTGGTGTTAAAATTGAACACCTTTGCTTGGGAGGAGTGTGAGCTGGAAGGATAGGTGTGCATGGGACAGAGAGTGTTATGCCTTCAGTTTGGATCAGTCTCAAGGTGTTAGTACAGCCGATAGGGATGGGTGGGGGTGTTAAGCTAAAGTCCTTATTGGTTTCCCACTGGATGAACCCATCTGGATCAGTCTCCACTGCACCACCACAGGGCTCCAGTGGTCTGATCTTCTGCCTCACCAGCCTCAGCCTGGATCTCAGGCACAGCATTGTGGGCCCTCCAGCCTCATTCATGCTCCCTGTACCTTGGGGTCCTTCTGCAATTGGACCCCTCTACCTGGAGTGCCTTCCTTGCCTCTCTGCCTCTTCAAGTGTTCCTCGTCCTTCAGATGCTATTTCCAGGAAAGCCTCTCTGAGTTCCTGAGTTGTCAGGCTTCTTTGTTTTCACTCTTATAACACTGGGCCTGTGTCCTTCAGAGACATGCCTAGAGTCCTCTTAGGAGACTATTTGATTCATGCCTGCCTCCTTTAGTCTGTAAGCTCACTGAGGGCAGGGCCTGTGTCTGCTTTTGCTGACCTTCTTGTTCCCTGTGCTTGCCGTGGTGCTTCACAAATATCCGCAGAATAAACCAATTTGAAAATTCATATATTACTTATGGATCATCCTCTGGTAACTTAGAAGGGCTGCTCAAAAAGGACTTTAATATAAATATATATTTAAAGCTTAGCAGTTGCATGATGGGCACACTGGTTTGCCAGGGCTGCCATAACAAAGTACCACAGACCAGGTGGCCTAAACAGCAGAAATCTATTTCCTCACACTTCTAGAGGCCAGAGGTCTGAGATCAAAGTGCTGTTAGGGTTGGTTTCTTCTGAGGGCCTCTTTCCTTGGCTCGTAGACGCCGTCTTCTTCCAGTGCCTTTGCATGGTCTTCCCCTGGGCATGTCTGTGTTTTAATGTCTTCCTCTTATAAGGACACCAGTCATATTGGATTAAGGCCCACCCCAATGACCTTATTTAATTTTAATGACCTCTTTAAAGACCCTGTCTCCAAGGCTGGGTGCAGTGGCTTATGCTTATAATTCCAGCACTTTGGGTTGCCAAGTTGGGAGGATTGCCTGAGGCTAGGAGTTTGAGACCAACCTGGCCAACATGGCGAAACCCTTTCTCTACAAAACTCTACAAAAAAAAAGTACAAAAATTAGCAGAGCATAGTGGCTTGCCTGTAGTCCCAGCTACTCAGGAGGCTGAAGTGAGAGGATTGCTTGAGCCTGGGAGGTTGAGGATGCAGTGAGCTGAGATCTCACCACTGCACTCCATCCAGCCTGGGTGACAGAGTGAGACCCTGTCTAAAAAAAGAAAAAAAAAAAGACTCTCCAAATACAGTCACATTCTGAGGTACTGGGGGTTAGGACTTCAACATATGAATTTTGGAGTGGAATGGGACACAATTCAGCCCATGGCAGTGGCCATGATTAGACTCTTAACTAATATGGAAGCCAAATGTTCTTCAAATCACATGTCAGCATTTTCTTTTCTTTTCTTTTCTTTTTTCTTTTTTTTTTTTGAGACAGAGTCTGTCTCTGTTGCCAGGCGAGAATGCAGTGGCGCGATCTCAGCTCACTGCAATCTCCGCCTCCTGGGTTCAAGCCATTCTCCTGCCTCAGCCTCCCGAGTAGCTGGGATTACAGGCGCGTGCCACCACACCCAGCTAATTTATGTATTTTTAGTAGAGATGGGGTTTCACCATGTTGGCCAGGTTGGTCTTGAACTCTGGACCTTGTGATCCGCCTGCCTTGGCCTCCCAAAGTGCTGGGATTACAGGCGTGAGTCACTGCACCCGGCCACATGTCAGCATTTTCTAAGCAGAGACCAGGGTCATTGCAGTAAGGTCTCTCTTGGTTAGAGTGATGCAAAGCCAAGTGGCTTCCGAATGACACAGCAAGAAAGTCAAAGAAAAGGCTCCACAAAGGCTATGTGGGCCACATTAAAGCGCAAGATTTATTTTCATTATATTTTTTCTTAGCAGAACCCATCTTATCTGGTTAGACAGGCTTCTTTAGAACCAGATTTTGTTCTTTGTGACATTTGGAGTTAATATGAGGAAATGCTCTTTGTATTGCCCAGTATTGAAAATGTCAGTAAACAAACGCAGCAGTCAGAGAAGGGGGGGTTCTAACAAAAGACATTGTTTCTTGATGCAGGAGGTAACAAGAGTATTTAGAACAAAGGTTTTCTCAAAATAGGCTTTTTAGCAAACTTTGGAGCCCTGCTCTGGTACCCCACCCGCTTCCATTCTGCTGAAACAGCGATGTTGATGAAAATACTTATTATTTTAACCAGCCCCCCAAACTTACCAACACAAACACACTCTTAATTTCAGGGCTGACAGCAGGGCTGGGAAGGTCCTTATAGGATCGCAAAACAACTCGGGCAGTTGAGGGCTTCCGGCAGCCAGCTAACAAAAATATACTCTCAGAGGATGCAGCTCAGGGAGGCGTGGGACCTGCACAGCAGAGAGCCTGAAAGCTGGCCTTTCCGTTTTTTACAGAGCTTCACCCTTCACATCTGGCGGAGCTGTGACAATCAGTGTTAGACCATTTTAGAAATCAGATACCCTGGGTACCAGGAAGTTGATTTGCCTTCAACTTCCTTAAGAAAACACGCATTAATATTTAAGCTGGGTTTTCATAAAAGAAGCGTTGTGCTTGAGATGTGAAATAAAGTTAGGCGGCTGGGAAAACTCCTCCAGATACGGTGACCCTGATGCAATTCAAATCACACTCCAGATTTGAAAAGGAAAGGGAGCAGGGCTCACCCTCCCCGCAAAGTCTTTGTGGCATTTTGTATCTACTGTTTTATGGTGTGTGTCTATAATTTGCAAGGAACTGGACTTTAAGTTGTAACTTCCTTCTCTGTAAACAGAAGTTGGAGATTCACGAAGGTTACTTTCTTAAGTGATCCCAAAAAACACTGTTTATGATTTCCCCTTGGTATTGTTTCTTTGCAGCTTTTTTCAATTAAAGAGCCCTGTGGCGTACATCATCTCGTTACGGGGCTCATGGAGGCTCTTGCTGTACAGGTCCAGCCTTATGCGTTTCCCTGCCCTCCTTTGGATCTACTCCCTGTGGAGCTGACATTGAGATGGTGTCAGATAAATCAGGCAGGACAATTCTGATGGTGCCATCTTGAATGTAGTGTGACTTTAGTATGTCTCTAAAAGAGTTGTGGAGACAAATACAGTTCTTAAAGGGCGAAAGAGCTTTTTCAAAGATCAGTATAAATGGTTTACTTTAAAAATAAACATTTTAAATCACTTTGATCTTAGCTGTCCAAAAGATGCAAACTAGTCATGCTTCTGGGGGGGAGTATTTTCCGGGGTTTTAAACCTAGCATAGACCATTTCCTCTTTGTTTGCAAAAAGATAAATAATTTTTGGAACAATAGAACACAGAAGAAGCAATTGTGTAAATAGTGGACAGGTAATATACTGAAGGTGTTGCAAGAGCAGAAATTGGTTTTGCATTTGCCCATAGAGCTTTTGGTAACCTCTGTAGGTAAGGTTATTTATCCAGATCAGAATTCTGCAAACTACATTCCTCTGTCTGTGTCTGTCCACCCTCCTACTCATCTCCATCTCATCTGCGAGGATATCGTGACTTTTTTTGGTCAGATACCTTATTGAAAATTTGCCCATGACTTAGCATAACTTCTGTCTTTTGTTTCAATAATTAGACTTTACTCTTTCGGGCTGTATACTTTCATGCTCACCTGGCATCATCATTCAAATATGATTTCAGCATTAGCTTAGTACTTAAGTGTCAAGCCTGTATTTGGTATTTTGGTACAATGGTTAATATTTTGAGGATTGCCTGAATTTTAGATTTTGAGTAAGTCATACATAATTGCAAAGGGAGTAAGTTCTGATGCACTTTCAAAATCTAACCACAAATTATGCAGAGATAAAATGAAATAATTTTGAGGTTTTCCACGTTTCTTTTGCATGAAAAAACAAGTGTCAGCTATGCTAATATCACGTACTATATCATCTTTAATTTATTTTTGCTTTTTTTTTTTTTTTGAGATGGGGTCTTGCTCTCTTGCCCAGGCTGGAGTGCAGATCTCAGCTCACTGCAGCCTGGACTTCCTTGGCTCAAGGGACTCTCCTGCCTCAGCCTCCTGAGTAGCTGGGACTACAGGTGTGCACCACCGTGCCCAGCTAATTTTTTTTGCTTGTTTTTTGTGTGATGTCTAAAATAGTTATCTCCTGGATAACAGGAAGTTGTCCTCAGTAAGTCTGCCATCTTTTTCGTATTCATAGTATGAATTCTCACTCTAAAGTTTAAGGAGACATGATCATTTACAAAGATACTTTAAGACCAGGGCTGGCATAGTAAAGAAAGTGTGATATTTTATTGTTAACTGGCTTCTAGTGGCATTTCTTAAACGAGGCTCTTTTGTCAAGTTCCACACAATCACGAGGTTGAGGGTAGGTTTTGAAGGAGGAAATACTGTGCAAGACAATTTGGGTAGTTCTGTGTGGGTCTCTTAACACTATAAAACAATTAACAGAAAACATGCGCTCTTTGTTGGACAGACAGAACCACAAAGTGGACACAGGATTATCTGAATGAAGACATCTGAGTTTTAATATGAGATCTTCAACTAACAAGCTGTGTGACTTTAGGCAAGACTTCTAACTTTTCTGGGGGGTTTTCTCCTTCATAAATTAAAAAGGGCTTGGCTTGACATCAAGTTAAAAATATAATTAAAGTAAATAAAAGCAGAGCTCCTGTAGTTGAGGAGAGCATGAGGCTGGGAGAGCTTTCCACTGGCTGAGCTTCCCCCTGGCCAAGGTCAAAATCACCTCCTACTTCCAGCATCTTACATTCCTTGAGTCTAAAAGAGATAATGTTAATTAGAATTTAAACTGATAAAAGCCATTTTGACATTTTTAAAGTGTCCCTTTGCTAATATTACTTGTTATAGAGGACTTGGAAAATATGAAAATGTTTAGGCTGGGCGCGGTGGCTCACACCTGTAATCCCAGCACTTTGGGAGGCCAAGGTGGGCGAATCACGTCAGGTCAGGAGTTTGAGACCAGCCTGGTCAACATGGTGAAACCTTGTCTCTACTAAAAATACAACAACAACAAAAAAATTAGCCGGGCGTGGTGGTGCATACCTAGAATCCCAACTACTTGGGAGGCTGAGGCGGGAGAATCGTTGAAGCCCAGGAGGCTGAGGCTGCAGTGAGTCCAGATTGTGCCACTGCTGTCCAGCCTGCCTTCATAACAGAGCAAGACTCTGTCTTAAAAAAAAAAAAAAAGAAAAGAAAAAGAAAAGAAAACGTTTAAAAAGGAGACCAAAATGATTTATTCACACCAACTCCCAGATAAATGCATTTGAGGTGTATTTTCTCTTTTTCTTTTATTTTCTTTCATATCAGTCTCCTCATCTGTTTGTTAACTAAAGTGTGTGTGTGTGTGATTTTTAAAAAGATCCTCGCTATTGGATATTTTAGTTATTTCCAGTTTTTCATGGTTATAAATATCATGTGATGAACACCTTTGAATATAAATCTTCAACTGTTGCTCTGATTACAATCTTAGAATAGATTTCTAGACATGGAATTCCTGGGTCAAAAGTTTGACTTCTTAAACTTCTAGTGATCTCATTTTATTTTACTTTTTTTTGGTACCACTTGTTTCAATAGAAATAATCTCTTATTCTTACACATGGAACCATGATGAGTTGTTCAGACTGTTAGGTGAAATAGTATTGAAGAGTAGTGAACCTGAAGCAGCTCTTACATGCTAGCAAATAAAATCTATCTCCCACATCATGATTAAATGGATCATTGTTCACTTGGTATGCTATGGTAGAAAGCTGCTTTCCAATTTGGAGAAAATAACTTGTAAAATCAATTTTAACATTTGTTGGGTGACTGGGATCTATCTGGTTGCTAAGATTTTTCTTTCCTTCATATCTCATGATACTTAACTTTGGTTTAAACAAATAGAACTTATGTGTTTCTAACACCCCTCATTTCTGAACTCCTATTTTTGAAAAAAAAAATTGGAACTGTGCATTTTGGTGGAGGGGGAGAGAATAAATGCATATTTAAGGTATGAATGCTTCTTTCAGGAATTGATCTGCATCTTGGCTGGCAAATCTCTCAGGTGCACGAAGGGGCCCTGGCTACTTGGTCATTCATGGAGGAATATATTTTTTAAATGCTTTCTTGACCCTCTTCTAATTTGGAGGCAAGCACATTCCTCACTTTTTCCCAACCAGAGCGAACCAAATTTTCATGTGCACAGAGTGTGTTTTCAGTGGATTAGACCCAAAGCTATGTTGTTCTAGAGGTCTTAGAACTGCTTATGTAGTACACAATAAGCTTTGTAGCACAATTTAAATGTTGATTTTAACATATAAACAGTCATCCAAAAGCATTCCAGAAAAGCTGTTTTTAGGATTTGGCTTAAAAGTGTATTGGATAATGACTTCTCAAGCATGTTTATTTTTTTTGGTGTCTTTATTTAGGCATATAAAGTTTTTCCTTTTACTGGGACCCCATAAAGAAGTCTGTGTCCCCTTTTTTTCTCTCTCTGTGCTTCTTCCTTTCCTTTCCCAGCTGTTCCTTTAATTCATCTGAGACATTAGATGACATTCTTTATTTTGCCAACAATGACTTATTTATAACTAATTGCCTGGGTTCTGGGATTGTTAGGAAACTGTATTGACAATGATAATTTTTAGTTGTCTCACAATGAGGACACATGAATTATCACAGATTCCAATCAAAAAATGGCAAATGAGAAACAAAGCCCCCACCAACGGTACATTTCTGACATTGCCTTTGTTAAGTGTTGCATTAATAGGAAGGTGACATTCTTTTGAGAAGTAAAGCATATGTAAATAGGAAGAGTTTTTAAAAATAGAATTCTTCAAGCCAGACTCATTTCTACAGCTTCATAAGGAAAAGAACAAGTTAGACAGAAACCTTCTGTTAACAGAGAATAGAAATTGGAGTTGTTCTCCTGCTTTATTTATGGACCAAACTTTTTATGTTTTGAGTATTTTTGGGTATAGTTGGGTATAATTAAGTGTGGTCTGACCAATCAATTCTGTGTTTAAATTTCATCATTAGTGAGAACCCAAGAGATTCCCAGGCTTTTTTTTTTTTTTTTTTTTTTTTTTTTTAACATGGCTATGATTGGTTATATGAGTTTGTGAAATTACAAACCTAATTTCTGGGTGGTGTCAAAGATGGGATTACCTGAAACGGATTCCCACGTTGCTTTGTGATTTGGTGATTATGGTTCTTGACTTCTCTAAGAGAGGAATAAAAGTGCCACACTCACTAATGACCAAATTGGTCAGTTCCACTCATATGCCCCCTATAGCCTCTTTACCATCTAGCCTTTCCAGAGTTAACCTATTGTAAAATTAGATTGTAAAAATGGACAGAGTGGCCACCACTCTGGGATAAGGGTGAAGGACTCATGGTGTCATCCCCACTAAATACTCCAGTGGAAATTATCACTTAATTATTTGTGATATCACCCAGCTCCCCAAAGAGCTGGCCTTCCTTTTCAGCCCCAGTTATCTTTTGGAAGTGTAACTCTTTCAGTTTGATTGTCCTGGGAACACATGCAGTTTTCTCTTGATGGGGAAACCCCTCTCTGAAGGTCTGCGTTTTAAGTGGCAGAGATGCAAAAACAGCCTTCTAGACAGAGTTTCTAATTGAATTCTCCTCTATACCGTTATCCATAAACTGAGTAATGCATCCAAGGAAGAAGAGAGGATGAGAGAGGTCAGGAAGTTTAGATTCCAGTAAAATTTAAATAGCCACTGAATTTGCCATAGCAAAACATGAGCTATGATTCTGTTAGTACACAGGAAAAGTCAATTAGGTGAACTGATTTTTTATGGTGTTGGGAATATTATAATTCAGGGATTCTTAACCTATAGCTTAACCTATAGGCAATTTAAGACTAGATTTCAGGGGTAGGGCAGTGAAACTTCTAAAATTGCTGTAACATTTTTTATTAAGTCATAGGCAGTTTCCTAGGGAGAGGCTTTTATCAAATTCTCAGAAGGGTCCACTGCCATAAAAGATTAAGGAACCACTGCATTCTATCATCATAATTTTTTGTCTTCTTTCAAAAGTTGATATTCTGGTTTTTTTTATGCAGAAAAGACAAAAGCATGTACAACTCTGATATTTCATGATCTTTAATTTCTTCCCCCTCCTGGATGTCCTATAATAAATGTACAGGAAAGAAATATAAAACGCTATCCAAACTCAGTTAATAGCTCTGAGAAATGCACACTCAGAGTGCTTTAAAATCAGGTTACAAATATCATTTTCAATTTGCTGGGGAGAAAATAGGAAGAGTCCCTTGGAATACAGAATAAATTCATTCTATGTACATTATCAGTGTTGGTTCATTATATTCTCATTGGCCCACAACTCAACACATCTTTAAGAAGCAAAAGTGCATACACTCTCCCTTACTGACAATATTTAGGGGAAGACCACATACTTTGTGAACTACTGTGAGTTGAGTTCTTGTAGTCAAAGCAGTAGTAGGTGGAGCTTCATTCTCTGGTATTAAAATCCTAAAAGTGAGTAGTGTTATTAATTGGGGGCACTTTTGAGATTTGATTAAGAAATTTACTGCTCTTGTGGGTTGTTTCCTCCCTTGTGGGATGTTCTGGATGAATGTCAAGGTCTAGCCCCGGCAGATTCCAGAAAGCTTGTCCATCTAAATTTGCTGTTAAGCCATGGGAACTTTTCTATTGCAGTCTTTGGGTCATGGTAACGTGTAAAGCCTAGAGTTTGTTGAAGGGCACTTTTCTCTCTCTAAAATTCTCCATTCCTCACAACTGGTTTTTATTATTCCGTGACATGCTGGGAGTGTTGCTATGACTGTTTGAGAAGTATGGGCAGATATATTGCTGGCTGGCTTCTTACAGGAAGAGTTTCCCATGATGGTAAGTCTGGCTGTAAATTTCAAGCAGCATTGCCACTTCCACCTCAAGCTTATCAAGACTCTTAGCCTTCCTTCACCATGAAGAATCCAGGATCTTATCACCTGAAGCTATTGAGATAATGTGACATTCAGTGGATGCAGAGACTTCCAGAGCACAGTTCCCTACTTGGCAGCTAGTAGGGAAACATGGAATTCATTATAGAACAAGCTAAGCAGTTGTAAATTGAAATATGGCAGCAATAACTACCTTTCTACTCAGTGACTCTGAAAGACTTTGATTATCTACCTACCTACCTACCTACCTACCTACCTACCTACTACCTCTCTGTCTTTTTGGTTTGCTACTTTATAGCAAAATGATAGTGTTCTGGAAAGACCCGAATTCTGGTCCCAGGTCCTGTAAGTCAGAGCTGTTGAACCTTAAGATAGTCCTGTAGCCTCCCTGGACTTTGTTTTTCTTATCTGTAAAAGGAACATAATAGTATGTGCTTTGCTGACTTAATATAGTCAGAGTGAGGAGGAAATGAGACCTCAAATTTGATATCACTGAGAAGCAGTTTTTTTTTTTTTTTTTGGAGATGGAGTCTCGCTCTTGTCACCCAGGCGGGAGAGCAGTGGTGTGATCTTGGATCACTGCAACCTCTGCCTTTGGGTTCAAGTGATTCTCCTGCCTCAGCCTCCTAAGTAGCTGGGATTACAGGCACCTGCCACCATGCCTGGCTAATTTTTGTATTTTTAGTAGAGACGGGGTTTCACCATGTTGCCCAGGCTGGTCTCAAACTTCCAACTTCAAGTGATCCGCCCACCTTGGCCTCCCAATGTGCTGGGATTTCAGCTGTGAGGCACTGTGCCCAGCCCACTGAGAAGCATTTTAAAGCCAAATGATGATTGCCATTTTCCTTGATAGAAATTCTCCCAACATTTTAGTGTCTCACAGTTCTGGCTTTGCAGTCAGGCAGGGCTGGGTGAGAACCCTGACTACACCACTTACTCATCCATGATCTCAAAGGAGCCACTTGTGTAATCTTAGCTCCATCTTCCTCATCTTTAGAACGGGAGCAGTGATAGATCACACCTACTAGAGCTGAAGTGTGGATTGAGCCAGGTGAGATTCATGAAGTTTGAGCACATGGCTTGTGGGCATGTGCTCAGTCCTCAATGAATGTAAGCTGTTGTCACGCTTTGAGTCCCTCTGCCTATATTGCTAAGAATTAGAACATTCTGAAAACAGATCCGTGCATATGTGCTCTAAGAATGCACAATACACAGGCAAGCTGTCATTTTAAGAGGAAATCATCCAAGGTCTTCTGGTTAGTCCTCAATAATCACCTTCTATTACAATCAGATTAAATCTTCAAGTGGTGGCAGAATGCCAGTTTTTTTTTTTTTTTCCTGCAGTTGTGTTTCCTGTGCCTTCTAGTGGTATTCAAAATACTTCACAATTCAACTCAAGAAATTTAGCACATCTTCAGAATAAATTATTATTGTCATTAGCACATTACCACCCAAGAAAATCTGTACAGGAACAGAATGCCCAGAGTGAGACACTGCATGTTCATCAGCTTGTGGGTGCCATATGTATGGGGATGTTTTTGTTTCGGCTGTTGCTTTTTGTACACCAAAGCTAAAAGCAAGACACACCCAGTGATGTTTGTTGATCTTGTGACTAACAGAGTTAGCAAAGAGCCAATTAAAGCAGTTCAAACAGACAGAAAGATAAAGATGCCAGTGCAGAGAAAAGTCACAGCAGCAATAACCCTTGATAAAAGGGCAAATGGAACCAAGATCTTACCTTTCTTGAGCTTATATATATAAATGTATCTGGCAGTAGAAGCATCCCAAACTTGCATCATGAGTAAAGAGTGATCGAAAGGAAAATCTGTTTTGATTATTTTCACAAAACTTCCTTTTGATGTGCACCGATTTTAATCAACTTTCCTACACAGCTGCAAATTAGTCCTCTAGCTCTCCATCCACTCTATTGCTTTCTTTCCTTATGATTCTTGTTACATTTTAGTTTAGCACATGACAGATCCTTTTTACTTTACAGATTTCCAAAGGTGATAATTTCTTACATTTTACATGACTATGTATACTAAAGATGAAGTACTGCTTTCAAGTACAATTTTAGGTGCCTATATGGCTTCATCCTTTGAATAGCACTCCTTCCTCCTTTTCTATATATATAAAAACTATGTCAGCCTTGAACTCAAACTAAAATTTCTTCCATTAAAGGGTATGTTCATTATTTACTGTAAGATGAATGCCCTATGGATTTTTAAACATAAGCCTGGAAAATAGGAAATAATTCACTCTGGCTTGAAAAGGGTGGAGATTTCTTTGTTTCTTTTTATATTTATTCAGGAAAAGCTGACAATCGTCTCACATTAATGAACTACACCATCAATCACTGTGTTGACAATGAGCGGAAAAGCGAGGTATATGTCAGGCTAACGGCATATTGCCTTTTTCAGTGAGGGCATGGCTGTTTATAGCACTTTCATTGGCAAAATACTTTTGCACTGGAATAGGAATAGAAAGGAGAATTAGAAAGGCAGCCAGTGGAAAGAGCTTTATGTTTTCAAATTATGGAAAAAGTAATAGGGGAAAATTGAGAAATGATTATTTTTGTACTTTGTGTACCTATCCCACAGGACTTGAAGAGTAAATGGAAAATGAAAAAAAAAAAAAAAAGGCTTGGGGGAGGGTGGTTTCTTTTATTTCTCACCTTATTCTACTGGGCTGTTGTCTTTCCCTAAGATCATGGCAAAAAGTTTCAGAGATTATGTACAACAACTGTATTGGAACCCTGCAACCATTACAAAATTGAATTAGAAGTAATTGGTTTTATGCTACTCTGAGCACCCACCATAGCTTAAACACATACACACATGCGTGCACGCAGGCACACACACACACAAACACACACACACGGGTGATAATGAAAAATACTTTGGTGGCCTCAGGAAATGATAGAATTTTCTCCCATGTTTAGCTCCCACTCTCCTGAGGAACAGGTTGGTAAGGAGATTAACTAAGCCCTGGTGAAATCACTGTATCAAACAATATTGTGGTGAACTGTGACTCAGGCTTAACAGCTATGTGGTCCTATAGCCCCTGAGAGGAGGAACCTTCATCTGTTTTGGGGAGGGCACTTTATCCTCTCCTTAAAAATCTAAACAACTTTAGTGTCAACTTAATAAGTTGGCCAAAAAGGACAAGATGAAGGTAATATCAGAAGCTAGCAATTATTAGAGGGGGTTAGTATGTGTTAAGGACTCATAACAGCCTTGTGAGGTGGGGGAATATCGTTTCTTTTACAGATAAGCAAACTGAGGCTCAGAGGGATGAAATGATTTGCACCAGGGGTCACACAGTCAGTGAATGGTTGAGTCATAATTTGTGGATCTTTCTTAACTACAGATTCCAGTCTCTTCAATGCTAGACCAGTGATTTTGAAATCTTTTGGCCTCAGACTCCTTTACACTTTTAAAAATTGTTGAAGATTTAAAGAAATTTTGTGGATGTGGCTTATGTCTATCCATATTTACTGTCTTATAAATTAAAATGAGAAATTAAAAAAAATTTCTTTCTTACTCATTTAAAAATAACAATAGCAACCCCATCACATGTTAACATAAACACAGTTTATAATGATAAAATAACTCCATGTTCTGAAACAAAAACATTTAGTTAGAAGAATGGCATGGTTTTACATTTTTACATTGTCTGACTTTTAATAGAATACAGTATTCTCATATTTGCTTCTACATTCTGTTCCTGGATGTCATTTTGATTAAAGTATATGAAGGAAACCCAGCTTCATAAATATATATAGTTGGAAAAAAAGAGGAGTATTTTAATTGTTATTTTTCAGATAGCTGTGACTATTCTTCTTTGATACCACACCAAAACTTAACAAGTTTCTCAAAAGTTAGTTGTGTGATACCTGAAACAATATCAATGAATTTTTTAACTCCTTACATTAAAATACATTGGTATATCTTTCACTATGAATAGGTCTTTTACCCATCATCATTTTGTAACATCACTCATTGGTCATTTGAAAAATATTGGTTCACTGAGTTATGTTCATTGAGTTATGTGACATACTTTGTTAGACAATATCAACGATTTATGTTCATTAATATCACCATTGATCTCATCAGAAAAGGTATTGGAGAGCTGCCAATCTCATAGTTGTGGACCCAGGTTTTCCAAAATTCTAATTTTTACTTGAAAGGTGAATTTTATTATTGGCAACACCTGCTGTCAATAGTTTTCTTTGAAGTGACAGTCTTACTTTTTGAGAAAATGTTTGCAATACACAAGTTTGAAAAGCCATAGTTTGTCAGTTGTATTTTCAAGTAAAAATGCTGTTCTATGGAAAAATCAAAACAAAACAGAAAATAACTACTTCAGCTTGCAACTCAGACAGTTGCACAAATGCTTTATCTGGACATGACCATTGTACTTTTTGGTATGCAGTGAAAAGCTTTATCTGTATTACTCATTTTATCATTTTATCTCAAAGAATACTACGAAGATGTAAGGAGGGTCAAGATTTAATAAAATTTAATATTTAAAAAAGTTTAATAAAATTAGTAGTTTTATTACTTCAACAACATTCTTAAATGAAGTGGCTTTGATGCTTTGTGTTTGTGTGTGTGTGTGTCTGTACTGCAAGTGTGTGATGGAGAAGAATACAATGATTAGTGAGTACGGTTTGGCATGATTGCCATGATTTTCACAAGGCATGAATTGCTTCATCTATCATTGCTTTTGCACCTTCAGCACAAATGTCAGGTCAGTAGTATTATAAGGAAAATAGTTTTCACCCCATGGCCCATAAAAGAGACTCAGAGACATTCAGATTTCTGCAGGAGCACATTTGAGAACTGCTGCTCCACACAATACTGTCTCTCAAAAATGCCAGTGATGGATGTATCAACAGCTTTCTGTAGCAAAACAGCAGAAAAAGTGAACAGTAGGAAAAGAGTTGGATACCATTATTCTTACAATAAAGTTTTAATGCTTATTTTTCTATATGTATGTCTGTCTGTAATGGTGGATAGAGGCTTCGTTAAAATGTCAGTAGGTTTTTATTTCTTATTGAATCTTTGTGCTTCATTTCAAAGAAGAAAGAAAAAAATACACTACGGATCAGTGGATAGCATAATTTTGAGACCATCAGCAACTGCTGAACTTAGTTTTCATTTTTACCATGTCAACATTGGAACACACTGATCAGTTCTCTGTTTATAATCCTGAAAACTTGCCACTTGGAATAGATTTAAAATATTTGTGTATAGTTACAGCATTTTAAGAGGCAAAACCCACCAATTTCTCACAAATGCTTGGAAAGCTTTCTGTTCTCTAACTGAAAACATCTCATGTTCCCGCTTAGCCAAGAGAGAGAAAAAGATTTGAAGACAGATCCTTTAACTGGATGTAAGGAGTTCTCTAAAAGACTTAACAACTTATTCGAAAGTAGTTTGTCTTAAAGAAGAAACCTGTCTTGGTTGAAGTGAAGAAAATTTGGGATTTTTATGGAAACTAATTATAAGTACTAATGCTTTTGAAGTTATGTCTCCGTTGCTTGGAACAACTATTGGTCACATTTTCTGTTTTTGGGGCATTATACACTCTTAGGAATTGCCAGTGTTTCAGGCTGCAGCATAGCTTCATCCCAGAGTGGAGTCTCTGGGTAAGAGCCATCAATATGGCTTTCATTCTGTTTCTTTTTCTGTCAGATTTTTTTTTTTCTTTCAAAGAGAAAATGAAACACAAAAACTCTTGTGTGTGCTTGAGGTTCATTCACTGCAATTTGAGAAGTGTGGTATTCGGACTGAACCTTTGAAGCTTCCATGACAGAGAAATGCTTTGGGTGTAGGCACTAAACTCTTCAGGTTGTGGGTATTTTTCAGTACTAGGTGAAAAGCATACATAATATACATCGCGATCCGGCACAGTTGGGGAATCAAAGATCTGTTTGATCAAGTCAATAGCACTTCCCAAAGTGTGGTAAGCTACCAGTAAAAGCACCGGTGCTGGCCTGTGAGATGATTTCAGGAGATACACAGGCATTTTGAATTTAATAATTATATGCCTACTTTTGTGCTTCCCTTCAGTTGAATGGTTTTCTACATATAGTTTCCTTTTAGAATAATTTTGCTGAAAATAGCTAGTCAATTTAAAGAAAAGTTATTAAGTAAATGACAATAAGGGCGGTAGGTGGGTTGGTAAAATGATAGACAAATGATTGAAGTTTTCGGAAGCTGAAGTAGTTCAGACACTTAGTGCATTCATTTGCTTATTCAACGTTATGTATCGAATACCTGTCTATTCCAGATTCTGTGGATTCAGGCAGTCAATAGTGGGAACAAAGTCCCTGGCCTTGTGGAACTCTCATCCTCGATGTGGAAGAGAAATAAATATATGCTATAATCTCAGGTAGTTAGTGTCGTAAAGGAAAATAAGGCAGGGTTAGGGGCTAGAGCTTGCGGAGTAGGGGCAGTTTTAGAGAAGGGTGGAGGAAAGCCTTGTCGAGGAGGTTGCATCTGAGCAGAAAGCAAGACAGATTGGGTTTAGTTCATTCTGCAATCACACATGGGGTGTTTGGCTCTGGAAAACAAATACAGAAAAGACTGGCCAGAAGAAGCTCATAATTTGGGGGTGGAGGACTTCATTAAAATTTAATAAGATAGAGTATAGTGAAAGCGATGCAAGGAGGAGACATTGGGAGCATGGAAAAAAGGAATGGCTGTCCTAATTGATGGGAGGTAATATGATGGAAGATTTCCTAGAGGAGGTCAGTGTCCTGAATTGAGCCTTTCAGAATGAGGAGGAGGTAGCAGGGGAGGGGAAGGAAATGGTGGCAGGACAGGGCCATTTACAGTAGAGAGAACAACATATGCAAAGGTATAAAACATTCCTTGAGGGGGCACATAGTGGGTATCTGGTAAATTCCTGTTGAATGCAAAAATGATGTGAGGAGTGCTTTGACGCTGCAAGAACATGAGCGTTGAGGTAAGGAGTAGAGGGAGAGCCTGCTGTAGAGCTAGCAAAGGCCTGTGTCTGGGAGGCTTGGACTTCTTCCTTTGGGCCACAGGGATCCACTGGAGGGTTTTACAAGAGGGATGACATGTTACATGTGCTTCATTCATTAACTACTATTGTGTTAGTTTGGAGAATAAATTTGCATGGCGTAAGGACAAGCACCAGTGAAAATCAGGAATGGATTCAACAAGACCCAGAAAGAAGTAATGGGAAGAAAAGAGCTATAGGGAGTCAGTTGGATTTGGCAGAATGGGCATCATTGGTGAATTTAAAGCAGCTTAATTTATGCATTGAGGGTAGAATCTGGATTTTGGGGAATTGAGGAGTAGACGGAGGATAAACAACTCTATGTATGTGGATTAGCAATTTTTAGATAACTGGAAACTGCAAAATATTTAATACTTAGCTACGTAGAATGTGAAGTATTTATTCGGAATGGGGCTGAATGTCCAGCACTGCTCACAGACCCAGTTCAAGGGTCCTCCGCCTGGCCTCTGCTCTTTAGAGGGTCCCAGTCTGGCTCTCCTCAGGGAGTGAGAGACCCCTGGGGCCACCTGGAAACTGCCCACTCTTGTAAGATGTTGCTCAGCGTTCTTGGGACCCAGGAATTCACTGCTCCAAAGGCCCTGAGTTCACTTTCAAGGCTTGGTTCTGCAGGGTGTACTCATGTGTGCACCCTGAGTCTTGAGGAGTAGACAAAGGGCTTTTGTGGAGGATGAGGAGGGAGATTGGATGTGAGCACTGCTGTGTTCATACGTGTGCTGTGTTCTGATCCTTGAGATTTGGATCAGAGCCAGAGGTGGAAAGAGAAGAGGATGGGGTGTAGTTGGGGCTGGCCTCCCTATGCCACTGACTACTTGAGAGGAACATTGAAGAACTGAAAATTCTACAATCGAAGTTGGCTTTCCAGGTTGTTATAAAGAAGTATTTGTCAAGACAGGAGGTATAACATATTTCATTTAAAAGTTTGCTAGCTTGTTTTATAGCTTTTAAATATTTAGACACGTAAGATGTGAGCCTTCTTTTATTAGGAATGGGCTTGAGTATCATAATTCCTTGCATTTGTTGTCTTTAAACTAGAAACTCAGTAATAAATGGTAGAAGTGTCCAGTTCCTGTAAGGCTGCTTAAGTGGATTTTTACTAAATATTAAGTGTTTTCAAGAAATTGTGTTAAGATTCGCCTCACTTTCCACCAATACTACATGTCTTTGGCCTCCCCACAACCTTAGAAATGTACACCCAGAACTGAATTAAGTAATTTAGAATAAGCTCACATTTTAAAGTTACTTTCAGAAACCAAATTTGAAGAAAGTGAAACAATATCCTTTGCCCCTTACTTCTGGGTAAAAGACAGAAATCACAACTGTCCAAATCTAGACAACAATCTTTATGGTTAACTTATAAAGTGAGAGTTAGTTAAAAATTTCATAAAAATTAGAGAAAATTGTAGCAAAGCCATCACTAATTTACCCAGGAAGTATATTAAGACATTACATGCTTACAAGTTATTTATAAAGTCCCGGACATGTTTGTTGATCTGGTTAAAACAACACTAAGTACTTCCAGAAAAATTCCTTTCTAGATAAAAAGATCTGATAAATCAGCATGATCATCAGATTTCTCTAATAAAAGAAAGGGTGTTGGAAAGAGTGAATTCCAGATAAGTCCTGTGTAATGCTCCTGAAAGCCATGAGGTCACCAGTAAATTAAAGTTGGATTTGGGGCCCAGAATCTGTTATAGCTGTTTGTATTCTCCTAGGCTGGAGGCCAGACAGCTAGAAACAGGGCCGAGATCCTCAGGGAGTCTAAGTCCTCTTCATGCAGCACTTGACACCGTTATTGCACCTCTGGAATCTAGTAGGTTTCACTAATATGTTTTGGGGGGCTCTGCACGTCATGTGATAAAATTGCATTGCGAGTCTGTGACCGAAGATGAGATCATCTTTCTTAGCTCATCGTTTCAGGCAAGGGCCACCCTCCCCATAGGTGGAGTAGCACAGAGTGCACTGTGATATGAAGAAAGAAGGAACTGAGATTTTTATCATGCAGTGATCCTGTGCCAGGCAGGGTGCTGGGTTCTTTCTTAAATCATCCAGTTAATCCTTACAATGACCCTGTAAGAAGGTCGGAGAGGGTAAGGCATATATCCAAGCTCACAGAGCTTAACAAATGGCAGATCCTGGAGTCATTCTGCTCTCCACAGGATGCCCTGTTCGGGGCTTTTTCCTCAACACCACACTGAGGGGTGTCAAGAGCCTCTCTTGCACTGGAAGATTATTTAGCTTTTTAGACTCAGGACTCAGAAGAGCCTTGGAGATTATATAGTCACCGAATCCTGACACCTGTGCATTTGCTGCTGAATTCACAGCAGTTCTAAGCCAAGCATATGAGCGTCCCCCTAGCATTGATCTGCTACTGTGCCTAAAAGTTTCCCCTGCAGTGACTATTCCACATGAAACCATTGTGCCTTGTTAAATAAAATATGACTGTATCATGAAGACACCACCAATACTTAGGTTCAGGTGATTTTATGCCACTAGTAAGAATCCAAGGACAATGTGTTATTGGGGAGAAGTAGAAAAAGGAAAATCTGGGGTAGCACCTGGCATGCTCTTTCTCCAATTTTCTACTACTTACTCCTATTCCCCAAATTCTCCCATCAAGGAGGAAATGAACTCTGAGACAGAAGATGAGTTTTCCTCAAAGCTTGACCAGGATATAAGTGGATGCCTTATTGGGCAAAGCAGAGGGTAACCAATTAGAAGGCCCTGGCTTCTCTTGATTGATAGCTGAGAACTCGTCAGAGGGATCAGTGCTTTCTCTGTGTATTGCTGGAGTCTGAAAGTGTGACTCTCATGTCACTGATTCATTTCTGAAGTGTTAAATTCAGAATAAATTTTTGATAATCAAAATGAACTTAGAGAACTTTGTTGTTTGGCATTGTCAAGAGTGAAGAATTCTTGCCTAATGCAAAAAGTCATCCATGAATTTTCTGCCATATTAGTTTGAGCAAAACTGTGTTTTTTGCCCTACTGGATCTCTTAATGTAATGACATGTTTGGGATTTTGAGGTTGAAATGAATTTCTGATAAAATAACCATTCCAATGATAAAATGTAAAATGGTAATGCAAGATCAGTCACTCTCGTTATGAGACTTCTGGCTCATATGATTATAAGTGTTAAAGCCAGGCAAAATCTTAGGCGTAGAGTTCCAAGAAATATTATACTTTACTCAAAAGGCGTGCAAGGGATGTTCCAGAGTTGTCATTAGTAGATTATGATGTCAGGTGACAGCTCCGCAGGTTGTGTCACTCTTGCTTATGTTGTGTTTTCACAGCTCCCTTTAACAAGACACATTTAGACTTAGTGGATTTTGTAAGTTGAAAGGCCCCTTGACTCTAAGATCAAGAGTTAAAAGAGGCTGAGGTTGGCTTGCTTGCTGGGTTTGGGCAAAGCCACTGTACACAGTACCCAAATAATATCTGGAATCAGATCGCTCATTGTACTTATAGAAAATTAGAGTGTTCTTTGGTCTATTCATATTGTTGGAGTTTCCCCTTTGTCTTTCCTGGGTGGGGAAGTTAAAGAGGAATCTCACAGTTATTTAAGTTGGTGGGATAGAGATGTAGCTCATGTTGTTCTCCTTCTGAGACGCACCCACCTGCAGGAAGGGGAATGATTAACCCACCACATGAGGGGGTTTGGCTGAGGTGCAGGAACCAGCATAGAATGAGATAGGAGAACCCAAGTAACTCACCCATCTTCCCACCTGCTGTGATGATAACTGGGGTCATTTATCCACAATGCTTAAAGTGACGGAGACAACCATAGGCATTTGCAAATTCCTTGTCTGCCTGCCTATTTACCTAGGACAGACTTACATTTTGACTTGCCCTTTCCTCCCCAGTTGGACTGGAATTTGAGATGTTCCATCAGTCTGTTTAATCCTTTAGGTCTGACCATGATCTGAGATGAAGTTTGTTCCTTGGTTTTGCTTTTGCTGGTTTGTGATCTTGGTTCTCGACTTAGACTTGGAAGGCTGGACAGAGTCAGAGAGATTGGCAGTGATAATCTTTACACGTGCTTTCTCCTTATGTCATTTTACATTTGGAGCAATCCCTTGAACTCATAGGATGAGTATTGTTAGTTCCATTTTACAGACAAGAAAAGAAGGCTCAGAGTAGTGAAATGACTTGCCCTTTGAGTAGTTGATGTCTAACTCCAAATATTTATTCCACTATTTTCTCTACTAATCATGGTATTTCTCATCACCATTGCTATGCCTGTGAGTAGAATTTTTATCCCTGTTTTCAGAGGGAAAACACTAGGATTTTAAGAAACTTTTCCCCCTTGATAATCCATCGATTCAGTAGTTGTGCCAGATACCAACCAGAGACCTCTTTGTAGGTCACACTCAATCCCTAACAAGTCTAAAAGAAACAGGGCCAGGCATGGTGGCTCATGCCTGTAATCCTAGCACTTTGGGAGGCTGAGGTGGGTGGATTGCCTGAGCTCAGGAATTTGAGACCAGCCTGGGCAACACAGTGAAACCCCATCTCTACTAAAATACAAAAAAATTAGCTGGGTGTAGCAGCGTGCACCTGTAATCCCGGCTACTTGGAAGGCTAAGGCAGGAGAATCGCTTGAGCCCAGGAGGCGGAGGTGAAACCCCATCTCTACTAAAATACAAAAAAATTAGCTGGGTGTAGCAGCGTGCACCTGTAATCCCGGCTACTTGGAAGGCTAAGGCAGGAGAATCGCTTGAGCCCAGGAGGCGGAGGTTGCAGTGAGCCGAGATTGCTCCATTGCACTCTAGCCTGGGCAACAGAGCAAGACTCCGTCTCAAAAAAAAAAAAAAAAAAAAAAAAAAAAAGAAAGAAACAGCAGGGCTCTTAATATACCCCTTAGTGGAGATAAATCCTATAAAATTACACTTCAGCAGCAAAATAGACAAGCACAGTAATTTTGGTGTGAAATGTGCAAAGTCTTATTTACAGAACATCTCATGATGCTGTTCCCAGATGTCTTTTTAAAGAAATTTTTAGTTACATGCAAAGGAACTGAAAACCAGGAATATAATTGGTAAGAAACGTAAATCTGTCCAAAAAAAACAATTGCAACAACTTGATGAGATATATATTTTCTCAGCATCAGCATAAAAGAAAGAACATTCTGATCCAGAAATGGTATGTAAGTAAATAAACTTTAATTGGTTTGACAATGCCCCTTTTCCTGGCAGTGCCAAGAATCCTAGCATTATAATTACACAGTTCTGGGCAGACATGTGGTTTCCATTAAGAAAGACTTGTGATTGACTGAGTTCATGAGGCATGTCAGAAAAAACACATCAATGTCTTTATAAGAAGGGAAGAGAAATGGATCTAAATGTATTTATAACTTCACAAGATACACATTCATAGTTTCAAAAGGGCATACATTTCTTTAATTCTGATGAAAAAAAAAAATCATTAGGGAAAGCCATTGAGAGCATTTTGGCCTCCACTGCTACATGAGCACAGTACAGTGACTTGCATTTAGGTAAAAGGAATACTTTTTTTTTTTTTTTCCCTTACAAGGATTTATTTAAGGATTCTGGAAGGCAAACGTTGAGGAAAGTCTTAGTTGAATAAGCTGTTGCTTCATGGTTTAAACGTTCCCCAACCTCCTTTTTTCCTTTAAATGGCTTTACCATTAACAAAAAGATTTTTCAGATCCGTTCTCTCTTAGCCCCGTGTGGTGAGCCAAGCAGGATTTAGTAGTCTATCTCCCCTCAACCCTACCACCATCTCAACTTTTTAATAGAGGAGGAGACTGAGTCTTGGGAAGTTGGTGAGTTGCTGAAGGTCGTTCAGCTAATAAATGCTTTTAATTTAAAATGTGTTGCAAAAACATTGGAGAGGGGTGAAATGGGCAGGCAGGGAGGGGCTTTGTTCAGCTCTTGCATTGTGCAAATGCCAACACTCCACAGGTAACACAGACACAACATAAGAAATGGCTTGAATTTTATATGCAAAAGGATAAAACTAGCTTGGTTGAAAAGGGTGCATTTCCTCCAAGAACATTTTAAACAAAAACCTAATGACTTGCCGTAATCACCTAAAGTGACTAAAATATTGAATTGTTTATTTTTTGCTTTTGCATAAATACTTTTAAGATGACAAATACTTTTAGGTCTGCCAAATACTGTCATCTTTTGGCAATGTTAACATCTCAGGCTTGATATATTTTCTTGACAGTGAACAATTGTGTGTGCGCGCTTCTTCTTTTCTTGAAAAACATTTTGTCAAGAAGTAGTGGCAAAACATGTGGTAGTGTTTTTAAAGAGACTATCTCTACAAAGGCATCTCTTACATAAAATATGAGACTTTTTAATTTAAAAAATAAATTTGCTTTATTCAATGGAATGTCTAAAGCTGTTTTGTGATTCAGATATTTTTAAGCAACCATCTGGTATGCTAGAATGAATATGAAAAATATTGCAGTCTGAAATTCATGAAACAATGGCCTATGATGTCATCAATAATAAAAATAACAATGAATGATAGCCTCCATTTATCAAGTGCTTTCTATGTGCCAGGCATTGTGCTCTGTGGAACATATTTCTTTAATTCTCTCATTAGTGCCAGGGGTAGGGATTATTAACTCTATTTAACAAACGTAGAAATCAAAGTTCAGTAGTGTATTGCTCAAGATCACACAGATAGTACATAGCAGAGCAGGGATTTATGATTCCCTCCCTTCCCTACGATGTCTGTTACTCTTTCTGCAGTTATTGGACGTTGAGACATTGAGCAGGTCCTATGACTAAAGCTCAGTGTTGGGATCCATTAGTGTAGTTCTTATATACCAGCTTTTGTTATCAATTGGCCCATGGGTGCTGAGAAAAATGGAAATTGATGGGTTTAATTGAGATTAGCCCATGTCTTGAGTGAGATTATCTCTGACAGAGAAACTAAGAGAGTAAAGAGCCTCGACAGATCACATTATAGGAATAGTAGAATTCTGTTATGAGCCTTTGTCTTTTTAGTTCTTATAAAAAAGTGAAAACATATTTATGCAATTCCCATTAAGAGTTACTGTGGATAGGAACAGACAAGGACAACAAGGCACAGGGAGACTAAGGGACTTGCTTGGTCACACAGCTGGTTTTTACTTGAATTGGGGCTGGAAACAAGACTTTCTGACTTGGAGCCCAGTTCTGTATGGAATCACATTAGTTTTCAAAGCCAAGCCTGGTGCTTATTTTCTGGGATTGTATGACTGACATCACAATAAGAGCTTGTCTTTGTGTCATTACTCTTTGGTATCACAACCTTAGTTCAAGGCCTGTCTTATTGCAGTTGCCTTCTAACTTGACTTTCTGCTTAAAATAGTCTCCTCCTCTAATCCATTCCTCCACACTGCAGCTAGGGAGATCTTTAAAGTGCCTCTTCTGTTATGCCTTTCTCCAGTGAAGAAGCTTGAGCTGGCTTCACGGAGCCAGGATTGCTGAATGTTGCCCCAAGGCCTTCCTGGTAGGAACCCAGAGGCTGGTTTCCCTGGGATGTCCCCACAGTGTGCTCCATCACCAGCAGAAGAGTGCCATCCTGGTATCAGGGTGGTGTTTCTCTGCGTTCTTTATGCTGCCCCACCTGCACTTTGACTGAACCCCTTGGTGCCCCAATCCCATGTCTAGAATCATTTTCACCCTGCCGCAGGAGGTTCACATTTCGCTCCCTCTTTGAAGCTTCCTGATCCGTCTCTTAATCACCCCCTCCAATGGTTTCTCTGAAGTGTTGTTGTGTTTTGTTTGCATGTCTCATAACACTCATCATTTTCCATCTTGTATTCTCGTTGTCTTTTCCATGTTTTATTCCCCCTGCCAAGACTGCAAGTTCCTGAAGGGCCGTACCATCTAGAGTTTTGCATAGAAATAATGCACTCCATAGCACTTAGCAGGGGAGGTCAGGCAGTCAACGGATATTGTCTGGAATAAGGGAAGGAGTGAGTTATAGCATGTCAGACATGCTGTTATAATAAATTAATATGTCTTGAATGAATGAACACATGAATGAATGGCTGTGATAGGCACTTGACCTCTTACAGACTTGAGAAAGGGGAGTAAGAGTGAAAGTTTTGAAGTCATTACTGCTGATCCTCTCTCCTCATGGCCACTCTGCTCTTCTGACCATGAGCTGGGTTTGGAGCTGCACACAAACAGAGGAAGGCTTTAGTAAGAAAAGCTGTGTCCCCGCCAGGTTTCTGTCTGCCTTGATCACAGGGATGCCTGCAATTGGTTTTAAATGGTGGTGGATTACACTGATGTCTGTGACTAAGCACTTGTCTGAGGTTTTCCAAGAGCCTCACCATCACTCGTATCCATCATTTGACATGAAGAGGTTTGTGTTTGCTCTCCAGTCTGACAAGAAATTGTCCATCATTTGGCTCAGGAGCAGCAATCTCCCACCCTAGCAGCCTGCTTTCAGGCCCGACTGTGCATTGTGTTAAAAACTAAGCACAGCTCTCTGACCTGGGGATTGAAGAGGAGGCTTTGCAGAAAGCCCTTCTTCTCCAATTTGTTCTTTTCTGTTTCGTGCTGGAACAAGAGAGGTACAGACTGTCGCTGTCCAGCTGCTGTGATATGGAGGGTTGTCGCTCAATTAGGTGTTGGAGGTGGGTGGGAGGATTTGCTGGGTATCAGACAGCCAGGAAGTCAACACACATCTCCTGGTGTGCCCCAGAGGCCTGGAAACATGCATGACACTGAAGGACACGTCAACGATGTTCCTCTGGGGCAGAGAAGAGGGCCTAAGCCTGCGGTGGGCAAGACCAGTGGCTGCCAAAGGGTTTTCTGTTGGAATTATGCAGGAACTAATTCAACTGGAGATACCAGCTGCTGAATGAGGCAAAGAGTGAAGGCCCCTTTGAAGGTTTAAAAAATTCTTTTCCCTCCTCTCTGTGTTATTTCACTGGCTACACTTTGCAAAGGCTAAGCCAGATGGAGAGAAAAGGAGCAAAATATTTGAAGTAGTTATCTCTCCTTCGCATCAGCTAGGGGCAACCTGAACAGGCTATGCACTTCTTGTCATATTTATATTATTATTGATAAGTTCGGGAAGCAGACTCAGAAGAACAATGGGCCTATTTAAAGCATCTTGGAATCACATCAGCTGATACAATAGCAACCCTATCCCCTCAACTCCTCCCTTCAAAGATAGGGTGGTGGGTGTATTAGGCAGAGTCCTTTGGTTTACAAGCAATAGAAACTGACTCTTGACAACTTAAGCAAATGGAAAGGGATTTATTGGAGAGCTTAGAAGTGAGAGGAGTTGAATAAGGAGGTGTTGGGAAGATGAGGATGTGAGGCAGTTCTGGGGCTGTGGTGTAGTCGCTCAGGATGCTGCCTGGCAGAGGCCTGGACTCCTCCTTTTTCCTCCCCTAGGTCCCACTCTTCTCAAGAGTCAGCGTATAGGGAAAGAGTGAGAATGGCCTGACATGGTTATCAGTTTCCCTAAGACCATGAAGAATGGACCAGGGGCAGTTTACGAAAGGAAAAGTACAATTACGAAGAGAAGGGGGGGCACTGGGCAGGAAAAATAACAGACTTCCACCAGAATGGGCCAGGTCCACTGCGGATGGCTGGCTCATAGTTTCTTCCGTCTTTGTGACCAGAGGTATTCATTCATTCACTCATCCATTCCACCTATTTTAAGCACCTACTATGTTCCAGATAATGTGCTAGATGCTGAAAATACAGTATTTAATATTCCAGTTGTCTGTGTTATAAACGGTGCTTCAGAAACAGAGGAGCTGGGGAGAGTGGCCTGTTTTCTCCACAGTGCTGCTCCAGTGAGCCCCGGGGGGATGCCATTCCCAATGCTAGTAAATGGAGGATACGCATAGAAGGGGATCTAGGCCTTTGACTTTCCTCCTTCAGAAAGTTTCCATATTTTACTATCTAGCCTTGGTTGCAATTGCTTCTAGTAATTTTTTCCTATAAGTATTTATCTACATAATTTGCAGTATATTACTTCCAGTTCATTTATGTTACTTCAGAAGAGTTCTTATATCTTTTTCCTGGGCAGTTAGTTGTGTTGTGATCCCTGTGAAATGTCTAGGCACCCACGGACACATGTAATGCTTCTACTTTTAGTGGTCTTCCCTATCCCCCACTTCCTCCTTGGAGTGTCTAATAACTACAAGAAAACACAGGGTTATGGAGCCTATGTCTGTGTGAATTTGGACATCCTCTGAACCTTTTCCTGCCTTCATTCTCTCATCTGTCATACAAGGTAATCCCTGCCCTGCCTACCTCCTTGTATTGTTGGGAGGATCAAATGAAATAATGGGTATTAAAAGGCTTTGAAAAATTAAAAGTGTTCTTAAACCCCAAGGGCTTAAGATTCTATGGCTGAAGGCTAGAGGGCTTAACATGAGGAATGATGACTCTATAGTAAAGATAATAGAAAAATAACAATAGTGGTGCAACTTATCTGGGGTTTATTATACTCCAGACACTATGCTTGGAATGCCCACCCAGTAGTGGCTGTAGGAGATACTGATGCTATCTCCATATTACAGATGAAGAAACTGAGGCTCAGAAAAGTAAAATAGTTTGCCCAGGGGCTTATGGTTTGGTATATGCATAAGCCTGGATTTTAATGAATACATGTCTACTTTATCTCTCCAACTAGATGAATGAATGCTGTCCCTGTCTAACTCCCTCATATTTCTCAGATCTGTTAGTGCTAGGGTTGGAAGCTCCACAGCAGATGTAGGGTTAAAAATGTGGAAGCTGAAATTAGACAACCTCAACTTCACATTTGTCTCTGACACCTCCTAGCTGTGTGATTGAAGTTGAGTTATTCAGTCTCTCTGAGCCTCAGATTCCTTATGTGAAATGGTGGCAATAGTAGTTCCTTATTCATAGGTGTCTTTAGCGGAAGTGCACATGCAAAGTTATAGAAATAGTAATAATAATTACTAATATTTGGTTGAATGAGTGATTAAATTTCTAAACTGGGGTCCAGGCAAAGATTATATAAATCTGGCCAGCCCAATGAAATGATAGAGATTAAATTCTTAGGAATTTTCTCTCCCCTTCCCCCAACCTCACAACTGAGAAAAGTCCACAAATGGGTAGCTTCCTAACTTAATTTGGTCCTCAGATGCATTTGGCTTGGTCGGCAGAATATTTTTTAAGAATTTGAATTTGATGCCAACATCATGAAATCAGGCTTCACATTCAAATCCATATATCTGGCTGCTTTTATAAAATTGGAGAATGTATAATTATGGGCTCACATGCCTGCCCAGCAATCCCCAGCTGTTGCTGAGTATAGCTGCTCTCTTTACCTGGGGATGCAGCACTTCTGTGTGTTCCTGTAGGCATTTGAGTTTGAGGCCCCTGCCTGAGAAACACCAGAGTCAGCCTAGGAAACCTAGGGGAGGAGATAGAAGTGACTCTTTTTAATCTTAAAAAAAGTCTAGTCCTGAAATTGTACCTGTTCCCCATTTCATCCAGGACTTGTCATCAGCATTTACTTCCACCTATTATACTAAGAAGTAGAGAGCAGCACCCGTTGTTGCAGACCAAGGAAGGGGGAGATAAAAGGGAAAACCAGAGAGAGAAGGACAGAAATCATGCTGTTTCTTAATTAAGCTGGGAAGGAGACAGGGGCTGGGAGCGGAATGGCTTGTGGCTCAGCATTTATCACACAACTCCCCGCTCCACCCGGGGCCTGTGCCGGACAGGAGAGCCAAGTTGCTCAGAATGGCTTTGCTGATGTGCCATTGCTGGGGTAAGTGGTTATTGATGAAGGGGCTTAAGTGGTATGTGCCCTAGAGCTCACTCCCAGCCTCTGCAGTTTACCCCATCTCCAGGAGCTTTGTTGCACAGTGCTGACCTCCATGGGTCCTCTTGGCACCCAAGTCAAGGAATCATACCTTCTTCCTCCTGCCCTTCTCACACACACTGAGCTAGGAGTTAGGAAGCTGGACTGCCTGTCCAGGCTTTCTGACTTTAGACTCTGATGCCTCTGCTTTAATGGCTTTATTACTGATCTGAGAAGTAGGCAAATAGCACATTAATGGCTTTTGTGGATAATAGTGATTTGGGAGATGTCACATCAGCAAAATTCAAAAAGGATATGTGGATCCAGAACTTTGAAAGAAAAGGAGGGGAAGGTTAAAAACAAACAAAAAAGTAGATGCAGGGAGAAAAGAGATCTTTGCATTTTAAAAGTATTTTGAATGCAATATTAAGCCTCAGAAGATTTTAGAGATCATTTCTCCCAATGGTTCTCTGCCCTGGACTTATATTAGAATTTCCTGGCCATCTTTAAAGCAAATACTGATGTCTAGCCTTTGCCTCCAGAGATTCTGAAATAATTGGTATGGGGTAGAGACCAACACTGGCATTTTCTAAAAGTTCCTCAGGTGATTGTAGTGTGCAGTCAGGTTGAAAACACTGATCTAACTTTTTCACCTTATGGTCAAGATAGGTGATGTTCAGTGGCTTTCACATGGTCCCAAAGCTGGTTAGGCAGAACTACCACTGGAAATCCAGGTTGCCAGTTTTCAGCCCAGGTGTTTATTTTACACCAGATTTCCTTGCAAATGGTATTCTCGTATCATTTTCATGACTATTGCCATATCTTTATATCATCTGTACTGTTTTAAAAAACAAATGTATTTACATCAATTTACTCTTTAAACTTGAATTTATTTGAAAAGAAACTATAGTGCCGCAGTAAGTAGCAGTTCAGCCTCACCTGCCGTAGATGGGAGGTAACCACAAGAAAAATTCAATGAAAAGAAAGCAGCATTGGGCTGAGTTTGGTGGCTCATGCCTGTAGTCCCAGCACTTTGGGAGGCCGAGGTGGGTGGATCACGAGGTCAGGAGATTGAGACCATTTTGGCTAACATGGTGAAAACCCATCTCTACTAAAAATACAAAAAATTAGCCGGGCGTGGTGGCACGTGCCTGTAGTCCCAGCTACTCAAGAGGCTGAGGCAGGAGAATCGCTTCCCAGGAGGCAGAGGCTGCAGTGAGCTAAGATCAAACCACTGCACTGCAGCCTGGGTGACAGAGTGAGACTCCATCTCAAAAAAAAAAAAAAAAAAAAAAAGGAAGAAAGCAGCGTCGTTAGATTGTAGCTGGACGCTGTTGCCTGCCAATGACTCTGCTAAACATGGAGATTGGTAAGTGGTAGGTGTTCCAGATACTAGCACCAAACTGAGACTCCCTCATTGATGTAATCAGAACAATTAAGAGAAAATTGAAAACGGCACTCTTACTATGTGATTCCATATTATTTAATGCTCATATCCTTGTACCATTAGAATTGTCCTGAGCACATTACTGGTACAGTTTTATTTCCCTTAACAAGTGATGGTAGTGCTTATATAATAAGCAAAGTAGTCTAAAAAAAGGTCAGTATCTACAAAATGGAAAAATGAAGTATAAACTCAGGTCGTTGAACAAGAGACTTGAGAAACTTAGAGAATAGAGTTAGAAACATGAACTAATCATGAACAGCACCATAGAAATCAATTTTCAAATCAGGTGAGAATCTTAACATTTATGGTTTTGGCCACCATTGATATATCGTTGTTAGCAGACTTGTAGGTAGTGCTCTCAGCTAAAGCAATAAGTTGAATTTAGAGGAGCTGGAAACTTTAAGAAGTGTTTCTTGAGATTCTGTTTTACTCTTTCTTTTGAGATTCCAGGTATGATTTGGAAGATTCATGGCAAATAAGCTTCTAACTAAAGGACTCAAATATTATAACAGTAACCAGCATTTTAATTCTATTTTTTGTTATTGAATTTCCACTGGAAGAGACATAGTTCTATGTTCTTTATTTGGTTACACACACACACACACACACACACACACACACACACACACACACTCTTACAGTTGCAGGATGAGAATCTGCCCAGATAAAGTACTAACATACTCTCAGGTACTTATAAAAATTACTATCCTAGGCCTGGAATCTATTCTAGATTTTGGTTGAGCACATTATTTCAGATTTGGTCATACCTTTTCCCTCTCTCCGTATCTCACTCCCACCCATGTGGTAGCATTCATTTTCCAAATTGAAACACTTGCTTCATATTCCCTTTGATTTTTCCAAAGACATTAGAGCCAATAGGGAGTCTTAGTCACCCGGTCAATGCTATTTGATACATTTCCCTAAATGACATGTTCTTCTTCATGTCGTTGCATCCACGCAATAATTAAATGTACCTTCAAACACTATTGAAGGTAGGTAGTCTTTGAGCTTATTGCTTAATTAGTTCAGGTTTGTCCTATAGTTTCCCATCACTGTGCAATCAATACTACTCTAGACAACATTCCACCAATATTGGGAAAAGATGCCTCCTGCCTCCACGAGTGGATGCAGCAGAGTTCAAATTGTGTTGTAAATTAGTCGTATGGGAAATATCAAGTCAGTCATACTTTCAGAGAACTTAATAAGTGAATATACCTCTTCAAAACACACTTTATATACAGAAAAAAAACCCCTACATACTTCCTTGGGACTTATTGTTCCTTTCTTCTTTCATGTCTTCAGGTTAGTAGAAATTTCAACCGAATAAAAGATACAGCTTTTTCAAGGTTCCTGACAAAGAGAACCCTTATACTATTTTACCACCTTCTGGGCCATCACAGTAATTTGATTGAAATGAAAAGCTGGTATTTTTCTGACAAGAGACCTACTAGAGAGCTGAAAGAGTAAGGGCTGAGGGAGTCAGGAGCCCCCAAGATGGATATCCAGGGCCTCTTAGGTAAAGTGTGGCAGGTGGAGCCTGGTGCCAGGGGCGGCAGATCCTGGGACAGCTTTGCCCTATGAGGTAACAAAGCAGTTCCTCATAGGGGAGCAGACCAGAAGGATTCATAGTTTCTAACCATTTGTTATTTTGGATTTCCTCCCAAGATAATTCTGGTTAAATCAAGAGTTTCATACATAGGATGCTGAATGGGAATTTGACCCTTTTTAGACCACTATATATATATATATATCTTTTGCTTTAAATACCAACAGGATTATATTCTCGGAATCAAGGGATCATGGACACTTTATTAAATTATATTTAGCTAGGGAGTTTTCCAAAAAAAAGCAAGCTGGACTTGTGATGGAAAAATTTAAGTACCGTGTAAAGCAAAAAGAATTAGACTGTGAATGCCTTGTCAACAGGGATTTTTATTTTGTTATTAATTCATCTATTCAACAAATATTTATCAAGTATCTTCAAGGTGCCAAGCACTGTGCTAGGATCTGGATGTATAACACTAAGTAAGGCAGACTAAAAAGTTATGGCCCTCAGGTAATTTAATCTTGTTAATCTTTATATCCTCGTTGCCTGACACAGTGGCTGACATGCAATAGTCCCTCAATAAATGACTGTTAACTTGAGTGTGAAGTATGCCCAAGTGCATCCTTTTCATCTGTGTTTTTAAGCCTTGGTAAATCTGCACCTTTGATTGAGCCTTACTGTGCAAATAATACTATTAGTAACAACTGTAGCAGCTAATGTTTATTTAATAAATGTCAAATGATTTACATTCATTAGCTCATTGTCTCAGGGCATTTATCTATTTGACCTAGGATTTCTAAAGATATTTTTAGGCATGTTTAAAACCTATCTACCTTTTTTACAGAGTTTCAATTAGCGTGTAGTTTGGTCTAGGCCATTGTAACTTATTTTGAATCCTTTTCCCCAAACCATAATTTGACAATGAAATCCCATTTTAAGCACATAGTGGGAACACAAACAAGTTCTGATTGAGTGAACTGGATGCAATTTTAAAATGATATTATCAGGAGGCTTATCTAGCTAGATCATGAGTCAAGTCTCAGATCTGTATGTTAATGATTTGAAGTCATTAGTCAATGCTGTTTTGCTATATGTGTCCGCTGGACTTTTAATTTTTTTTTTATTTTTAGTAAGATTCTATCAGCACTGTTTTGATGAAATATTTAAAATAAAACAATAGTAATTGTTCTACATCAGTCAGTGCAGTTCTGCAAAGTAACTGTAGCTTCTTGCGCCATTTTGTTAGGAGCTTGTGGATTATATCATGTGCACAACCAACAACATAAAACCTTTAAAAATACAGAACTCAGGGTACTTGAATGTTTATAAAGTATTTTAAAATTAATTTTTAATGAGTTTTAATATTTTAATATTATACTGGATTTTAAGTAAGAAAGTTGTTCTTGTATTAGGCAGTGGTGTACAATATTACTTCATGGGATAATGTTTAATTAAAATACACTAATTTATGTGTTTGTTTATTAGCTCTATCCCTAAAGCAGAGAGAACCTCTTCACAATTTTATGAAAAATGTAAATGAGGGTTTTGGCACCACTAATACAGTTAAATTAGAATAGGTAAAAATGTATGCTTCTACTTTCATAACTTTATAAAAAAGCACCTTAAAATGTTGATTTGACATACAATAAAGATCACTTTCCAGTGAAAAGATTAAACTCCCATGAAAACAACCTTCTATTTTTCTAATTTCCTTTTGACTTTATTAGGTTTTACCTGATTTGTTCTTGTCTCAAAACATTTTCCCTTGTTTCTGTAATTGTTGGAGTCATTTTGATGCAAGGATATTATAGTCAGTTTTTTTTTTTTAACATTTGGAAATGGTTAGCTACCCTTGCTGAATATGGCCCATTTTGAGTATTGGTGTAACAAATGAGAAACACCTTATTGAATAGTATATATTCTTTGCTGGTTCCTCTTATCCCCAACTAAGATTTTATGTTCCTCAAGATTTGGGCTTGGTTTTTGTAAACTTTTGCAGTGGTTTTAAATATTCATCATGTTTTAGAAATTAGCAATTATATTATAGCCTTAACCTTATTATGAAACTTACTAGTTTCTTTTTCCTTTTTAAAATAATTGTTTAAATCCCTTGATATAGACAAGGGGAAAAAAATGAGAAGGCATGTCATACTCCAGTTTTTCAGAGTTTTATTTAAGTGTTCTAGATACCAGCACACAAACACCTGCTGTTTTTACTGTTCTGGGTGTCATAGAGACACCTTCAGTAGCAACATGTTTCTAGCAGAAAATAAAACAGATTCAAACTACATTCAAAGGGGGAATGCCATGAGATATTTTCTCTCCATTCTTCCTTTGTTAGTTATTTATATTCACACATCTTCACTTAACTACATTCCTTAGTAAACAGCTTGCGGGGGGTTGATATTTGTTAATGAACTGTCAATAAACACATGTTCTCTCGACTTCTTAAAAAAAGACTATATTGGGGTTGAGTGTGCTGGTTTCCAATTCCTGTTCACGCCATGGAGACAGAGAGAGGAGTCTTGGCTGCGGATCTGGCCTCAGAGCTGGGCACGGCTTGCGATCACGTGGTGGAAGCACAGCTTTTGTGCAGGGAGGAAAGTGGCAGATTTTGATAGAGAGCGTGCCAGCAGTTATTAGGAAGAAATCGGGAAGTGTTTGGAAACAGGGCTGCTAGCATTCCCAACAAAGCTGGAGAAGTCTCTCCAAAGAACAAAAGGCAAGCACACGTTCAGGGTGAGGACTTTCTTCTCTGTTGACATATGAGACGTGAAGTGAGTCAGACGCTGACCCAGGTTTGGAGAGAGGACAAATAATAATATCTTTGTTGAAGGAAATGGGGTCTAGTCATTTTCTTTTCTTCCTCCTGTTATTATTCTTTCTTTGCCTTCTCTTTTTCTCTCTATGGCTGAACATCTCTACTCAATTGCCTAATGAAGTCCTTCTGACTATAAAATACCAACGGAGAAGAACCTCGGTCATTTGCAAACAAAAAACAAAAAACAAAACACTCCCAGTGACTTGTGGGTAGAGGAAAGCAATGATGCTGCAAGCAGAGAGTGAACGCAGGGAAGGGGCCAGAGAATGACCTTTGCATTTTGGGCACCAACCTAAAGTACAAATGAATAAGAGAAACTTAGAACAGCCTTAAATAAAACTATTTATAATTTGATTAGCGTTATTACTGCCTTCTCTTCACTTTGAATCAAATTATCTCAAGAGCAACAATTCTGGAAATTTTTGCTTTAGAAAAAGAAAAAAAAAGTTGAATTTCCCAGTATCCTTGTCTGCTTTTTTTTTTTCCTTAAAAATTTCATGCATTGTTAGGGAAGAAAAGTCTAGTCTAACTCACAAATGCATCCTTATTCTCATGTATATTTGATACCGGCCCCAGTCTAATCTGATAAAGTGCACTTTGCCTGTGGTGTCTTACAATAAGCTGGCTGCATTAGTGCCGGGAAAAATCAATACCGATTTATAATTTACCATCGCAAAAACCTATCACTTTTTATGACCCTCCATCCTGGCTCATTAATATTACATTAAAACACACACACCCACTGCAACAGGGGGAAATTGTAGCTTGTCAGGTTTACAGCCATAAAGAAACCTTTAATTGGGCTTAGTTTGGGAATTCAGGCACAGATTTTGTTTATTTGTTTTATTTTTAATGTATGATATTTACCTTAAGTGAATTTTAAGATAATGTGTAATATACCTATCTATTTCTCTGAAAAGAAAGGAGAAAAGCATGTCGCAGAAATTCTGACATCCACTTTCATATAGATCTTATACATTTTAATAGTCTCTAATAGCATTCTTCTCTGTTTTCCTATAGTCTCCAAACCTTTTTCACTTTCTTCTTTTTTCTCTTTGTGTGAGTGTGGATTTCTTTATGCTGAAACATTCCAGCTGATGGTATTTCTCTTATCTTTTTGGCTTGTCATAGTTGATATTTATCCTTCCCACCTCAGATCAGGAAGAAGCTAAATGCCACCTTTTGCATTGTCTGTCTCTCAAAGAAAGGATGCATATTTGATTTTTCTTCTACACCGAATGGAGAATATTACACTGACCCTGCTTGGAAACTGAGTGATTCTCCTAGTGCTTGTTCTTTCCCAAAAGAGAACTGTGGACTCTCTCTCTGTGTGTGTGTGTGTGTGTGTGTGTGTGTGTGTGTGTGTATGTGTGTGTGTGTGTGTATCTTCAATTCTTTTACCTTCAAGAAACCCCCAAAGAAAAATCAAACAATAGTCTTTCCTTAATCAAGCCTATTAAGCAGCTTTGCCCTCATATGTTTTTAGACTTAAAAGTCTTATATCTAAATTCTTTCCAGATAATGTAAAAAAAAAAAAATGATGTCACTGTTTATGTTGGCAGCGGCAAGGTGCTCTATTTATTTCATACTATTCAAATAGTTTCCAGGGAATTTTTCCTGTAAAAATCATGAACAGAACTTACCACATGGCTTGCCCCTTTCCCTTGCTGCCTTAAAGGTTAAGGCTTCTGCCCCTTCCAACCTTAAAAAGAGGCAAAATGAAGTGTAAAGCAGATCCAAAAAAATAAATAAATAAGGGAAGGGGGAAATTCAGTGTGTTCTCAAGTGTGCAGTAGTTCCACACCATGCAGCAAATACATGTCGTGATTGGGTTTTTAAAAGACATCCGCCTGGCCCCTGACTGACAGGGCCTATTGATTTTTTAGGTTTCTGCCGTCATCGGTTTCCAGCCTCACAGCGGCCGCATGTCGGGGGTCAGGGCGCACCGGGGCGCAGTGAGCCAGCCCTCGCCACTTCCCAAAGTGAAGGGCCGCTGAAAGAAAATCAATCATGTCATAAGTGAGAAGCATCAAAAATTTTCCCCCTGTATGGCCAAGGCCCATCAGCCTGTCTCCACTCAGTAGCTAAGGTTAGGCATCTGTCAAGTCAAGACTAGGTGAAAAGTATTAGAAATGCCAGTTTACCCACGGGTAGACCGTGTGGGTGTGAGGCAGCCTCTTCCCTTTGTCTGGCCATCCCGGGATGACAGGGTTGGCGTTTTCACTTAATTTTTGAGTCAGAATCACCCATTTTCCCTTCCTTTAGCCTTTGTGTGTGTGTATGTCTCTTTCTCTCTCCTCCCTCCTCCTAAGGCAGGGCGGGTTGAGGCCTGGTACCCTGTTTATTTAAGAACCAGTGAAAAGTCAAAGTGGATGCATTCCCAGGCAGCCCACTGGGAGGTCAGCGCCATGGCATTCTTACTAAGTCACAGAGTATATTTCCCTAAATGAAGCAGATTTTTAACCACCCCTTTCATATCTTGCTGTGGAAACGCACATGACACAGATAAGTTTAATTGTGAAATTAATAGTGCATATCCCATGGTAGAAATTTTATTTGGCTACTGTGCTGATGTTTCTGAACTGATAGGATGCTAAATTTTCTTCCTGTGCTACTAATTGGGAGAACGTATATTTTTAATTCTCAGAGAAATGATCAGGAATATTCTGTTCATTTTTAAACACCTTTTTATATTTCTTACATTCCAAATCCATGTCATGAGATTGCATAGTTTGTTGAAAGAAACCGTATTAAGTGTCTAACTTAAAGAAACCCTTTACGTGTACTTTCTAATTGTGAGTTTAGTATTTAGTTTCCAAGCTATAAATCATAGATTATGTATTCTGTGAGAGAATGATAGGTTTTTATTAATGTATTTTAGATTACATTATTTTTAAATCAATAAGGTTCAAATGAATAGTTTTGCTTGCTTGTCTGTTTTGAGGGATAAGAAGGGTGGATTGGGGAACTGGCTGTCAGGCGGGCCTCACTTTGTGGTTTGCATCTACTCAGCTCTGCCTCCTTTCAGGTGTGTTGGTTCACTCTGGTTCCATGATAGTCGCTGTCCATTTAAGACCAGTTTGAAATTTCCCAACAAGAGCTTCTTACTGGAAAATCTGCAGGAGGAGTTCATTTGGGTGTAGGGGCAGATTCTGAGATTTCCTTCTGTGCATGGGATGACTACCCCAGGAGCAGTAGAAGAACCTGAAAATGAATTGAACTGAGAGCTCTGCTGTAACTTTCCACCCTAAATTGACATTCACTGCCTGAACCAAGATGTATACTCACTAATAAATATTTTAGCTCTCTATGCCTCAGTGATTACACTGGCCATTCCATACAGATAAAAATACAAAATGTTTCTTTAATCAGTACTGTGATGTGAGACCGTTAAGGTAATAGTGCTTGAAACTATTAGAATCTCAAAGATATTGACTGGCTTGCTTTTGGCATGGCAATTATAATTACATTTTTAGGTTACATTTTATGGGTTTATACTAGTTATTCTAACATAAAAGAAATTGCTGTCCAGAATTTTAACAGAGGGCAGAATGATCTAGGTTGAAATCCTTAGCAGTCCCAGCATCAGGGCTGCTAATATATGATCTAATTGTGATCAATACTTTCTTTTCTAGTTTCTGTAATGACAAGGCCTTTGCAATAAAAACACTACCATCTTTTTGAAATCCACAGAATGATAAATGACCTAGGCCAACTTGGGGGTGGGGGTGGGGAAGTGTAGTGTATTTTACATTCCTAGTGATTTATTGTGGGTTTGCACACATAACTGGTGTGAAATCAAGCTGGAGGGGGGTTGAGGGGAGGAGGAAAAGTACCCAACAAAGAAATCCATTCTGCCTAAAATGCCTAGGTTTAAGTCCCATTACCATTGATGTGAGCTAAGTACTCTCATCAAGAGGCTTGGGAGCCCTTGAGTTATTTAGATTCTTTTTGTAACATTACAGGAGAGGGGAAAAAAGCCAACACAATGAATCACTACTTTGCTATGTATGAATGGCTAGGTCAGCCTAACTCATGTGTTACATAAAAAGGACCAATTTCATTCTGTCTTGACAATAAATGAAAGCTTGGCTTTGAAGGTACTCTTTGCTGGATCTATTTGCTTTTGGAGACAGTCTATTGGACAGGCTCTGGGAGGCAGGTTATTTCAGGTGCAAGAAAGGAAATCACCTCGTTTCATTAACTATTAGGGACTTAACTTCCTTTGGTGTAAAGCTGAGTCCAATCATCCCAGATCTCCAATGAGAGGATGGGGGCGTGCTTGCTGTCCTAATCAAACCCAGCTGGTCATTCGGTCCCAACAGGTAAAGTTTTTGAGGAAGCCAAGTAGAGATTTGTGAATTCTACAATATAAAAATGTGAAAAATGTGTCAATGTGAGCCCCTTCCAGCTCTGACCCCCCAGTTGTTTATGTCCAACAGTGTTTCTCATGTGGCTGTGGATAAGTTTCTCCCTCTTTCCATTTTAAACTTCCATTTGTAGGTTGCTTGTGACATTTTGCTTCAGGCCAGCACTTAGCATATAATATTACAGATGCCTGAAATCTTTCAGCCTTTCTTTTTCTTTTCTTTTCTTCCTTTCACTCTCACTCTTTTTTTCCTGCCTCTCTCTGTCTTTCATTTCACTCCCAACTCCTTTTTTCCTTACAACACCAAAAACTCTTTCGTTTAAAAAAGTTGGAAAATATATGAAGACACCACACAGCATTCACAACTTTAGCACTGATCTGATCTATTTTTCTGCTATTCAACAGACCTGGATTTTTTCCCTGTGAACCAGAAAGTCTTTTGTTTTCTTGTCTCAGTAAACACAGCATACGGTATGTACTAAGTATTAGGACTCAGGGGTCTTATTCAAATATTTTTTGGGGGGAGTGGGGTCAGGACTATGGAAAGAGATACAGGAGGTGTAGGAGACTGGGTTTTAATGTGAGATCATTAATCATTTCTTTTTTCCTGAATCAGGCTTGGGACAAAAGGGATAAAGAGGGTTTTCCCCTCAAATATTCAATTTATCCTATCAGATTTCCCACAGTGACTTTCTCTACCAAGGTTCTTAATGCACTACTCTTAGAATGTCTCATCAGTGACCAGAGCTGATGGGGTCTTTGAACATTAGACAGTACCCATTAGTCAAGGTCCCTGGGCTAACATCTCTGGATGGCATTTTCTTCTAAGTGTGCCATTAGTTAGTATAATGGACTGGTGTCTGTCAGCCTTTGGGGCAGGACAGAGAGGTGCATCGAAGACCCTTTGTTAGAAGATGGGCTGTGTTTTTTCTTCAACCTGCAAGCATGTCCCCAGCAACGTTTTTAGCTTTTGAAAGACAATAAATGTTAATAGCTTCAGTGAAGTCTTTATAATCTCCCAGGTCAGAAATTGTTGCTGTTTTTTCTCCTTAAAGTCTCAAATATGGATTTACAAAATACTCTTTGGAACCATTATAGTCTTTTGGGTAAATAGTTTTCATTTTAAAACATTTTTATAATACACACATTTTAAAAAATGTTCTAAATATGTATTTTTACGATTGATCATGACAGCGCCTTAAAGAGCCATTATTGCCTATCAGGGAGATAATGTGTGTGTGTATTCAAGAAATTGTCTACAAAAAGAAAACTCCATCTCGAAGCCGTGTATGTTTCCAATGAGGATTTTTTTCTCACCAATAAACTTGAAGAAATTATGCAAAACAATTGAAATTTAGACAGATCATCCAAGTGAGACAGTTCAGAGTTGAGGATTTTTGCAATGCCTCTCAAGTGGCAACTGAGAAATTTCAGGATTGAAAGCTCAGAAACACTGGCTACCTTCCTTGAGGCTGTGAACATAGGTTACCAAAGGTTTAGGTAATTTTCCAGACTTTCTGCCTCAAGCCTGAAGTTTTTAAAAAGAGAAGGCTCTGATTATATTGGGTTCTCTGAACCACAGGTTGCCATCCAATCATGGAGGGCTAGAAATCAGTCTGAATAGGGCAACTACTTGTTGGTTTATTCAAACGTACTGACTGTATCATTGTGCTAGGAATTAGAGATATTAAGAGGATGAGCTGCATCTATGCCCTTGGGGAGCATGCAGACCTACAAACACGTTCACTGTGGCAAATCTACAATGGAGGCATGAATGAATCGAAACACCAGCAAAATGATTTAGGAATAAGAACGGAACTGCTGTTCATAAGATCTAGGTGTCTGTGCATTTCCTCAGGGTACAAGGTGGTGGCAAAAGACTGAGGGAGCTGGCCCAGGTGGGGAGAGGTGGTGAGAACCAGAAGATGGCATGCAGGTGATAACAACAATGACAATGACCACAGCTGCTACTACCACTACTACTACTAGGAATTATTGAGGATTTTATGGGACATTTAGCTAAGAATAGAATATGAATTAATTTTTACCACGGAAGATAAATGTTTGCCTCATTCAACCAAGAAATATTTATTGCATGCCTTCTGTGTGCTAGTTACTTGGGGGTATAATGATAATAGGGTCCTGCTCCCATGGAACTTATAGTTACTGAGATTGGGGGTTCTGGAGCTCAGACATTAAATTTAAAATTCACACACCTGAATGTGAAATCTGTAATGTGATAAGTTTACAAAAGGGAGGACGCCAAATATCTGGGTGATTTGCTGGTCCTATCTAATGAAGGCAGCAGGTGTGTGTGTGTGTGTGTGTGTTGGTTTGAGCTGGTTAGGAAGGTGAGGGAAACCTCTGAGAAAGTGGTGAAAGAAGAATGGAAGTCATGTAGGTGAAGGGGTGGGATTGGGGTAGGAGAGTGTGAAGAATGTTCTAGAGAGGGAAATAGGGGATGAAGAGAGAAAAGGCTAGAAAGAGGAGAAATAAAAAGGTGCATCAAGAGGGTGGAAATATCCTTCCCTCTCCTCCCCTTCCCTTCTTTCAACAAGTATTTACTGAGTACCTTTCAAGATCCAGGCACTGATCTTAGCAATGGGGATTAGCACAAATAAAAGAGTGAAAAAATCCCTGCCCTCATGGAGCTTACGTTCTAGGGCAGGGAGACAGACAATCAACACACAAACCAGTAAAATATCCAGTACGTCAAATGGTGATGAATTCTGCAAGGAAAATAGTTTGGGAAATAGGGTGAAGAAATATTTGGGGAGGGGCTGAAGTTGTCATTTTAAATACAGTAACTAGAAAAAGCCTCACTGATAGGTTGGCTTTTGAGCCAAGACCTGAAGGAGCAGAGGGACAGAGCCTTGCGGATAGCTAGGGGAAGCAAACACAGGGCAGGAAAGGCAGTGTGAGGCCCTGCAGGGAGTGTGCCTGACAGGTTTGAGGAAGGCTATGGAGGCCAGTGGGGAGGAGCAGAACGTGCATGCAAGAAAGTAGCAGGTGGCGCTGCCCAAGGCATCCTGGGGCCATTTCTTGGGCCCCGTGGGCGCTATGGAGGTCCTGGGCTTTTACTCTGAGTGAGATCGGAAGCCATCGAAAGTGGAGGACAAATAGATGAGAAGAAGGTTTCCAAGCAATGAAGAAGATATCCACCTAGTCATTAGCGTTAAGCCAAGAAGCCTTAAACTAAAGGGAAGCGTTTCCAACAACAGGCTTTGGGTATTCCAGGTCATCTGACATTTCCTGAGTGAAACCTTAAGACCACTACAACTAGTGATTTGATGTTTTTAGAATGGCTTCTGGGTCAGTTCCACTAACAGGATGGCTAAGCCGATCATGATTCATAAAGATGCATTTTGGGAACAGATCCATTGTACTTATTAAACATCTATCCGCTTTGACAACCGTATTGCAAACTCAGTTTCCACGAAACCATCTATGTTTATGTGACAACTGTGTACCTAAATATACGAGACAGTACGTGGGTAATATGGGCAGGTGACTGAAATAAAGTCAGCTGAGGGCTGAGTGACAGGGCATCCAGCTGGGTAGATGGAAGAGCAGGGAGGGAAAAAGAGCAGCTGGGGACACAGATTGAGGTGGGCAGGAAAGACAATGGCCTGTCAGGATGAGCACCTTCCCACAAAGGTCATCAGCCCTTCATGGACAATCAGCACGGACACCTTGGCTTTTGTGTAAGCTGAAGTTTCATTCTCTAGAGAACCCAGTGTGTTCTCCAAAAGGAAGGTTAAAATTCATTGTGGCAATTTGCAAAATGATGAAGAGGAAGAAATAGTTTATTATTCACATTCAAATGCTTTGTTACCCATACATGAGTGTCCTTCTTCTGGTTCCCTTTCTAGCATTAGGGCTATAGTCTTTGGTATGAATCTTTAATATTAATCTCTGAACACTAAGAAGCAATTTCAATGTTATGGACTTTAGGTCCTCGGCACTTTTCCAGGGTGGAGGTGAGGGAGAGCACTCCCTAGGCTTAGCTCTTGAAGACAGTGCTGGATGGGCGTGTTGGTTCTGTGGGCTTTTTAGAGGCCACAGTAAAAATCTTCTTATATTTAGACCTCTTCATGCTTTGGGACTGCTTGTGATGTTTTTCCTGTGGTCTTTTGGTCATCTCCTTGACAATTTCCTCCTATGGCATTTATTCTAGAAAACAGAGGTTCTCAGTATCTTGGGGCAAACACTCTGATTTTTAGTGAAAAGTCATGGAACCTCTTCAGCCTTGACCTGGGCGGGAGGTGTCCTGCAACCGAAGCAAAAGCAACCACGACTCCAAGAAGGCAGTCCCCTGACAGCCTGTACTGCTGGGTCCAGGGCCTTGATGCCGGGAAGTTATTTCGTTTATGTTTGCCTGTTTAAAGTCCCCATTTGCTTTTCTTCAAGGTCCAGCTTCCAAGTCTAGTTGACTTTTTACCATCACTCACTGGGCTGGCCACACAGTGCCGGAATTCATGGGCCTCCCTGGACAGGCTATTTTCCGAGACCCATGGAAATCAGATCAATGCTCGCTCGCTCTGTGACTTTCATCATCCACGTGCTTTCTAAATATGAACTCATTCTTCTTGCAAGAATCAGGTTAAGCATTGTTATCCCCACTTTACAGATGGGCGTGCCCAGATTTCATTATTCCGAAGATAGATTTTGAGTCCATGATAAATGTACTTAGCATTATAGTAAATTGAAGATGAAAAGGCCTAATAGGTTACCCGGTATTGCCCCTCCCTCTTCACCTCCATGCTACCAGAAGCTCCTGCAATCTACTTTCTAGTGCTTTGACCAGTCTTGGTTTAAATGTCCCAGGGGAACCTCCCTGTAAGGCTAAACTTGGAGAAAGAATCTCCTTCTAAAAGCTACTTTTGTGGTCTCAGTGCTATGACTCCTCCTCCCTACAGCTGAAAGGCACTTGGAAGTGAGAGGAATATGGTTGGAAGTCTTTTTTCCTTTCTCTTTTAGGAGAATTACAAATTCCAAGAGTCACATGTGTATCTTTTCCTTTTATAGTAGATTTTTATATGCCTTTCTAGGTTTACTAACAGACATACAGGATTTTGAGTTACAGTTGGGACATGAGCTCATGAAATTAGTCTTAACTGCTTTAACCCGTAGGTGCTTGTGTTTATGGAATAAGAAAGTCATAATCGCTGACCGCAGCCATTAAAATCTGATGTGAGTCAACTTTGAGTACAAAGGCTTTCTATAAGCCAACCCTCTTGAAGCAGAAATGATCACAATGTAATATAATGAGAATAATTAATAAGGAGTGTGCCAGTGACCTTGAATATTAATATTGTTTCCTTTTCCTGTAAACAAACTGGGTTATTTTATTATTATTTTAGTGTGTAATTTGGCATAAACACTCCTTTTCACATGATTTCCCCAGGTGACTTTTGTCTCCTTGGCAATTTCCGGCTTTAATAAAGAAAACCTAATTAAGAAGGAGCTGTTGATTGGTTTGCTAGTGTAATTAACACAGGTGATGCTAATGAGTTTCTATGAAACCGGTGGTTTATGGGAAAAATAAACAGACCGTTGTTGCATATGGCCCAACTGATATCTGCACTCTGGAAGAAATGATGATTTCCAAGTCTCCTGTGAGTGGTTTGTGGGCATGGAATAGGCAGATAAAATATTTTATAAGATTCATTAGTGGAACTTGACCAAATTGAGAGCAAAAAAAGTCTCAGTGTTAGGTGATATTAAAAAATCTGATCCCTGGCTGTAGTACGGGTTAGGTTTGTCATTTTTCATGTGCCTAAAAAGGGGCAGATTTCTTTTGTTTGGGGTGTGTTTCCAATTTTCATTGTAGGCATTTGAAGTTTGCAAAACTTCCAGCAGCCTTTTTTTTTTTTTTCTTTCTTTCTTTCTTTCTTTCTTTCTTTCTTTCTTTCTTTCTTTCTTTCTTTCTTTCTTTCTTTCTTTCTTTCTCTTTCTTTCTTTTCTGTCTTTCTTTCCTTTCTTTCTCTCTCTCTCTTTCTTCTTTTTCTCTTTCTTTCTTTCCAGAGTCTCACTCTATCACCCAAGCTCGAATGCAGTGGCACGATTACAGCTCACTGCAGGCTTAACCTCCAGGGCTCAAGTGATCCTCCCACCTCAGCCACTGGAGTAGCTGGGACTACAGGTGCCTGCCACCATGTTCAACTAATTTTTGCTTTTTTTTTTTTTTTTTTGTAGAGATGGGGTTTCACCATGTTGCCTAGGCTGATCTCAAACTCCTGGGCTCAAGTGATCCTCCTGCCTCGGCCTCCCAGAGTGCTGGGATTATAGGCATGAGCCACAGCCCCCGGCCCCTAGCAGTCTTTCTAGGGACATTTTAATTTTTATTCTTTTCTCCTTGACTTTGCCCATTGACCCTTGAGGATGCTGTGACCAGGAAGGCACATGGGATTGCTGCAGAAATTAAGATTCCTGAAAGTCTCTTTTCTTAGCCTACAAATGCTTCCTGAGGAGCACTTCTTTTGGGTTGGGGGGACCGAGTCTTGCTCTGTTGCCCAAGGCTGGAGCACAGTGGTGCAATTTTGGCTTACTGAAACCTCTGCCCCCCAGGTTCAAGTGAGTCTCATGCCTCAACCTCCTGTGTAGCTGAGATTACAGGTGCACACCACCATGCTGGGCTAATTTTTGTATGTTTAGTAGAGATGGGGTTTTACCATGTTGTCCAGGCTGGTCTCGAACTCCTGACCTCAAGTGATCTGCCTGCCTCAACCTCCCAAAGTTCTGGGATTACAGGCGTGAGCAACCGTGCTCAGCCAATCCTGAGAAACTCTTGATATTTGTATTTTCAGTGGTATCCAGGCTAGGTTGGTACATCCAGAATTACTTACAAGAAGCAAATTTCCTTTCTTTTTTTCTTACTTTTTCTGGGCTGGGAGGGGTGCTAGGGACTTCAGATGTCATTTCACAACTTTATACAAGGAACAAGATTTTTGTGGCATCAATGCATATTTTCTCATTGTAAATTTTACTTGGAATACATAGCTATTAGTGTTGATAATTTACAAATACCCTGTTCAATTTCAAAAATGATTTTTGAAGTTGTTTTCATAAAAGACAAGTTGATCATAAGTCCTTTGATGTTTACACAGCATTTTGAGGCCCCTTCTCTTTTTCAGTGGTATGTTCTTCCCAAATCAATTTTTTAAGTATGTGTTTTGTCTTCATTTTTATCTGATATTTCATCAGCAGCAAGTTAATTCTTTCTCTTTTTTCCTGTCTCCAAAAATGCCTGTTCCACTTTGTCTCTCATCTATTGCTATGTGACAGAAAAACAAGAGACATTCTGTGTCTAGCAGTGCACCTCCAGGGACATCTTTTGAACTCTCATAATTTGTATTTATTGCCACCCACTTTGTAAGTTCACAGTTTAATTTGCCGGCAGTGGCAGTGTTAGGCCGACACAGTAAAACAAGATAACGTTAAAATGTCAGAATGAGAGGGGGCATGAATGATGCATTACCCCTACCAGGACTTGCACTTGTCATTCCTTTCCACCAAAGTGATGTTAACTACCTTTTGAGAGCTTTATCTGACTGGTATTACTCAGAAATAGGATCATTAGTTCACTGTTCTGATTAGGAAGCCGCTATGCTTGATTAACTCTTCTTGGACTGGGATCTCAGTGGAAGCATTAAATGAATCGCACTGACTTAGACATCTAGAACTAATTTATAATTTTTTTTTGCAATTATTTGTAGTTGTTGACATGTGTTTTTCCATGATGTGGTACTTAACGGGAATGAGTTAAACCTACTGGAGACAAGCATGTTTGAGTTGCATATTTTAACCCACATTTCAAGACAGGTCTTCTAGATTTACAAAATGTTTCCTGTGGACAGATACTAAGCCATTGTTCTCAATAGCATCTATGTGTAATTCATTCACAACTTTTTGAAATTTCTGAGTTTGGGAAATTTCAGCCCTTTTGTAGTTTTGGCTGAATCATTGCCCTAGGGGGAAACTAGTTGAATTCATGTTTACTCACAGTGGTGACTTCATGGGTGTTCAGAAGCAGGGCTAACATGTGCCTTAAAGAAACTTCCAAAGTGATAAATCTAGAATATTGAAACAGGAAATCCCTCCCCACTTCCCCATTCCCCAAAACCACCTCACGCAGTTCTTTCCCTCTCTAAAATTTTCTTCGTAATCCTGCTGCTGTCTGAAATCCTACCATATTGATTCTTTGGCTTCTGAGCAACTACATAACTCTCTGCCCTCTTCCAAACATATACTCGATACGTATATGGATGAGTTTTAGATTATCTCAAGAGCCAGTTTTGATAGGGAAAGCATTGAAAGGCTGGAAGGTGGGTATGGGAGTAGCACTAAAGAGAAACTTTATCCTACAACAAGCATCTTGATGGTAATAAAGACGTCTTTTGTGTTCCATAGAAAAGGGCTCCATTTTACGGTAAAGATACATATTGATTCTGGTCCATAATTCCAGAATGAAACTTGTATTTTAGTTTAGCCTTTCCAAAATAAGAATATTTTTCACCTTATAATTCAAAACAGAAACAGAGCTGTATGAAATCATCTGAGGGGGATTTGTATCTCTCCTGCACTACTGCATGTACAGTGCCCAGCACTCCTGGGAGCTCCCTGTGCATTTGTTAAATGGAAGGGATGAAGTTATCACTATGGAGCAGCCTTCCCCACCCCCCTTATAAGTACATTCCCCCAAATCTCTTATTTCCTGAAAAGGTTTTTTTATCTGTGTAGATCCAGAAACTTGGGTTGTTATTACAGATGCCTCTGATGAACCTGGGGTTACCCTGAGCATATTAACAGCACCATCCCATTATGTTCCTTTATCATATACTTGACATCTGCCCTAAATTACTATCCTTCACTATCTGCTTAAGTAAGCCTATGTTCTCTTTGGAGATTTCTTGGCAGCTAACCCTTGGCTGTAGATACAGATGAATTGGCCTTCAGCTATTTGTATTAAAAATATAATCAGGACTTGCTTGTCTAAAAAGGTGATTTGGACCTGGTTTTCAGTACCAAGCCAGGTGGCTGTCTTTCGGGGGGACAAGTTTAACTGAGATGGGGGAAGCTGGATAGCAGTGTAAGAATTCAAAAAGGAACTTGCTTTCAGGGTAGTTACGATAAAGCCCTAGGAGGTACAGGAAAAAGAATATGTGTTTGGTTTGAGTTTCTTGGGTCTATTAATTGCCTTCTAAGAGTGTACTTTTTGTCGGGGTGAATCATTTATCGCCAATTCCAGTTTATTGATATTTCTCTCTGTGAGCCTATTTTTCAGTGGTTTTGCCATCTATTGCCCAGAGAATTGATGCTGTCTGAGATTTGACTGTAATGCTGCTTTTGTAGAGAGGGGAAATGAAGGCATAGAAAAATAAATAGCTTTTTATAACCCTATGTGAAAAAGTGATCATCAAATTGGAAGGACTTTTTCTTTTTCTCCTTCCATACCTGTGTGGCAGAACCTTTTGGTCAATATGGGTCAGGCTTAATCAAAATTAACTTTATTTTAAAACCGCTGTTACTTGGAAGTTCCCTTTCTATACTCTTTCTTAGAAGGGAAAGTTGGGTGTGAAGTTCTAAAAGAAAAGCTCTTTGGACAAGAAAATATAAAACATTTTCCCAAGAGTCACAAATACCAGTGTGTGTTTTAGGGAAGCAACCAATGTTACTTCTTCTAGAAATAATTGGTGTAACTGAATTAAGATTACTTTCCCAAATCAGATCCTCTGCCTTACTCAAGGTTTCCTGTGTTCTACCTTGTCCCAGATAGAGAACAAAATGAAACCCTCACCAATTTTGTCTACCTTTTTTGCTCTAAGCCAAGGTTTTGCAGCACCATTAGGATGTAGATTATCATATTTAAAACCTGTGATGACACCGTTGTACCCATCTGAATGATTAATCTGCTCATTAAAAGAGTGCCGATGGGCTAGTCTAATTGGAACATGGATCTTCTTAAAGGACGTTACAGGGTCGGGAATAGGAAATATTACTCATAACATAAAGTAGGGATTAATTATGCTACTAAATACTACTATGTGAAATTTACATATGGGTCTGGTTAGAGACAAGGATTAGAAAAAGTGTAGCATCCCATTTTATAACATTTATGTCAACTTTAAGACAGGTGGTGTGTTCCTTCTTTAATCCCAAATCTTAAATCAACATTTACAAAAGCTGTTATAAACTCAAATGCCACAGAAGGCTTAGAGGTTGGGATAAATGCAGAATTTGCATAAGTGAATCACCGTGATTTAACTGTATGGATTTTCAAAAACAATTGCAAAGATCCAAAGCTGCAGAGCAGTCTCTACTCTCTGTTAAAGCTTAAACTTCTGCATGATATTAATCTTCCTAGGAATGAAAGTACAATTGGGATCTTTCAGAAAATAGGCAAATCCACTGAGCACAAGTTTGCAAGCATTTTTTTTCCCAAATAACCTTTCTTTAAACAAACAATATGTATAAAAGATGTAAGGGGACTGCTCAAAGCAAAGGGGATGGGAGATTTGAATCTCCACCTAAGAGCTTTTATGCCACATGGATCCTGTGGCCACACAGTTAGAAAACCACCGTATAATATGGAGGTGGATCCTAGAATCTGGGTTGAAAAGAACCTTGAAGCTCTTTTATTCTATCTCCCTTATTCCCAGGCAAGGGAGCACAAAACTTACATAACGAGTTAGTGACAACCAGAGCTAAAAAGTAAAGTTTTTGACTCATAGTTCAGGGCCATTTTCAACAAACAACACGATATCTCTAGTCTGGTTACCAAATATCTCAACACGTTGGATTATTTGTTTGACGCATCACATGTTAAGCTATCTCTGTTTACTGAAGTCAGATCTGTTTGACAAATGTGAAATATATTCTTACACATCTTGATGATTTGTTGCATTTCCACTACTTGAAAATTCATATTATTTTTTTACTTGTAGGCAGATGTCAGATCATGTGTCAAGTAAAAAATGGAAAGTTGCTCCTCTGGAGTAAACACTGTACCAAGAGAAATGAAAATTAGAGCACTTGGTTATACGTGGGCCTCTACCTGTTTAAGGAACTCAAAGGATTACATATTGGTGTTTTGGGTCCTTCCAAGCTCAGCTCAGAGAATTTCCCTGGGCTTTGGTGATCATATAATATTTCTGGGATTGGGGAAGCCTTAGGTAGAGAATACTGTGCTTACAGAGACCCTAACAGACTGTCATTATCAATTCGAGCTTCTCCATACCTGTGGGTCCTTCTAACCAGCTCCCATGTTTGTTCTCTCCTTTCCATTTTATTCTGCTTGTCTGACTGAGTTGAATTCACCATTATCTCTCATCCAGATTACTAGAGTAACTTCTTAGCTATCTCCTGGCCTCCAGTCTTAACCCTACTCGGTTTGCTGTCTACACGGCAGCTAGAATGATCTTTCTGATGCTTCTGACATCACTCTTCTGCTTTAAAGTGGCTCCCACTTGGACAGCCTGGCTCCTCATTGTCCCAGAGATGAAAGTGCAAGCTTTTAAGAGTTATGTACAGTGTCCTTCCTGGCTTCATTTCTTGCTACTCCCCTCCTTACATTGGACCACTTTGCACTGATGCACACTCACCGTGAACTCTGAGCTTGCTTTTGTCTTTGCACCTGTTTTCCCCTATAACTGGTATACTCTTCTTAGCTTTCTCCTTGCCTCAGCTTTCATCTTGCTGTGTCTGACTTATCCTTAGGATTAAATTCAGCATTAACTTCTCAAAGGGGCCTTCTTGGACCCATCAACTTAGGGTACAAGTGTGCACTCTTTCTCCGTCATAGCATTTTTCACACTGCCTGGTAACAGTTTACCATGTAACTCCCCCCATCCCCAGCAGCGAGCTCCTTGAGGGCAGGGTGCAGGATATTATTGTCTTCCTATTTTTGTTTCCAAGTACTATGTCTGATTCCAAGAATGAAATCAATAAATGTGGGAGGAAGGAAACAAAGCAATAAACCTCAACAAGAATTTACACTAGAAATTGTGCAGAGAAAATGTTCCAACACTCTTTCGTTAGATATTCCATTATATACTGCCATTCATTAATAGCTGGATGGGTGCCTTTTTATGTCATGTTTAAATGTTTCGATTTAATATCTTTGTTTTTTTCCTACCCAAGTTACAAAGGGGATCAGGTGACCACCAGCTTCCCTAGTAGCACCTTTAAAAGCACAGGATCCCTGGGGTCGTTCTATTTGTGATTCTACATTGCATGCTTTGTGATATGTTTTGTGTGTAGGCAGAGGCCTATAACTGGTAGAAGAGGTAGGAAAGTTGTTTTTTCAGTTGGAGGGAGAAGCCTTTGTCATGGACTTCGGAGTATTCTCTAAGCTTGAATTGTGGCATGTCGTAGGGGTCAGTTCTGAAGATGTTCTTACTGTCATCCAATGTAGGAGATGAAACCTTCAAAGAACCTGTACTGTCATTCCGTAAAAGTTAATAGCAAAGTATCATTGCAAATCTGTTGGAAAATGTTTGTTTTTTTTGTGGTAAACCTCTGAACATTTTTAAGACTCTAGTGTGTAGAGAACCTTTCTTTAGAAATTCAGATCTGGTGGGATACCATAATTGGCTAGTGGTGGAACAGACATTTGAGGATAGTATTCTTTAGTGAATATCATTCATTCCTGGACCTCCACAGTCTGTAAGTGAAAATATAAGCTATAAGCCACCGAAGAAGTTAAGGAGATACGTGATTGTAGTAAAACCTTGACTGGCCAGAATGCCAGGGAAATGGAGTGATCTGTTATGCTTTTTCAGCTTTGCTGGTGGAAAAGGATTTCATCATCTTTTTTGGTAAATAGTGGTCTGTCTATAGGGCAGTGTTATAGGAGGTACAGGAGGTTGGGCTAGATGTGAACTCACTCTGGGGTGTCACTGAGTTGTTTTCCTAAATTTTAGAATTGTGGGCCTTTTGAGTCAGTATGAAACTTACCCACGATCTGATAAAACCCCATCCTTAAAGAAGTGGAAAGGGAGGCTGCAGAGATGGCTCGAAGTCCTATACCTTTTTAGTCCCGCAGGCGAGATTTATACCTTGCTCTCAGACTTCTAATATACTGTTCTTCACCCTGAACTGTAAGTACCTATATGGGCTTTGTAGGCTTTAAAAAGTATTTACTTTCATTCTCTTATAAGCCCAGTACAGAAAGCAATGCTAGTTAACTGAGGAAAGTGAATAGAACATAAGAAGTTGTACTCTGATAAAACAAAGCTTTCTATAATGACACTCTGGTTTATAGCACTGAGAAACTTCATGATTCTAGAAACTCTTCCTAGGGAGTGTGCAGAGTCAAAGTTGCAAACTGGCAACTGTGATCATATTGAGCTTGGGGAAGCGTTTCGTTTGGCCATTGTGGTGTTGTTGCCTTGTAGATGGGGTATATGGTCCTCTGCTTGCCTCGGTCCCCAGCCTCTTGGCAGCTTCACTTCATTATGTTATTGGCTTGGTTTCCAAGGCTTTTGAATTGGAAGCTCTGAGTTTAATGTGATTGTTTGTTTTGTTTGGGGCCTACAGGAAGGTAAGCAAGAGATGCCTATTTTATTTTCAAAACATCTGAGAAGGGGGCTACATTTATGGGATGGGCTAGTTGTTGACAATGTTGTTTACGTATTTTGGAAGCATACCGCCCCTCAAGCTGCCACCGGCTTTATCAGATCACTTAAACACAGTCCTGTGCTGCCATCGATAGCAGTCCAAATCTGTGACAATTGGTAACCTTCAGCGTTTGTATGGAAAGATGGTTGATCGGCCTGTGCATCGGCACAGATGCAAGGTGTAAACAAATGGGGTTGATGCATTTGTGCCACTAACCACTCAGGTTTATACAAAAAGTATCAAGCTTTCCCTGTTTCATCTGGAATAAGACTTTCTAGGATTTCAAAATTTCATTTTTCTCTCTTCCTAAAAAAATTCGCTCTCTTTCCCTCAGAAGCTTAGATAAAGAAATAATTATTGAGAAAATAGAAATGACCTCCACTGGTCGGAGTTTTACTTAGTGGTAGGTGGTAAGCACATAATTTATCTCTTGTTCCTAAAATGATTTTTATTTTTTAGAAAATAAATTAAAAGAGTAACTTACATTCTCTGTAGAGAATTTAAAAGAATACAGACTGGAAAGAAAAAATTATCTTTTATCCAAAAATTTGGAAAAATCATCTTTTTAACATCTGTATTTTTTTCAGAATATTTTCTCTGTATATATCAGAACTGTGTATTTACAAAATTGGATTATGCTGTTTTGTGACTTGCTTTTTTCTTTTATTGTGAATATTATAGTGTATCTCATAATTTTTTAAACACATAGTTGCACAGCGTTACATCCTATGGCTATAAGTTATTTACTCTGTTGTAGAGTCTGTAGTCAGTTTTCAATTTTTTGCAATTGTTAAAATCAGCAATGAGCCACCTTGTGTATCTTTGGGTTGAATATGATTTTTTTTTCCTTTAAGCTTAATTCCTCAAAGTGTAATCTTTGAATTGAAGGAGATGATCATTTTTAAGCCTTCTGATATATGTGGCTAAATTGCCCTCCAAAAAGGTTATACTGTTTACACTTTCACTATGTGTTAAGACAGTGCAGTTCACTGGCGTCCTCAAAGGACCTCATTTAGAAACTTGTACCAACTTGGTAAACTGAAATATAGTATTTATATTTTGTGATTATTGCTGAGGTTGAATACTGAGCTCGAATATTTTTCTTTGTGTTTTTGGCCATTTATATGCATATTTTGGTGAATTGCCTATTCATTTTCTCCCTTATTTTTTTCCCTTATGGGCTTTTATTTAGGTTTCAAAAAATAAACATTTATTGTCTCACAAGAATTTCAGGTCAGATGTAGCAATCTGAAGGCTCGACCGGGGCTGGGAGATCTGTTTCCAAGGTAGTTCGTTCACAGGGCTATTGGCCTGAGGCCTCAGTTTCTTGATACAAGGCCTTTCCGGGGCTGATTGGGTATCCTGATGACATGGCAGCCAGCTTCTCCCACACTGAGTGAGCCTACAGAGAGCAAACAGGAAACTGACAGGCCTTTTTGACCTAGTCTTGGAAGTCACACATTGCACTTTTTGTCTTCTTCTATTTGTTAAGAGCAAGTCACTAACTCTAGCCCACATTCAGGAGAGAGAAACGAAGTTCCACCTCTTGAAGAATTTGTGGATATATTTAAAAACCATTAGAGAACCTATTTTTTAAAAACATTTTTCAAACATTTTCCTCCAGTTTGCCCTTCAATTTAAATTTTTTTTTACAGAGATGTACAATTTTAATATACTTAAGTCTATTAATCATTTCCAGTTTTAGAGTCTTTCTTTTGCTTTGTGCTTAACAATGTCTTCTTTACTCTAGGGTCAGATAAATCTTCACCTATATTTTCTTTTAGTTCTTTGTTGATTTCACTTTTTACATGTAACCTCTTTAGTGTTTCTATAATTTATTTTTAGAAATAAATTAGATACAGCAATTTTTTTCTGAATAACATTTATTTAAGTGGCAATTTTTGAATAAGCTCACTTTCTCTTAATGATTTAGAATGCCTCATTTATTATCAGTAAATATAGGGTAGATATTCCACTGATACTTACAATATGACTATAGCCCTTATTAAAATCTTAAAATGCTTCCATGCTGATTGGTAAATATCTGCTGCTCTAAGTGTCCCCTCCTTTCCTTCCCCCTCAGTTCAGACCCTTCTCTATCAATTTAAAGGGGCTTCTCTGGTGCATTTAAAGGAGTGAGTGTGGTATTATGTCTTCCAGACTGGAGCTCCAGGGACAATGTAGGTGTCAATTCTGCTATTTTGAATAGCCACCCTAACTAGGGATATATAGGCACATGGCTTTCTGTTCTGTTCCATTGATTGGTCGATCTAGTTTGATTCTCTTACTGCATGATTTTAATTGCTATGGCTGTATAATGTGTTTTAATTATATAATCATCCCCCATTTTCATGACTATTATTGCTTATTTATTCTTGTATATGAATGAATCATATTTTTGGTTAAAATAATGTCTTTAGAAAGTTGAGTAATGTATTAAAGACTAGGGAAGTTGACATCTCTACTAAATTGAGTCTTTCTATCTTGAAAGTATATATATATATACATACATATATATTCTTTTGTCTTAAAAGTCTTCCTATTTTGAAAGAATTATATATTATTTATGTCTTTAAAATTCTTGAACAGGCCTGGTGGCTCAGGCCGGTAATCCCAGCACTTTGGGAGGCCGAGGCAGACAGATTGCCTGAGGTCAGGAGATTCAGACAAGCTTGGTCAACATGGTGAAACCCCATCTCTACTAAAAATACAAAAATCTTCCAGGTGTGGTGGCACACTCCTGTAATCCCAGCTACTCAGGAGGCTGAGGCAGAAGAATCTCTTGAACGCTGGAGACAGAGGTTGCAGTGAGCTGAGATCAAGCCACTGCACTCCAACTAGGGTGACAGAGTAAGACTCCGTCTCAAAAAAAAAAAAAAAATTCTTAAGTAGAGCTAGAGTTTTTCTTTATATTTTTGTTTTAGTTTATTTCGATTTGTTTTATGTTTGGCATCTTTTTTTGGTGTTAGGAATAGTATATTTTCTAAAATATGGGCAAATGGTTATTACAATTATTTATTCCTCAGATATGTTAATGGTTCAGGGGTTCTTTAAGAAAGTTATTTTCCAAGCTTTGGAAAATGCAAATTCACTGAAGTCCTTTAAATAATCCCTCCTCTCACTAGAATTTTGAATTACCTTGATATGATGCACAAAAATTCTGGTCACTTACATTGTTTAAGTAGCCAGTTCAAGATGACTTGGGGACAACTTGAGTAATGTGCGAATCGTGTGGGCAATCACATATTCCTGATATCCAAAATACCAGCCTTTTCATTTTCTTTTTCTGAATGTTTCTGCTTGAAATTACCCATGGTTTAAAATATGCACGGCACATGGCATTGAACGTGGGAAGTGTTGTTAAGTTTTGAATGGGATGGTTAGAAAACGGCGTTTCTGGTTGTGTAAGAGTCTCTCATCTGGATCTGAAGCCTCTTCCGGGGAATTCCAGGCCTTCTCCCCTCTATGTCATAAAAATGACTGGGTGACTTCGCAAAGCAATAATACCAGTGGGATGTGTATATTAACCTGTCTGTGGGGGGAAAATGCTGAGAGCAACAGGCCTATAATTTAGGTAATAGCGATAGCCTATGAAAAACATGCTGCTTTTGCCTTGATGCTAATCAGGAAACCATCAGACAGTCTTCCCTGACTGAGTAAGGGCAGGGCGGGAAGGAAGTCAGCTGTCATCATGTTTTTGAAGAAGAAAAAAATGAGAGGTGAACTGAACTCTGTGATCGGAACCTCACTCTAAGGCCGCTTCCTGAATTTAAAGGTGTGGTACTCCAATCAGCACCGCAAATTGGAGGCATCTGATTTGCATGGATTAACAGGAGTGGGTCACAACCTTCTGACAGGTCAATGGCACCACTGGGGATTTGAAGAAAACTTTGATTCTCCCTCTTTTCCCCCTCTGCCATGAAGCAATCATGCTGTTCTATTGTAAAAGAGGATCCCTTACTTATAAAGCCAAGCTTGTCATTTAAATTCACTCAAGTTAGGACACCACCGAGCTCTGTCAGATGTCAGTCTCAATTCAGCAGGAGAATGTTTTTCAACAGCTTTCTAACCTCTTTGCCGGGAAACACAGAGGCTTGGATCAAGGGGGAGGGGCAGCTGACTGGGCTTGAAGGATTTTTACAGAGGCAAGATTGGAATTTTTCATTTCAGGCAGGTTTTCTTTTTCTTTACGTTTTCTTATTATTATTTTTTCCTTTTTCCCTCTAAGCCTCGTGTAAAAGATATTCCCACAAAAAGAGAGTGAAAAAAAGTCAGATTGGTTGTAAGGACCACTTCAGTTGAGGGTCTCCTTGAAGGTATTTAAACCTGGGAGTGATGTTGGCATCTTTTCTGCATTAGGGGTATTGGCTGTTTGCCAATCATTTCCCTTGAAAAATATCATGCGGCCATAAAGGAACTATGAAATGTTTGGCAGAGGAAGCGTCCATGGCAGAATAGGGACAAAGGGAAATGGAGATTTTCTGATTCAGCCTCTGGTGCCAGACCCAAATAAAAAGAAGAGGCACATGCCATGGAACTATGGCTTACCTGAAACACCCTGGGTCAAGGAGCTTTGAAATGGTAGTGGCAGAGTTGGGACCATTTTTTTCTTGAACCTTGATTAACCAAGTGCTCTGGAGATAAAATGTTCAGAGAGTTCTAATATACTCACTTGCTACGTATTGTTTTCTACATTTAGCTACAACTGTTGATTCAGCATCTCCTATAGGCCAGATATTATGCCAGACCTAATTTGCAACAAAACAGATTTGGTTCCTGCCCTCTTGGGACTTCCTGCTTAGACCTGCCTCATCAATTTTCATTTCTTATGTGACTTAATCTTTGTCATTTAAATTCCAGTATTTTCTTGCATCCATGACAGTGCTTACCATTGTATTAATAATACCTTACAGAAAAGTCTGGTAAATATCTATAATTTTATTGGCTGTTCAAGTAATGTTTAAATTTATGAAGCCTCAGTTTTCTCATCTGTAAAATGGGGATAATAATGTCTATCTCACAGGGCGCTTGTGAAGAGTGAATGGTATAATGTATAGAAAGCACTCAGCAGAGAGCTTGGCACAGAGTTCTTAGTAATTGGGAGCTGCTAGCATTTTTCATTAGAAGTGTGGCTCACGCCTGTAATCCCAGCACTTTGGGAGGCCTAGACAGGTGGATCACAGGGTCAGGAGATCGAGACCATCTTGGCTAACACGGTGAAACCCGGTCTCTACTAAAAATACAAAAAATTAGCTGGGCGTGGTGGCAGGCGCCTGTAGTCCCAGCTACTCCGGAGGCTGAGGCAGGAGAATGGTGTGAACCCGGGAGGTGGAGTTTGCAGTGAGCCCAGATCGCGCCACTGCACTCCAGCCTGGGCGACAGAGCGAGACTCCATCTCAAAAAAAAAAAAAAAAAAAAAAGAAGTGTTGGTGGCAGAGGTAGTGGGAGTGGTAGTACATGCTTAACATCTAGAACCTTCTCTTCTGGTTAATTCCATTGGAACCTTTCTATAATATTTTCAATATTTTCAACTTCTTTTTTCTTTTAGTAAGTATGTCTTTCTCAAAGAATTAATTGTTTGGATGGTTGAAGATAACTTGGAAGACCTTAAGGTCGTGATTTCATGATTTGAAACAAATTGTCAAGAGCTATTTTAGAAGGAATATCTGAAAGTGTGCGTGCGTGTGTGTGTGTGCGTGTGTGTGTGTGTGTCTATGTGTGCGTGCATTCTAAGGTACATCCTGCAATTAAGCTTCCAGTTAAAAGTCCAGTTTTGAAAACCCTCTTGAACTTCTTTTTGAGTTCTCTTTCTTTTAATGGTTACAAATGTCCTTTCAGGGAAAGTTACTCTCAGCTCTCATTCTCCTCCTGGTGAAAAACATTCAGAGACCATTAGGCTGCATCTCAGTGAAAGGAAACTGCAGCATAGAACTTGATCTGAAAAGCCTGTGACACACCGTGTCGCTCCAAAGTAGAAGCCTCCTTGGTACTACAAGACTGTGGACTGGAGTGTGTTGCTGGAGTTTGACATGGGTTCAAATCTTGCCTTTGCCATTTATTAGCTTTGTGACCTTGGGCAAATTTCTAAATCTGAAAGACACACACACACACACACACACACACACACACACACACACACACACACATTTATATTTATTTAATTAATGCAGTATCTGGCATATTCAAGCAGGAGCTTGTAACAAATAAGTAACAACTGTAAGAAATAAGTATTTGTTGCATAAACAAAGCAATGGCCTGCAGGTACTCCTCCTTTGGTAAGCCATTGCTAAGCAACTCTTTGCTACTCTTCCTTTCAGCTGCTGGCTGAACCTGCAGCATCTTCTTGTGACTCCCCTCAATGGTAGCACACTTCTACTCTTTGAGGGTTGATCTGAGTTTCGGAAACAGCCAGCAGTAATTTGATAACGAGGCTGGTGTAAAACATCAGTCGATTAAAGATCATTTTAGATCAGAAATGATGCGTCCCTGTAAGGGAACTACTATATTGAGATGAACTCAAAACATTCTGCCTGGATTTCCAAGAAGAGCTGCAAATGCTCTCAAGCAGTCTTCCAAAGTGACAATTAAGAATGGGATGGAATTCATTTTGATGTCCAGCTCTGGTCTAAAAGTCAGTCACATTCCAGGTCTCACTCTGGCCCCTGTGCTCTGGAAAGAGAGGAGCAGTGAGATATGGCCATTGTTGATATGAAAAGCAGAAGGTGGAGGTCCCAGGCTGCTGAGTTAGCCCTCAGTTTGAATCCTGCGTCTGCTGTTTTTTAGCTCTAAGTCCTGAGGCCTCTAATATACATCTACTCTGCAATTACTTCTCTCTCTCTCTCTTTTTTTTTTAGATGGAGTTTCGCTCTTGTTGCCCATTCTGGAGTGCAGTGGTGCAATCTCGGCTCACTACAACCCCTGCCTCCCGGATTCAAGCGATTCTCTTGCCTCAGACTCCCAAGTAGCTGGGATTACAGGTGCCCGCCACCACTCCCGGCTGATTTTTGTATTTTTAGTAGAGATGGGGTTTCACCATGTTGGCCAGGCTGGTCTTGAACTCCTGACCTCGTGATCCGCCCTCCTCGGCCTCCCAAAGTGCTGGGATTACAGGCGTGAGCCACTGCGCCCGGCCCAATTACTTCTCTGTAATTTTTTTCCCCTGAGGATTGGTGGGGAAAAAAAATGCTTGGCACATAACACTCCATGTTAAGTTTCAGGATTATTTCTTCTTTTTACATTATTTTAGTTTTTTGTTCATATGTACTCAGGGCTCACACTTTGCTTGGCTCCGTAAGTCCTAGAGAAAAATGGTATGAGAAATGAATTCACATGAAGCATTAGTGCCTTAGTCTCTTACTGTTTTTACCTTTCCCGTGAATATTTGTGCTTACAAAATGGTGTCCAGAAAGGCAGTGCCTCAGCGAGATAAATATGTTTCTAATCTTAGCATCTTGGGCAGAGTGAGGCTGGCATCTGAGGTCAGGGAGGCCACAGGGCCACGCTACTGACCGCATTGGTAACAGACTCCATTAGGTTGACAGAAAGGTTAAGGTTCCTGGAATCTGTCTCTAAATTCTCCGTACCCCCTCATTAGGTTAGAAGCCAATGCCAATACAAGTAACCAATACCAAACCCTCTCTTGCTTACAGAGGCATTATTAAGTTGGGGGCACCCTAAGAACAATTCATTGCAAATAATTGTTGGCACATTTATTCTCATGGCACAACTTTCAAAAGCAAATTAATTATAAACTGGTTGCAATTTAATTCAGTTTGTCTGGATTATGTGTTTGCAAGGCCTAGAGTACATTTGGCACCGTTGCTGGCACATTTGGATTTTAATGTCTTTGACAAGCCACAGCTTCCTTGGCCTGGGTAAACGGCCTACTGCCATACTGTCATTTAACTAGATTGCGTCAGAGTGACTCTTTAGCTTCGCGGTGGGTCTTCAGTTTACAACCTCCACGCCACCCCATCAGCCGCACGGGCATAGATCTCAACATGTATCAGGAAACTGGAAGAAAGCTGTGAACAGAATACTCTGAGAAAATGATGGTTAATCGTGTAGAAAAGTTTAACTATTTGCATCAGCACAATATTACACAGGCACATACGACTTTCAGTTCCCTAAACCTGAGAAAAGGTTTAACAACATTGTGTGAAATCTGACATCTTGCTATTCATATAAATGTGAAAGGCAGATTGGGAAAAATACAGTAAAATCCCCGCTTTTGTGCAGAGAATGGTGCATATTTTTCCCCTAATTATGGAAGGTAGCCTTTTATTTCTTCTGAATTCATTCATTTCTGAGCCTGTGTTTTCAGCTTGCTTATGAAACTCAATTATAAAACCAGGGTTAAAAATTAAGTCAAGTCACAGGCTATACTCCTCTTTGATTCTGGGGCTCCTGAGAACTTCCAGCCCTCTGCCACTGGCTTGAAAAATCTCTACCCTTACAAATCTCTCAAGCTTTCATGCACCTCTCCTACACAGCAGATTAATTAAGGAAAAAGATGGAAAACTCCTGGCACCATTTTATCTTTCCAAACTGTGATTTGCCTCTTCCCCCTAAATCTTCCCTTCCCTCTCTTCTGCTCCTTTCTCAAAAAGAAAGTGTATGATTGTCAACTTTCTGAGTTCAAGACAGTGGAGGATTAAACTGGCCTTACTGAGATTTGAACTTGTGACTCAAGTCATTGGATTTTGTGAAAGAGGCCCAAACTCTCCGGACTGGACAGGTTACAGCTCCGGTTTCTGTCCCTCTGCTGCCTTTTCCTGGGTAGCATGATGATCTCTGGCATTTATCTATCTATGAGGCTTGCAAAATCGCGGCCTGTCATAATGGTAAATAAAATGTGTTAAAGTTAATATGAAGAAGAAAGGAGCAATTACAACTGCTTAAAACAGTCTTCAAATATACTTAAGCAGAGGTTTGCCACGTAAACACACAATTAAAGCAGGAATTTGTGATGGATGCAAGGGTTTGACGGTCCCAGACATACTGTTTACTGGTGTAGTTAGCAGATGGATAAGTCAACTGATCCCAGATGTGCAGCTTATAAATATAAACTCATGTCTTACTAGTGATGTATGTCTGCAAGTAGCAACAAATTACTTTCTATTTAACTCTTGACTGTTTACTAGGGGGAGCTTTGTAATGCTCACTTGCTTAAAAAAAAAAAAGGATTTTTAAACAAGTTTCCTCTTTTAAAAGTGGTAACCAAATATCTAAAAAAAAGGTACTTTGGTGCAGAAGTTGTTTTAAAGGACAGGTTTAAATAGGCTTACTTTTTTCTTTTAAGTTCAGATACCTAAGCCTTATGTCCCTAGCCGCAGTTTTCAGATATTTGCAGCTAATTAATTCTTAGGAAATCTAATCTGAATTGAATTAATTTTCCCTTTTAGGGCACACGAAGCAACTTTTAGGTAAGAAAAAAAATGAAAACAGCTTTTGTTGCACATAATTCTTGCAACTAATGAAAAGTAATATTGCTGTTCCCTTCAAATAATGCAATAACAAAACACCAAATGAGAGCATTGCATTGTATTGTTATATTTGCTGTTTAAATAATTTAGCTGCAAAAATCTGAGGGCTGCTTTAGCTGTAATTAATTATTCATTAATGACATGCTAATTGCACAATACCTTTGAATATTTAACAAAATGCAAAAACCAGGCTCTGAAGTTATGTTTTTAGTGCAAGGGGGAGAAGATTCTTTAGTCCATCACTGTACCAGGAGGACAAAAAAAAAGTCCTTTTTCAGATGCGAGGTAAAGTAGTAGTAGTGGCCTACTTTCCATTCACCATCTCAGTCACCCTTTGTGCCGTGGAATATAATGTCCTTATCTAGACTTAACAATTGACAGGGTGGTAAATCCCTTGACTTTTGTCCAAATGATTTCTCTACAAAAATGGGTTAATTATCGCCTTTCCCTAGCTTTTTGACTAACAAAAGGCCCTGGATCTCTTTTTTCCTTTCTTTCCTATTTACTGTAAGGAGCTCTTTGAAATGTGATAGTTTAATCGGCAACACCTTCTACAGGGGGAATACTGAGAGGCCGGCCTGGCCCTGCCTGGAGCTCAGGTTGCTCTGTGAACATTACCGTGGTTAGGAGATATGACCTTTATTATGCCAAAGCCATCCTGGACTTTCAGGATGAAAAACTCCTGAGTGCTCGGTAGTCGACTTCATTTGTTTCTGCTAATAAAAGCTGGCGGGTTTTTAACAGTGTCTTTTAGTGGGTGGGATGACTAAAGGGCACAGTGTTGAACTGGCTTAGCTGTGTTTCACTAATTCCCTGCAAGACAGCGAGTTTGCATCTTTCTGTGTCCTGTCTCTGTTTCCAAGCCTGAAAGCTCCTCATTGTCTCTGACCTGTAAGTCAGGGATACTCTTCGTAGTGGATAAGCAGAGAAGAGGACTGGCTTTTTTTCTTTTTATTTGTCATTATCACCCTCTTGGTCCCAATCAGAGAATCACCAGCCCCTAATTTAGTACAAGGCAGTGAGCTGTGTGGCAGCTTGTCCTTGTGGTTGAGAATATATTTCATGCACTAGGGCCTACTTAGTCATATTTTGCATTTGACTGCCATTACTATTAATGGCATTTATGAATGCACATTGGCGGGAAGAAGACCCCATTGAATCTGTGCATTATCAGAGATTGGGGAATTAGCATACTCCGTGTCTGGTTCATGATGGATTTTACTGTGCTGTGGAAATACTTAGCAATTAAATGAGAAATCACCATTGTGAACGTGCACCTGCCAGGAAAAAAAGAATGGAGTAGAGAAGGAGGGGCATTCACTCAAGTTGACGCCAAGTTCCCTCTTTTGCCATTGCCTTCTCTCATTTGGGAAATGCTACATCTGCCTGTAGCCATTGTTCAACATGGCAATATATAATAGAGCCACTGTTTAGTAAACGCATGGCATCACAGGCCCACCCAGCCAAAAGTGTGTCAGGGTCAAAAGTGTTTATAGTCAATTTGGAAGTCACAGCTTGCAAAGTGAAAAGTGAAATAATGCAAAAGTAATGTATGATTTAGTGCCACATGAATTAGAGAGTTCAGGGATTGCAAAGTGGCAAACCATGCGTTCAGACCAACCCAGAGTCAGATGCATTTTACTTGGCTTGAACTTTTTTCATTCTAAGTTGGAGTTAATATTGAAAAATTGGGAGATTTATATAGAAATCTGACTTTCCATCTTCTCTTGAAAAGTCAGAAGGTCTACCAACATGGGCTGCCAGCCATCCCACATGGCAACAATTGGCCAGAGCTAAGTAGCCCGGGCTTGCATTTTTCATTTGAATACCTCACCTGCCTGGAAGTTTCCTACTTTGGAATAGAGATTTGAGGTAGGAGTGACTATGGGTTAGAGTGAACAGGGAAGGATGACTTTTGGACAAACTCCACCAAATACACTCTCCACATGCTGGTGGTATAGTCATGATGAGATTTCAGATGGTTCCCGCCACTCATTTATAGCCTTTTCCTTTTCCAGAGTAAAATGTCAGAGATAAAGAAGGTTGTCTCCCAGGCCACTGAGGAAGTACTTCTTTGGCTTTCTGCATGGTCCTCAGAACGGGGCCAATTTTACTCGTAAGACTTCTTGTATTTCTTTTTTAGATCTCAGAATTTGTTTTATTAAGCCCCTCTTCTGTGCTAGACACTGGGCGGAGCATTTCTCACACAAATCCACTTCTTTCTGGTCCTGTGTGGGCTGGACTCTAGCAGTAGTCAATGGAAAGCTTTGGACTGCTATAGTGGAAGCTCTGCCTGGACTGAAGTTTTGTTGTGAAATAAATGGCAGTGTGAAGAACAGGTTACTATTCTTCATCGGCTACTGACTCTAGGACTTTAGCCTACCTTGAGCACCTTTTCTTGGGTACATTCACTTAGGATTAATGAATGATGTTGTTACATAAAACCTTGTTTCTGCCCAAGTCCTGAAGTGAATAACATCTAAGGGAAGTAGGCAGGAGTGCCAAGAGAAGCCAATTTCATCAGTGTTAATTGGAGACCTTTGGGCCAGGAAATAGAAGAGCATGGGTAATCCATGTCTCCTTAGCCCACTGCCTGTGTGGAAGCCAGCCTGAAACTTTTGATGTTACTTAGCAATATTAGGGAAACATCTGTGAACAGGCACCACTGTACACCACTGGGAATTGCTTAAAAGTGATACAACGTGAACCTGTCAAGTGACAAATACTGCTGTGGGAGCATGACTTATAAACTGTGTGAACACAGTTCTTCCTGGAAGTATGGATTGAGCTAGGGAGCGGTGGTTACCAGGAGAGAATTTGTTATCCTAGTGTGAATTAGGGAATGAATATCTAACATGAGACAACTAGAGCAGGGGAATTCTTGGATAAATATGGGTAGGGTGTGTATGGCTTAGCGCACATTTGAAGTTCATGACTGAGAAGATTTACTTGGTGAACATTTATTGAATAGATACAATGGGAAAGCCTGTATTTGTTGAAAGAGGCAGATATAGACATCTAAACCAAAGTACCACATTGGCCAGCCATGTCTAGATTGGGTGTGGGTCACCTTTTTATCTTCTAGGAAATTATCTTACTTGTTGAAGTGGCCTCTTTTGGAAAAAGCCTGAACATAGTTTGTCTATTGTGATCTGTTCTTTTTCCTGAAGAAAATATTTTCTTTTTAGTTTTTAATTTTAAAAAGTTTAAAAAGTTGTTTTTGTAGAGATGGGGGTCTCACTGTGTTGCCCAGGCTGGTCTCAAACTCCTGGCCTCAAGCAATCCTCCCATCTTTACCTCCCAAAGTGCTTGGGATTACAGATGTGAGCCACTGCACCTTGCCCATAATGAAAACGTTTTAAAGGAACTAGAAGAATGATAAATGGGTATGCCATCACGATGTGGAAACTATGATAATTCGAAAATTAAATCTGCTCAAATGCTTTTGTGGATTGATAAGAGACAAGTGATTATGGATCAAGTCATTAATATTCATCAATGTAAAGAATAAGTTGGGGAATTATATAGAATTGTAAGGAGAACAGGAAAAGGTATAAAAGGGGATATAAATTACTATTCTCCTATATGCACAGACAAAAATCACAAATGTCTAGTATAAAAAAGGAAGGGCCTTGAAATCCATTGGCATTTCCAGAAAATATTCCATGACCTACTCCTGTTGCAAATGTGCCTTTTACCATTGCAGGGTGATAAAATGCCATGATCCAACTCCAGAGTACAATTAAGGGCTTGTGTGATACAGCAGGCAGCCATTCCATACTTGAGAGTTTTCATTGTATAATTAAAATAAACTGAGGGGCGGGAGGCAGGGAATGAAGTAGGGGAGGAAGGTCCGGCTGAAGCGTATTCAGACATGACATTTTCTAATGTCGATAACCATCGAGAGCTCGGCTTCTCTGTCCATGAAGACGAGAATGCCACATGTCAGTCAAAGGCAGGGTCGCTGAGCAGGGCTGGAGACTGGAGAAAGCAAGGGAGGGTTCATTTGGCTCTGGGAGAGCGCAGACCGGCCTCTTCTCAGGCTTTAATTGTGCTTCCTTTGTGTCAGTGGTGTCCACGTCCAGATTTCTGAAGATGAGTCCTGATGATACAGAGAGATAGCAGGTAGTGCAAATTTGGCTCTCCCCTTTCAAGCTGGGATTCTAGGCCATGCTTAATCCCAGTGGAATAGATAAAAATAACACACCCAAGGAGCAATCTCAGACTTATGTTTTTGAAAGCCATTTTAAGCAATTTTGGCCCTTATACAGTATGCTTGAATAATGCCCCTGCTACAGTGGTTTTTTTTTTTAAACATTCCAGTGTACATCCCTCTGTGAGGGGCTCTGTCACTCTATTTATATCCTGTAGTAAACTAGCTTCCTCTCCTTTGGCTGGGCAGCAGCTGCCATTGGCCTGCCCTCGGGCCTCCCCTACATCACAGAGACAAGCATGTGTGTGAGAAGAACCCAGATCTCCCCCCAGCAAAGAACGGAATGAGGGCTCCAACCTGGGAGAATGTAGTGATGTTTTGACACACCCACCCGTACCCTCCACCCCGATGCAGGAAAAACTGGAATCTCTCTGTTCCTGTGACAGTCTGTCAATTTTGCTTCCAGAATAGTTCTTAGGAAGCACACTCACCCTCTAGGAATGGGGGATTCATGTCTTAAAAGATCATTACAAGTTCTTCAGTATATGCTGAAATTTTTTTCTGTTGCAGTGCTGGAGGTAAATACCAAGAGAACTAGTGCTTTAAAAGCAAAAGCTGGTTGTTAATGGAGTAAGGATGCTTCAGCGATTTAGGGAGGGAACTTTTAAAAGGGGGCTCCACATTTCTCCTGTTCTCCTTCAACCTCCATTTCTACACAGGAGGTAAATGATTTTCATCCCAACTCTTTACTTTCGTATTTAGCTTTGCTCAGACATGATTACTTCTCCTTTACGATTTCTGTTGGCTGCTATCCCTCTGTGTTCCTCCTGAATCTAGAGTTATAGATTGTCATGGCATAGATTAGAGAAAACCTTAAGGAAGTTCCCAGGCAAGATGGCCGAATAGGAACAGCTCCTGTCTGCAGCTCCCAGTGAGACCAATGCAGAAGGCAGGTGATTTCTGCATTTCCAACTGAGATTCCCAGTTCATCTCATTGGGATTGGTTAGACAGTGGGTGCAGCCCAGGGAGGGCGAGCAGAAGCAGGACGGGGCGCTGCCTCACCTGGAAAGCACAAGCAGTCAGGAAACTCCCTCCCCTAGCCAAGGGAAGCCGTGAGGGACCCTGCTGTGAGGGATGGTGCTATCTGGCCCAGATACTATGCTTTGCCCATGCTCTTCACAACCCACAGACCAGGAGATTCTCCCGGTTGCCAATACCACAATGGCCCTGGGTTTCAAGCACAAAACTGGGCGGCCCTTTGGGTAGACACCGAGCTAGCTGCAGGAGTTTTTTTTTTTTCCATACCCTGGTGGCGCCTGGAATGCCAGTGAGACAGAACCGCTCACTCCCCTGGAAAGGAGGCTGAAGCCAGGGAGCCAAGTGGTTTTGCTCAGTGGATCCCACCCCCATGGAGCCCAGCAAGCTAAGATCCACTGGCCTGAAATTCTTGCTGCCAGCACAGCAGTCTGAAGTCAACCTGGGATGCTTGAGGTTGGTGGGGGGAGGGGCATTTGCCATTACAGAGGCTTGAGTAGATGTTTTTCCCCTCACAGTGTTAACAAAGCCACTGGGAAGTTCCAGCTAGGGGGAGCTCACTGCAGTGCCACAGAGCCGCTGTAGCCAGACCGTCTCTCTAGATTCCTCCTCTCTGGGCAGGGCACCTCTGAAAGAAAGGCAGCAGCCCCAGTCAGGGGCTTATAGATAAAACTTCCATCTCCCTGGGACAGAGCACCTTGGTGAAGGGGCAGCTGTGGGTGCAGCTTCAGCAGACTTAAACGCTCCTGCCTGCTGGCTCTGAAGAGAGCAGCAGATCTCCCAGCACAGTATTGGAGTTCTAATAAGGGACAGACTGACTCCTTAAGTGGGTCCCTGACCCCCATGCCTCCTGATGGAGAGACACCTCCCAGCAGTGGTCGACAGACACGTCATACAGGAGAGCTCTGGCTGGCATTTGGTGGGTGCCCCTCTGGGATGAAGCTTCCAGAGGAAGGAACAGGCAGCAGTCTTGGCTGTTCTGCAGCCTCCGCTGGTGATACCTAGGCAAACAGGGTCTGGAGTGGACCCCCAGCAAACTCCAGCAGACCTGCAGAAGAGGGGCCTGACTGTTAGAAGGAAAACTAACAAACAGAAAGCAATAGTATCAACATCAAAAAGAAGGACGACCAAGCAAAAACTCCATCTGAAGGTCACCAATAGCAAAGACCAAAGGTATATAAATCCATGAAGATGAGGAAAAACCAGTGAAAAAGGCTGAAAATGCCAAAAACCGGGATGCCTCTTCTCCTCCAAAGGATCACAACTGCTCGCCAGCAAGGGAACAAAACAGGATGGAGAATTAGTTTGACGAATTGACAGAAGTAGGCTTCAGAAGGTGGGTAATAACAAACTCCTTTGAGCTAAAGGAGCATGTTCTAACCCAATGCAAGGAAGCTAAGAACCTTGATAAAAGGTTAGAGAAATTGCTAACTAGAATAACCAGTTTAGAGAAGAACATAAATGACCTGATGGAGCTGAAAAACACAGCACGAGAACTTCCCGAAACATACAGAAGTATCAATAGCCAAATTGATCAAGTGGAAGAAAGGATATCAGAGATTGAAGATCAACTTAATGAAATAAAGCATGAAGACAAGATTAGAGAAAAAAGAATGAAAAGGAATGAACAAAGCCTCCAAGAAATATGAGACTATGTGAAAAGACCAAATCTATGTCTGATTGGTGTACCTGAAAGTGATGGGGAGAATGGAACCAAGTTGGAAATCATCCAGAATATCATACAGGATATCATCCAGGAGAACTTACCCAACCTAGCAAGGCAGGCCAACATTCTAATTCAGGAAATACAGAGAACACCACAAAGATACTCCTTGAGAAGAGCAGCCCCAAGACACATAATTGTCAGATTCACCAAGGTTGAAATGAAGGAAAAAATGTTAAGGACAGCCAGAGAGAAAGGTTGGGTTACCCACAAAGGGAAGCCCATCAGACTAACAGCAGATCTCTCTGCAGAAACCCTACAAGCCAGAAGAGAGTGGGGGCCAATATTCAACATTCTTAAAGAATTTTCAACTCGGAATTTCATGGTACCAGTACCAAAACAGATATATAGACCAATGGAACAGAACAGAGGCCTCAGAAATAACACCACACATCTACAACCATCTGATCTTTGACAAACCTGACAAAAACAAGTAATGGGGAAAGAATCCCCTATTTAATAAATGGCGTTGGGAAAACTGTCCAGCTGTATGCAGAAAACTGAAACTGGACCCCTTCCTTACATCTTATACAAAAATTAACTCAAGATGGATTAAAGATTTAAACCTAAAACCTAAAACCATAAAAACCCTAGAAGAAAATCTAGGCAATACCATTTAGGACATAGGCATGGGCAAAGACTTCATGACTAAAATACTAAAGGCAATTGCAACAAAAGCCAACATTGACAAATGGGATCTAATTAAACTAAAGAGCTTCTGCACAGCAAAATAAACTATTATCAGAGTGAACAGGCAACCTACAGAATGGGAGAAAATTTTTGCAATCTATCCATCTGACAAAGGGCTAATATCCAGAATCTACATGGAACTTAAACAAATTTACAAGAGAAAAAAACCAACAACCCCATCAAAAAGTGGGTGAAGGAAATGAACAGTCATTTTTCTAAAGAAGACTTTTATGTGGCCAACAAACATATGAATAAAAGCTCATCATCGCTGGTCATTAGAGAAATGCAAATCAAAACCACAATGAGATCCCATCTCACGCCAGTTAGAATGGTGATCATTCAAAAGTCAGGAAACAACAGATGGTGGAGAGGATGTGGAGAAATAGGAACACTTTTACACTGTTGGTGGGAATGTAAATTAGTTCAACCACTGTGGAAGATAGTGTGGTGATTCCTCAAGGATCTAGAACCAGAAATACAATTTGACCCAGCAATCCCGTTACTGGGTGTATACCCAAAGGATCATAAATCATTCTACTATAAAGACACATGCACACGTATGTTTATTGAAGCACTATTCACAATAGCAAAGATTTGGAACCAATCCAAATGCCCATCAATGATAGACTGGATAAAGAAAACGTGGCACATATACACCATGGAATACTATGTGGCCATAAAAAAGAATGAGTTCATGTCCTTTGCAGGGATATGGATAAAGCTGGAAACCATCATTCTCAGCAAACTAACACAGGAACAAAAAAGCAAACACTGCATGTTCTCACTCATACTTGGGAGTTGAACAATGAGAATATATGGGCACAGGGAGGGGAACATCACATGCTGGGGCCTGTAGGGGGGTGGAGGACAAGGGGAGGGATGGCATTAGGAGAAACTAATGTAGATGACGGGTTGATGGGTGCAGCAAACCACCATGGCACATGTATACCTATGTAACAAACCTGCATGTTCTGCACATGTATCCCAGAACTTAAAGTATAATAATAAAAAAGTAAAGAATAACTGATGAATTTCAAATAAGTTTTGTCTCTCCTGCTTACACAAATCAATTGCTTGTGGCTGCTTGGAGTGCTTTGATGGGAAGTCTAGGAAGGCGCAGTCCGGGCTCAGTGGAAATCAGTGTGATGATAAAGCTTTCCCTGCACAAGAGGGTCTGGCATTTCCAACTGCTGATTTTGCATAATCTTATTTTCTATAGATTATGAGAGAAATGATTATAAGTCACTTGATTGACCCAAACATGGAGCAGTTGTGCTGCATAGAATATTTCAATGCCTTCTTTCCCATTTCAGGGTCCCTGGCGCCCCCTGCCCTCCCCACTATTCTGTTTCCCATTTCAGTTGAGATTTCAGAGATGGTTCACAGTTTTCCCAGGAATTCAGACTTCTGCTTAGAAGAGGCACTGCCACACTCTTAGGTAAAATCTGCTCAGCTTGCCTCCCTGATTCTAGAACCCAGAATGATTCTGGAAGTTATGTTAGAGGTCTTGTATGCATATGTCAAGAGAGACCTGTTCTGTTTAGAAGCTTTTCTGGGGAGATTTGGATCCAGTTATGGATGCCACGTATAATATATATCACAACTGGAATTAATTACTTCTTTCTGTAATTATTATATAGCCTTTCACCTTGCTAGATTTTAAGATCCAAAGGAGCACTGCTTTTTTCTCTCTTGTGTCCTCAGAGCCTGGCACAGTGCCTCCGGAATGTGTGTGTGTGTGTGTGTGTGTGTGTGTATCCAATAAACACTTGCTAAATGAAGTGAATGAATGGTTATCAGTACACTTTTAGACTCTGGAAGTTAGCCCTAAAGATTCCCTAAAGACTGTCTAGTTAGAATGATGACTAGCCTATGTGTCATTCTGGCCTCTGTTTGCATTAATGTGACCTCCTGAAAGACAGAAGATTCAATTCGTCAGATGACTGCCCTGGATTCATTTGTGACTCATGATCAGTCTTTCTAGTCACCTGAAACAGTCTTTTCTCTTTCTTTCCCTCCCTCCCTCCCTCCCTCCCACTTCCCTCCCTTCATTCCTTCCCCCCTCCCTCCCTTCCTCCTTTCCTCCCTTCCTCCCTTCCTCTCTTCCTCCTTCCCTCCTTCCCCCTCCCTCTTCTACTATCTTTTCTCTTTCTCTCCTCTCCCCTCCTTCCCCCTCCCTCTTCTACTATCTTTTCTCTTTCTCTCCTCTCCCCTCCCTTCTTCCCCCTCCTCCTCCTTCGACCACATTCTTGCAACAACACTTGCCTTGCTTTTGCCATTTCTACTATTCTCTTCTGGAGATGTATGGCGCCAACCCTGGGTCATTGTAGAGCCTTTCTAGATGGCCACTCTATTCCAGCATTTCTCCTTACAGTGTATTAAACCCCACGGGCTGGAACTTTCTTAAAGACCACTTTAGTAGACCATTCCTCCTTCAAAAACCTTCACTGGATCCCTATTTCCTTGTATTTGAAATTAAAGTCTCTATTTGGAATTCATGATAACTAGTAATCCAGTCCCACTTACCCAATTCTAATGTCCAGTGAAGCAAAACAACATACAATATTAATAAGGACTCTCATTTGTTGAGGGCTTACCACGTGTCAAACACTGTGCTAAATGTTTTTTTCCTATGGGGTTCCAGCTACTATTATTATCCCCAATTTATAAATAAACTTTGTAAAGCTAAAATAGCTGAAGTAACTTGCCCAAGGTTACATGATGAGTCAGTGATAGAACTAGGATTGAATGCAGGTGGTCTGATTTCAGAGCTAGGGCTCTTGACAGTTAGTTAATGATATTATATTTGATGTTCTTTGTATATTACCAGATAGGGGTTTCATATATACAGGGACACAATGCTAAATGTGATGATATCTTAGGACACTGCTTCACAATGAGATAAAAGTATTAAAAATAAGTACTGTGTATATATTTTATTTTATATAGCACAGTTTGTCAGAGAAATCCCCTAAATGATATATGTATTAATATCTGAATTTTTACCCACTGCTTTCTTTCTCATTTTCAGTGTTTGTAGTGAAAAGAATATTGCATATTTATAAAATGCATCTTTCTCTAATAGTCACATGCCTTTTGTTTCCTCAGAAAACTACTAAAGACATATCAGCTGGGAAACTATTCACAACTATACCAAGGCTTTTGTTTACTGATCCTTCCCATCCGACGAATCACTTCACCTTCAGAGCATTAGAAAAGAGGATGTATTTAAGTGGCCTAGGATACCACAGTTCTGGATACAGTAGTAGAGGTTGTTGCAGTTATTACTACTCCTTGGACTCATCACCATCTGATGTGGGACCCCTAATCCTTGGGCAAATCCTGCCCTTTGGTTTCAGCAGGGGTGTGGACTGAGAAAGCATCCTGCACACAGGTGAGGCAGTTTGCAGGTGCTATCACACCCCCACTATACCAAGGCTTTGTTCCAAGATATATAGCAACCAAATAGCATAACAAAATGGTTAAGATCTTGGGTTCTAGCATCTAGATCTTAAAATCTAGGATCAAGGATCTTTGGATCCTTGGAAGAAGCAGTTAAGTTTGGATAATTCAGTGGAAATCCTGATGATAAATGTGTGCATGAGTGTGTGTGCGTGTGCCCCTATAGAGTGTGTTTAGGAGGAGGACAGAGACAGGATGAACGAATATCTTCCTTCGAAACTTGCAGTGTTATTAGGCTCTGACTATAGATGGTTCCATTGTATTGGTTCCTTTGCCTCTGAAAAGCTGGGTTCTTGCTACAAGAATTTATGCTTGAGAGGTTTGCTGTATTTGTACGTGTTCCTGATTCAACGTCTCCAGTCTGCATTGTTTGGGTCTAACCCCTCACATTATCATTCTTCCTCAAATGTGTGTGTCTGGAATGAGTGTCTCTTTCACTCACAGCAAACCTGAGGTGCGTGAATGGTTTACAGAAAAGCCCCACGTGCCATATGTTCATCTTTTTTCTGTCCACCCCAATACAGCTGGTGGTAGTCAGCAACAGATGATTGTTTTCAGTTTTGTCTTTTCTTGAGGCTAAGAGCTTTGCCCTAATGATCTTCAAGGTGGTTGACATTTTCAATTAAAGTCTGCTCTGTCAGACAGACATAACTTCTCACAAAAAGCTGTCAGGAGCTGTCTCCTACCCAAATGTTACACAGATAATGATTATAATCATAATTGGTTTCAATTCATATACAGGCCATCCTTTCATCTGGAGTGGTTTTATTCCAGAGATAGTCCACCAGGAAGTGTCCTCTGTTGGGGATTCACTTTCCATTGGAGTCCATCCTCCATTTGACCTGCGGGGGGGGGGGGGGGGCGGTGGGGTGAAGGGGGTGCAGTCAGAAGGCTAATTGTGTGGAAAGAGCCTGTTTTATCTTCTCTCCTTGTAAAAGGCTGGATAAGGTGGCCTGTATGAACTTCCTGTCTTTGATGTCTCCCTGAGAATGTTCCAAGAACGTTCCAAGAACTACAGCAGCCAAATAGCACAGCAAAATGCTTAAGATCCTGGGCTCTAGAGTCAGACAAACCTAGGTTCAAATCCCAGCTTCACCACTTGCCAGCTGTCTGGCCTTGGGGAAGTTATTTTACCTCTTTAAGCTTTTGTTTACTGATCCTTCCCATCAGACGAATCACTTCACCTTCAGAACATTAGAAAAGAGGATGTATTTAAGTGGCCTAGGATACCACAGTTCTGGACACAGTAGTAGAGGTTGTCACAGTTATTACTACTCCCTGGACTCGTCGCGATCTGATGTGGGACCTCCAATTCTTGGGCAAATCCTGCCCTTTGGTTTCAGCAGGTGTGTGGACTGAGAAACCGTCCTGCACACAATCTCCAAGTTGTTCAGTCCTCTTCCAGGTGAAGCAGTTTGCAGGATCCATCACACCCAGCTCCTTGGCTAGTTGCTTTGTGGTTCTCTTACTAGCAAAGGCTGCAGCTGGTGATTCTGCTAAATTGAAGTGAGAACAAGAAAACTCTCCCAGAATGCACCAGGGCGAGGCAAGGCACTACAGCTACCCGCCAGGTAAGTAAGTACTGGGTGCTGCAGTTAGAAAGAGAGCAGGAAAGCCCCTGGGTGAAGCCTTTAATGAGGAGAGTGGTAAGAGGGTATAAGTGTATTCCTTGAGAGGGTATAAGTGTATTCTGTTTCAGAATTCCAAATTGGAATATTCAGACTTCATAATCCATGGTGTTTGTTAGCTTGGTAGTTGTGCGCCTCTGTGGGATCCTGGGCTCTGTGGGTCCAAGAAGGACAGATTTCCATGATGACATTTTGTTAGATGATTTCTGAGGTAGGAGCTACCTCGCAGCCTCCCCCACCCCCGCCCGGAAAGCAGACACGGTTAATCCTCCATGACTACTGATATTCGCTGATTGAGTGCTTAAAAAGTGGCAGACTAAAGATTTTCCTACAATTGTAGTGCAGATGTCCACATTCCACCAAATCATACCACAGAGCAAAGTCTGATTATGTCATTCCCCTGTGTGCATAATAAACCCAAACTTGACATTCAAGATACCAAATAGCTTCCCTTTTAACTAAATTTCAATTAAATCCAGGTTTGAGCCAGGTGTGCTGGAGATTTTCCATTTTCTTGCCCTTGCTTATTCTGGTCTGCTGATCTGGTATACCCATTTTCTGGTCATCATCTTCACGTTGACTACCAGCCTCTTCTAGGAGGCTTTCCAGCTCCCTCTAAGGCAGCTGGAAGTACTCATCTTGCCTCTGAATTTCCATAGCATGTGTCCATGTCTTCTGGCACTTTCAGCTTTGTACTTTGGAGCACAGGTTATTTCTATGTGCATCTTTTCTCTGTCTAGGCTATAAGTCCTTGAGGGTTAGTTTCTAGTTTATCTTTGTGTTTTTCAGAAGACTCAGCCCTTGTCCCGCACATAATAAGCCCTGAGGTACATGTGAGGCCAATGAGTAGCACCAAGTGCCCACGGGCTCCATTTAATGTGCTGCTCCTCTTGATTTATTTAGATGCATAAAAGCACATGTGTGCCAGGTCTTGAAATTACAGCAGAAAATAATATGGACACAGCTCTTGCTCTCCTGGAGACTGGTGGGAAAGTTGGACCAGTAAGCACACGTTATGTTCAGTGATTCCATACTTAAATCCAGGATGTCATAGATGTCTCTTGGAGGGGCCCTAAGCTAACATTTAAGGGTAGGTCCTAAAAAAAGAAGAGCTTTGAGCTTTGAAATGTTATAGACTGAAAGTTTGTGTCTTTCCAATATTCATTATTTCAAAGCTCCAACCCCCGATGTGATATTATTAGGAGGTGAGGTTTTTGGGAGGTAATTAGGTTTAGAGAAAGTTAGGAAGGTATAGCCCTCCCCTGCCATGATGGCATTACCGTCTTCATAAGAAGAGGAAAAGAGAGGAGAGCGCTCTCTCTCTCGTTCTTTGTGCCATGTGAGGTTGCAGCAAGAAGGCAGCCCTCTGCAGACTGGGAAGAGAGCCCTCAGCAGATATTGAATCTGCAGCACCCTCATCTTGGACTTCTCAGCCTTCAGAACTGTGAGAAATACATTTCCTTTGTTTATCAGCCACACAGTCTATGGTATTTTGTTATGGCAGCCCCAGCCAACTAAGACAGTAATAAAGATGGGAAGAGCATGAGAGTGTTTGGGACAGAGGGAACAGCTGGGACAATTCCCGGAGGAGAAGGGAACATAGCTTGTTTGGAAAACCCTAAATAGCTTATAATGCTGGAGCAGAGGAGGGGAGGAGGGGGGTGAAAGGTGAAGCTGCACAGGCTGTCCTGGGTCAGGGCCTGGAAGGCACTAGGGTTCATGTCAGAAATGCTGGACTCTCCCCTGGGAGCAAAAAGGAGGTGATTGATTAATTCAGAGGCTATGTTAAAGTATCGCAATTTTATGTTGGTTATTCAGGATCTGGCAGTAAGGATAATGAGTTTCTTTTGAATTGAAAAGGGTCTCAAACAAAACAAGAACAAAACCAAAACAAAAATATCAAGATTCCAGGAGCAAAGACCAAGGCACTTGAGCCGGAGTGAAAATTCCTCCTTCAAAGAAAGGTACATTTTGCCTTATAGTGTGAACATGCCAGGTCCACGACGAGACATTATTCTCATGGCTCTGACTGGCAGCCAGGAGCCATGGAGGAGCTCTTGAAGTGAATGGGAATATTTCTTGAGTGGTTTATTGAGAAAGCACAATGGCCAAGGGGTGGGTGTGGGGGACAATGCTTCAGGCTCTCGCCAGTGGGTGCCTGATGAAATACATCTTGACGTGTCATTGAAGTGTGGAGCCGTGCGGCCCCGTGAGGTCACCTGTCCCACCCCCTGCCCAGGCAGATTATTCCTCACACTCTCTTTCTCAGCTCTTTGTCCAGTGGCTTTATGCACCTCAAGCGATGGGGCTTCCACTGCCTCCCTTGGGAAGCCATTCCGCACTCGAATAGAGCCCGCTCTTAAGAAGGTTGCCCTGATATTCAGCCCAAGTTTTCCTTTCTGTAATTACATCCCATTCCGCTCTGCTCTACCCCTTTGCGTGACCCTGAGCAATTCTTTCCCTTCATCGGTGTGCCTACACCCTTGCTCAGGGAGAGTATTTGATCCTCGGTTCTTTTTGTCATCCCTGAGCTTTGCTTATTCCTGGCTGGTGCTGCGGGAACCCTTATAAGTAGCTCCTGCTGCTGTTCTCTTTAATCCTCGTGGCTTCCCTTCTTTGATTTCTGTCCAATTTGCCTATTTCTTTCAGGGGTACTGAAGGGCCCAGAATGAATCCGAGGCTTCCTAACTATATTATTTATTAATATTTTATATGGAAGACCTTCTCAATGATGCTAAACCAGGTTGGGTGGAAAATAAAAATCTCTTTGAAAGACGGAGCTGATGTGAACTCCCTGTGATAAGGACTCTGGACACTTCAGAAAAAAATGAGTTTGAATGCAAGGAAAAGTACCCCCACCCAGTCTTCTGATATTCATGCACCTGTACTTCATTGTACTATTGAGGGCAGAGGAAGCATGAATTTAGGCCACCGAGAGACTGAAATGACCCTCCCCAGTCAGTCGCACTAAGTACAGCCTATTCTCCAAGCCAAGCTTTCGGTTGCCCTCCTCCATGACCCTCTCTTTGATCTCCCCTAACCTCTACTTTGGTATAAGCAGATAAAAACAATCCCTCCTTCCTATGACTAGCCACAGTACTTTTGCAGGGCTTGCTTTGGTGGTACTTCCTATTCTCCATTTTATTCATTTACCCATCCAGCAAACATTTATCTCGTGCCTACTCTGTTCGTGATACTATGGCTCATACTGGGGGAAGTGGAAGATCAACAAGATTAAGGTTACAGGGCAAAATTCTTGCCCTCAAGGAGTTTCCCATCCAGAGGAGGAAGCCAGTGCATAGCTGTAGACAGATGCTGGAGTGGAAATGTGCTGGAAAACTGCATGACTATGAAATAGGAGTGACTTGCAATAGATTCTCATTCTTGTTGTGGATTGTGAGCTTGCAAATGTGGGAAGGGACACCGATTTATCTGGGTAAGCCTACGAAGCCTACCGTGTGCCATCCACATGCTGATGTTAGTATGGTGCACTCATATGTGCCAGGCAATGTGCTAAGCACTTTGTATGTGTATGTCATTTAGTCTTTACAACTTTAGGTACTATTATTACCTTTACATAGGAAGGAGGAAACCACGTCTCTAGGATACAAAGTAACAAACCTGAACCTGAAGTCACAGAGGTGGCAGGTGGCAGCTGAGTTTGAACTGAGACCCTTTGCCTGCAGTGTCTGTTCTCCTGTGCTCTCTGCTATATATATGTGGGTCATCCATTCATGATCAGCTGAGATGGGAAACTGAGGCAGGAAATATGGTTCACAAGGTAGCTAATCAAAGACCATTTTCATGTGTTATCCCATGTCACCTCCCCTTTGCTGGTCTTGGCAAAAAAGCAAAAATGGAGGTAGCAAGGCATTTTGTGTTGTCAGACACCTAGGGAACATGCACATATATTTATTTATCATTTCATTGGTTGCTTTGGAAAGAGGATGGAAAACCAAGCCTCTCCTTTTTTAAAAAATATTTTCTAATCCAGTAGCATCACATAATTCAACCAGTCTATCTTGGGCTATTGAGGAGCAGAGGGATCTGTCTCAGACAATGGCCACCCAGTGCAAAGATAGCTGAATAAAAATGAAATATGAATCATCTACTTATTTGAAAAACCTCTGGGTTCTTGGCAGATTTTTGGAATCATATATATTGGCTTTTTCTGGCATATACCCAGCACAGAGTGGGTGTTTGTCATGAATTTGTTTAAATGAATACATGGTCCCTACTTCAGATACATTTTGCACTTTTTTGGGTGAGAGTTGTATAAATGTGCTCCAGCCAAGAAATGGCTCATTATAGTGATGGGAATTGTGATCATCTTAAACAGAGTCACTAAAGGGAAGAAAATAATCATGTTAGTTTGTCTTTTTCTATGTGCTATCCTTTTGATAAATGCCTTTTTTGGGAGATGGGTCTAGTTTTTCTTCTGCATATGTTTTCTAATCATTTGTATGTATCTGTGTGTGCACGCGTGCACATGCAGTGAGTCTGCAGCAGTGGATATAGGGTGTTCTACCAGCTGGCCTGCCCCAGTTCACTTATGCTAATCTGGGAGTGGGACAGCAGCACCTGTGCCCATGGCTCCCCAGAGGCTTGCTGGGCAAGCGGGGTGGCTGTGCTGCAGCAGCACATTTGCGTCTCCGGAATGTGTCCTCAGCTCCTTGGTGCCTCTGGACTGTGCTCTCTGAGTTCACCTTAACTGTGCCCTCGGAACACAGCCTCTGACTGGCTGCTGCCTCCAAGATGCCTCTGGCAAACGCCTTGTTCTCATCTTCTCTTGGGCAGGGGAATAGGATGAGGGGCGGGGAGCTGGATGAAGGACACTTGCCTGCCCGAGCACCTCCATTGAGGCCAAACAAAAACTGGGTCCACCATTTCCCAAGAATAAACACTAGTGCCAATTTTTCTTAAATGTATTTTAATCTAATAGATTAAAAAATGTAGTGTAGTCAGTTACATCTTAGGCTCTGGAGCCAGCCTGCCTGGGTTGCACCCTGGCTCTAACACATTTTTGTTGAATCTTGGGCAAATTAAACTCAACAAGTCTGTTTCCTTTTCTGTAAAATGGGGATAATGATAATGTCTGCCTTGTAGACTTGCAATGAGTGCAATCATATACATAAAGAATTTAGCTCAGGGTCAGGCTATAATTTTTACTTACTGCTTCTTCTGGGAAGGACATTTAGTGAATACTATGTGCCAGGCACTGTGCTAAACGTTTTACATATGTTGTCTCCTTTGATCTTCATAACAACCTACTAAGGACATTGAAGTTATTTGACTAAATAACTTGTGGGAATTCTAACTCAAATAGTTATGAAATTAACAGAGGAAAAATGTTTGGACTGATTATAAGTTCTACAGTGCCAGACTCTGTACTCTTTCCAAATATTCAACACTGCCCATTGCAAGGTCTGTCTGAGAGTTGAATTTTGAGTGAGTTATTTGAACTACGAAAAACCTTTGAACTTGAGAGCTGGAGAAAGAGGAAGAAAAAGGTCAGTCCCAAGATCTTTCACTCTGGAAGCTTCCATTTCTCTCTCTTTCAAATGACCTCCCCTCATATCTCTACAGAGTGGTATGGCATGCAGTCTTCCAGATAACTTTAAGGAGACAATTCAGCATGGCGATGGTGGGATTGCTCTTGTACGAGTGTGTATGTGTGTATGTGTATGTGTATGAAGTGCACTGTACTACACTGGCATTGCAGAGGTTGTTGAATGAATGAATGAAGGAAGGAACTAATATGCATATAAATGACACATGGTTCTAAAGTGAGATTCGGCTCCCATAAGTCATTCAGGAGAGTCTGTGTCATCCCTTTAACCTGGTAATCATACCACATACACACTCCTACACCCAACACACACACACCATTCTCATTTGCCTGTGTGTAATGGGCATGGTGAAATCTGCCTGTGGCTCCATATCATGGTTTTGAGATTCTATTTTCAATAGTACGATAGATACTGAATGAGGGCAAGTTTCGTTTTTGTGTAATTCAATAAAAGAGCAAAATACAAAAAAGAGTCATTAAAGCATTGTGACATCAACGCAGACTGTCCTTTGTGGAAGTGCAAAGCAGAGGAGGTGCTGTGTTTACTGAAAGATCTGTGCTTTCAATTTATTCATTTGGGTTCTTTTGTTTTGGGGTGTGAGCAGATCTAATTTATTTGTTTTTGTATGCTTACTTTAAAGTGAAAAAGAAACCTATATTGAATGCCTACTATTTCTCCAGCTCTGTGTTAGGTTACTTAGCTTTTACACACCCTTTGAGAAATAAGGTGAGTGACCATTGGCTCAGAGAGGTTAAGTCACTTGCCTGAAGTGGCAGAATTACTAAGCAACAGGACAAAGATGCAAGTCCTGGTCTCTCTGTTCTCAGCTGTCTTTCTTCCTCCTCATAGCTTTGAAAAGATTCAAACAAACAATCAGTGAACCCTTTAATGAGTAGTTGAATTTTATTTACTCTCCAGTAGGGAAAAATCTATATTATTTTTCTGAGCATCTCCAAAGCCCACATAAATCCTGTTGTATTAAGAATTTGATTGGGAAAATGTTAAGCATACAATTTATTGATCCCCTCATCTCCAGCTGACAAGATGGCTTGTTTTGTGCACCTCTTTCGGTGTCTTCATTTTAGTTGTAATTATGTTATCCTTCATAAGAATGATGGTTGCCTATAGTGGTAAGTTTTCTACCTGCAGCTGAACTATCCCCGCTTCCTTTAGCAAAAAGCAATTTCAAACATTTTTTTTTTTTGAAAAACAGTCTCTGGGAAAAAGTTTACATGTCAAAATATTTCTCCCAGTTTGCTTTGAATTTTTAGTTTTCAAAATTTAAGTGATACCCCGTATGTATGTATTGACAGTTTCTCACTGATTAGGAAGAAAAAAATTAAAAAAACAAAAGAGTAAATGAACTGAGCCTTGGCTACAATTATCCTAAGCCCAGTGAAAGGAAAAGTGGCTTCAGAAGTTCTGAGGGATCAGAGACCAGGGTGTCTATCACTCTGTAAAGTGAGTAAATAAATCCTTCAAGGAAAATATCTACCCATGAGGATCTTGGACCATGCTAAGAAATGATCTGGGCTCCAAATGTTACACTCTTGTCTCATGTGAATCTACAGGCAACTTTATACAAACTGAGGTAACTATTATGGGTTTGATGTACAGAGATACTTTTAAAGGAGTGTTCTGGGAGTGCCCTACTAAAAGTCTCATAATAGCAGTTCCAGCATTTCAGTAATCTCTGGGCTTGAATGTGGCTAAATAGTTATGAAGTTCATAGAGGAAGTATGTGTGTTTGGACTGATTATGTTATAAATTATGTAATGATATAAATTATACCATAATATAAAACTTCTAATAACATCTGGGTATATTCTAAAAAAGACATATTATTGAATTATTTTATAATTTTCATATTTAAAATGAATACTTTTTACAAAGTATAAAGATAAACATTAAAATTGCCTTTCACTTTATCTTCCCTCAATAACCACTGTTCACGCTTAGGTATCTGTTTTCTACTCTTTTATTTTATTGCTTACATAAATAGATGCATTGAAATTTATGAATATGAGGACATATGTGTTATACCTGATGTTACATCTTTAGCCCTCTCCTTGTTGCTATTTTTATTAATATGCATTCTGAGAACACATGTTTTTTAATGACTGTATAATATTGTATCATGTGGATATATCATCATTTATCTAACCAATCTGCAATTGTTAGACATTTAAGTTTTTAATTTTTTCATTTTTATAAATAATGCTTTGATAAGCATCCCTGATTTCCTTATGATAGATTCCTAGAAGTGCAATTACAGGCTCAAAGGATATGAATGTTTTCAAATTCTTGATGCAATACCAAAGTGCTTCCCAGAGAGGCTGTGCCAATGTGTGCTCCCTCCCCTCCCACGGGTGAGAGTGCCCATCCACTGTATCCATACTGGTGCTGAGTGCTATCATTACTTGACATCTTTGCCATTTTATTAAAGAGCATATGGCTGGTTGCTAAAGGTAAGGTGGCAAACAAAAAAAACTGTGAAGAGAAGCAGAAGTTTAAATTCCAGACAATAAATGAAAATTGGTAAAGGCATCTGGTTCTTCTAGAAACATCCTTCCATTAATTTGTAGATGAGTATCTCCTATTTCTAGGAGGATGTGTCAACATTTCACAGCCTCCTAGAGTATTAGCTGCCCCTATGCCTCTCTCTATATATTCTCATCTGGCATTAATGCACATTAGATAGGGATTTGGAATGTTTACCACCTTGTTAGAACTTCTGAGCCATTTCTAATTTCTTTCCTATGCTGAACCCTCCAATAAAAAGCAAGTGACTGTTTATATAATATTAGAGCATTTTGAGGTACCTCTGCAGCTAACTAGTTTAAAAATGACAAATTAAGTCAAAGTTTGATTTGCTCCATGATACTGATGTTTGCATTTCCTGAGATGTTTCAGGGAACTGACTAAAAATTTTGATGGAGACAGTCTTTGAGAGTGTTCTAAAAAACTCCACGAGGTCATCTAATTCAACCCCTTGCTCTAGGATCAAACCAGCCCAAAACATGAATACCATGAGGAAGGAAAACAATTTTCATTTTTCATTCACAGTAGTTAAGTGTATTGACAAAATCCCCCGAACACCTGCTTTTTCCTGATCTGTGGCTGGGTAGTCAGTAAATAAGTGTGGAGTATGTTGAGCTTACTCTGAATCAGCAACACCGCTATAGGAAAAATAGTGACCGCTTTAAGTTATAAAATGTGATGGGTCAGAATGGCTTTTCTTTGGCATTTAAAAAAAGTAAACTAGAAATGGGCAGCTTAGTGGGAAATAATTACTGTTGGCTAAAGCAGGTGAGATATGGGACTGGACCTGCTGCTTTGATGAAGAGTTTGCTGTGCACAGCATCATCATTTCCATCGTAAGAAAATCAGAGATGTTCAGCAAAGCATTGCTTATAAAAATGAAAGATTAAAAATGTAGATGTCTAACACTGGACCCCCATTTGCAAAGAAACAGGCTGCCATAGAAACACTGTAGAGCTTTTTAGTTTGTGCAAGATATGAAAATGTGTTTTTTTTTTTGGGTAACCTGAGAAAATTAAAGGAGACCATTTTGAATTGCAGAGGTGGTATGACTTGGTGAGATTGGAACAGGGCTTATACTTGCTTTGCCTCTGACCTGGGATAAATTACTTTGCTCAGTTTACCTTATCTGTAAAATGGAGGCATTTTAATACTTGCCCCCCATTAGATGCCTTAGAAATGTGAACAAGCATTTTGAATTCTTATGAAGAAGGCAGTGTGGAAATTCACAGTGTGATAAATAAATTCCTAAAATGCATCATACAACCATACTTGTGTTTGGGAGACTGGAACCATTTTAAAGAAAAAAGTATCCAAAGTATCCCATTCTTGTTCAAGTCAAATGCTGAATTGTGTAGTGGCACAGCCTATGCTACCAGGGTAGGACTACATAGCTTTACCTCCAGGGCATGGGAAGGTGGGCAGCTCAGTGTGATCAGAGGCGCAGAACCTGCCGCATGATGGCCAGGCTCAGAGGAGCATCTTTTTACCCATATCTTGTTGATTCCAGCTTTCCTTGATTAGTCATTTGCATGCTCATTTTTGTTCTGTTCCTCTCTGGCGGGGTCTGTTAATTACTAAACATGGGAGACTTAACAACCAAAAAAAAACAAACAAAAAAAAAAACAAAAAAACTAGAAAACAGCTCGAGCCTTTTTTGCTCAAGTTTTGTTTTAGGTCCAGTAATTTGAATTGGCAGCCAAAGGAAAAAAAAAAGTAACAGATACACCTGACTAACTTGCATTTCGTATTTCTAACACTCAAAAGTACAATGCTTATGGTAATGAATTTTATCTATTACGAGGGAAAACAATCACCTTTGATGACATTATAGAATAAACACATTTAACAGCACGCTGAATTGCTGAAGTATCATTTTCAACGACCTCATTAGTGTCACTTAATTAAAACTTCCTGCTCTTGACTTTGATGCTGGTACAGGCAAAAACACAGAGGGAATTGAACAAACAACAAAAAAGGTGTAGGGGGTGCATTTTCTAGTGATAAATCGCAGAGGTTGCTAATGAAACCGAATTATGTACCTTTTTCCTGCAACTCCCATAAAATAATCTGAAACACGCAGCAACTTTGCATCAAACAAATTAATCAGCTGTCAGCAGATTTGCCTTATAATAATCTTTTGCACTTATTGATCATTTAAAAAGGGGAGGGGCTTTTTTTCTCTGTACACAAGCATTAGGTTGGTGATAATTAAAGCCTCAGCTTCAGAAATGCCATAATAACTGTTAATTAGCAGGATGCTATTTTCAACATAATTTGCTAATTAGGCAGTGAGCTGGTATAGTGTATATACCTAATTATGAAGGGTCTTGTGCTGTAGACACATGTGACTGGAGTGTAAATGACACCATTATAGGGGTCCTAGCAGACTTTTTAAAAATATAGTTTGTTCAGAAGTACTTAGTTCTTTAGGGACTTCTTCGTATAGGGAATATTACTCTTGGCTGTTTTGCATGAGGCTTAGAAGAGGAAACATTATGTAGAAATATACCATTTCTTTTATCTGTACTGTGGACAGACAGGGTCACTAATTCTAAAGAAGCTTTGTCGCCTGATGCCTGATACAAAGGCTGATAATTTAGGCACTGAAGTTGTACATACTCTACTAGTAGAGAATTACTCTCTGTTTGCTTGCCACACGCGATTCATCTGTGGACCAGGACGCTCTAAATCTTTTAATATTATATGTCTGCCATACTTTGATTTTTCTGCCACACACTGATAACCTATAACATGTATCTCTCTGCCTCTGTCTCTCCCTCCTACTTTTCCCTTCATGTCATAAAGAAAATCTAGACTTTTCGAAAATGGATGTTTATTTCTGCCTGGTTTCTTCTCTAGCCCAGTGTCTAACTGTCTTGATTTTTAAAAAAAGATTTAAAAATTTTTAAAAGAGAGGAATGATAAAACACAAAAAGTAAGGGTGAGCTGTCATGCAAAAGTCTCAAATTATATGCATATTAGCAATATTTATGAGTTTAAATTTGGCTTTTCAGCAGAGCATAAGCAGAGTGAGATCATTTGCAGATATATAAACTGGCTTCCTGGATCATAATAGCTGATTTCTTTTAAATGTTTTACCTTGTTTCAAATAAAACTATATTTCTTTATTCCCTTTAAACGAAATGAAAACTTAATTCAATAATAAATGAGCTTCAGAGCAGCACAAGAGTCACTTAACTTAAATCTTTTTGTAGAGGTTCCCACTTAAGCGGCTTGAAAGACAGTAAATCACACTGAAGAATGGACATCCCAATTTCATTGCTGCGCTGTAGAGAGCTGAATTAATGGCCTTCTCTTTAGAATGTATGGATGTGCTTTCCAGCTGCTAAGCCTGACAGTGTTATAGCTCAATTAATGTGATTTTGATGTAATTGCAGATAGGGAGCATGGTGCCAAAAAATTATTTTTTTTCATAAGAATCACATTTTATCATCCAGATGTGGGCAGAGGGGTGCTTTTTAAAGCTGAATGTGATAAGTAACAGGGCTCCTATTTCTGTTTTTTTGATAATATATTTCTGAAAAAGGGGAGAACAATGAATGAACATATTTATTTATTGAACACTTACTATGTGCCCGGCACTGTGCTAAGCATTTTACTCTAACATATCATTTGATCTTTACAAGCCTATGGAGCAGGTCCTATTGTCATCCCCATTTCACAGATGAGAAAAATGAGTCAAAGAGAGATCAGGCTAGTAGAGGCAGGCCTGGGAGGGATTTGAACCCTTATGTATCTGACACCCTGAGATCATAATTAACCATCATATGGTTTCTCTCCAAGTTGTCCTCAGAGGCCTCTGGCTGGAGATAGTAGGATCCATAAATGTTTAAATGGTTAAAGCAACTTTTTAGAACATTATAGAGTGGTGTTGTGAGAAATAGGTTTTAGGCAGGCTGCCTGGGTGTGAAGCCTAGATCTGCAGATTTCTAGCTGTGTTTGATTTTAGGCAATCTGTTTAAACACCCTCATCCTGAGCTTCCTCAACTGTAAAGAGGGTGTACTAATGATGGCTTCTTCATATGATTTGTTACAAAGATTAAATGAGAGAATCTGTGTAAAGTGTTCAGAACAGTGCCTGGAACATAGTAAGTGATAGCAAAGATAATTGATAGCCAAACACAAGCCAGCAAGGTCATTGATCTCTTCCAGTACAGTTTTCTTTGCCTCATCTTATCTATTGGGTGCAGACGGCCTCTGGGAACTTGGCTGCCAATATTTTCTGGGAAGTACCCAGAATGGCATTTAGCATGATATGGGCTGTGCCTGCTGGCATTGATGTGAAAAAGGCCTTTCTTTTTTGAAGCCACTTTAATTCCTGTATTATTAGAATGAATAATGGTGCTAACTTGGAAAATGATAAGCTGTGTACTTGCTGGTATATATAGCATTACTTGCCAGCCCAAGCTCTGCTCATAGATATGAGGAAAGCACTGAATTTCAGGCACTGTTTGGGGCTCCGGGACACAAGAAGAAGAACAAAGCAGTGGTTCATGAACTGAAACAAAACTCAGGACACCTCTTGCATTCATGATAGAAGATCTAGTTAAGGAAAGAGCACGGAGAAAAATGATGACAACATCGATGATGATTATGATGGTAACTGGCATGTAATGAGTGCTTACTATTCGCCATTCTGCAAAGTTATCACATTCAATGCTCACGATATTTCTACAGATAAGAACTAGTGTTATCCCTACTTATAGTTGATGGAAATGAACATCAAAGAAGTAATTTGTCCACAGTAATACCGCTGCAAATCTTTTTATGCATCTTCTCACCTCAGATCCACATTGCATAGATGGGGTGAAGCCACCTTAAATTTGCCTTGAGTTATGGGTGAAGGCAGGTAGGGTCAAGAGGCCTGGATTACTTTTATTTCTTGGCATTCATTGCATCAACAAGGAAGGCTTGCTTTTCCACTGGCTCGTTGCTTTGTAAATAATAACGTCCTTTATTTGTGGTTGTATTGATTCGGTTGCAATTAATACATTACTAAAGTCTGTATAGACAACTTATTAAGAGGGCTATTATTTGTACAATAAATCCTGGGCATTTTCATTGCTGTGGACCAATAATTTAAATAAGATAGTTCTTTCTTTCTTTTTCTTTTTTCTTTTCTTTTTTTTTTTTTTGAAATGTAGTCTCTCTGTCTTTGTCACCCAGGCTGGAGTGCAGTGGCTCAATCTTGGCTCACTGCCACCTCTGCCTCCTGGGTTCAAGCGATTCTTCTGCCTCAGCCTCCCAAGTAGCTGGGATTACAGGTGTGTGCCACCATGCCTGGCTAATTTTTGTATTTTTAGTAGAGACGGGGTTTCACCATACTGGCCAGGCTGGTCTTGAACTCCTGACCTTGTGATCCACCCACTTTGGCCTCCCAAAGTGCTGGGATTACAGGCGTGATCCACTGCGCCCGGCCAATAAGATAGTTATTTCTAATAATATACTGGGTTGGAACATTTTGACATCTAATAATCCTAATGTGTATGGTGATGTCATTGTTTCTTATTGTTACCTTCAGAATCAATATGCAAAAGTTAATATTAAATTTTGACATCACAGGGGATGCATTTATTAAGATATAACAAATGCGCTATCATTTGCTTATAAGTAGACCTAAATAGAAATGAGCTAGGGTGCTTGGTATACTTGTTGAAATACACATAGATATGAAGAGTTAGGCTTTATTATTTTTATAGAATAATAGTTATGGAAAGGATTTTTGGGGGTTTAGAAATATAACCCTTATATTAAAGGCACATTTCAATGGTGGAAGTATAAATAAAATGTATTAAGCAGGCACTATTTGCTTTTATAATTTTGTCTTGAAGTAAACCTCCAACTTTGAAGCTATTGAAAGAAATTCCTCTTGTACCATTTTGATTCATTTTCTTTTTAGAGCCCACCAAACTTTGTTCCTGGACACATGGGTAGTGGGAATAATATTGTGGACTGTTTCTGTTCTTATGTATTAGCACACTGATTCTCTTCCAAGAGCATGACCTTCTCAGTTTAAAAACAGTTGATATATTAATTAGAATTAAGTTAGGTTGTAATTAATTCCCACTCATCTCCACCCACCACACTCCTACCAAATAACAGTAGCTTAAGTAACAGAAGCTTGCTTATTTGTTTGTTTTCCTGTTTAGGAAATCTGGAGATGGTGCAGTGTGGGGTGTGGCTCTGTGATGTTGGGGCCCTGGTTTCTATTTTCTTCTGTTGTGCATGGCTACAATTCCCAAGGTCACCTAACCATCAGAGAGAGTTGCTGGAGCTTCAGCCTTTACCTGCACATGGTGGCCAGTGGAAGGAGGAAGGAGAGAAGAAGAGGGAGCCCTTTCCCTTTGGAGATCTTTGAGGAAGTTACACTTATCACTTCTCCATGCATCCATTGGTCAGAATTAGTCACATGGCCACAAGGGAGGCCAGGAAATCTTCCATTTATCTATCCAGTTATGCACCATTCATTTACTTAACAAATATTTATTGTATATTCACTCTGTGTTTGCTTTATTCCTGGCAATAAAGAGGTGAACAGGCAGACAAGGCCCCTATTCTGATAGCTCTTGCATCCTAGCAGGGAGCTAGACAATAAGATAAAAGTGATATGTGCTGTGAGGAAAATAAAGCAGGTTGATTTCATAAAGAGGTGATTCATGGCCACCGATAGGGATTACTTTAGATTGGGCAGTGAGAGATTCCCTTTCCAGAAAGGCGACCCAGCTGGTGAATGCATTGATTTTGGGTGTGAGGAGAACTATTTCAGGCAGTGGGAACAGCATGTGCAAAGGCCCTGAGATTGGGGTGAGTTTAGTTTATTTGAGGAACAGAAAGAAAGCTGCACACAGTGGCAAGAGATGGCTGTAGAGGAGTAGGCAGGAGTGGGGCCATGCTAGAGATTGGATTTCCTTCTAAAAGCAGCAAAAACCATTTAGAGGGGAGGCTAAACTACAGAAAGGAAGGATGGGCACGTGATTCAGTTTATCTTTTTTTTTTTTTTTTTTTTTTTTGAGACAGAGTCTCGCTCTGTTGCCCAGGCTGGAGTGCAGTGGCGCGATCTCGGCTCACCACAAGCTGCGCCTCCTGGGTTCACGCCATTCTCCTGCCTCAGCCTCCGGAGTAGCTGGGACTACAGGCGCCCGCCACCACGCCCGGCTAATTTTTTTGTATTTTTAGTAGAGACGGGGTTTCACCGTGTTAGCCAGTATGGTCTCGATCTCGTGACCTCGTGATCCGCCCGCCTCGGCCTTCCAAACTGCTGGGATTATAGGCGTGAACCACCGCACCCGGCCCAGTTTATCATTTTTAAAAGATCATTCTGAATGCCACATGGAGAAAGGTGTAGGAAACAGACCTATGATGCTGCCTCACTCAGCTGTGGCTGGTGTGGGGAGAGAAGGATTTGCCCTCTGCATCTATGTCTATGTTGAACAAATGAAGGAGATTTTCTTTGTCCAGTGGCATCCAGGGATTTGTGTTCTGCCAGGACCTTACGATGTGGCTTTTGCAACACACTGAAAGGACCTGCATGTTACAGAGACATGAGGGAATTGCGTGGAAAACCTCCTTCCACTCTGCAGCATCTGGCATGAGGAAGGTAGTGAGCTTTCACAGCGAAAAGGCAGAAAGACTGCAGGTGAAATGGAACAACAGCCCACCACGTAATTTGCCTTCTCGGCAAATTGTTTACCCATCATGGGGCAGAGCTGATGTAGATGGGCTGCCTGAGCCCCAGGGTGAACCCAGGAGTGGAATGCTAGGGGATAAAAAGTTAGATGACTAAAAACTTTGTCTTGTCATTCTCACAAGGGACAATGTTTTGTGAATAACACATCTGAGCTGCGGAGAAGGTCTCAAGGGCTTAAAACTAGTGATTAAAACAGTACAACTCTGTGTGAATGTAGTTTCAAGTAAGACCATTAAAATGTTGCTGTACCCAAAAAAGGCTAAAAGAAAGAGGCAGTAAACAATGCCCAGGTTTGGCTTTTGAGCTCAGAGGTAATTGCTTTTGAATCTTCCTTTTGACTGGTCCATCACTAGTTCACGAAATTTGAGATTTGTTGATTCAGAATCATTGAGACTTGGATCTGAAAGGGACCTTACAGTGAAATGGGCTGGGCACTGGTTTTACACATGGGTACAATTTGAGACCCAGAAGAGGCGTGGCTTGTCCAGTTTCTTGATTTAAGCTATTTCCTCTAGAGCAGACTTAAGGAAACTAATAGTATATCCCTTTGGTATAACGTGGCTTTTTTCAAATCCCACCTCCCGCCACCCAGCACTTTCATTCTTTGCCCGATATTGCAGAAGCTCAGCAGAGCTACATGGCTTCAACAAAACTAAATTTCCTGTTTTGTAATAAAATTGATGGAGCGATCTGAGACCCACCCTCCATAATAAGGCAAAATTTCTTAAAATATTTTGAAAGTGGCAATATTTTCTCTAAGGAATAACTGAAAGATGGATTCATTTTCATCATTAAATATGGGATGAGAATGCCAGATAAGTTTTAATCTGTAATTTTAAGAGAAGGAGAGAGAGGAGGAGATGATTTTTATGGATAAAGTAAGGTTGGGGATATACTTTGAAAAGGAAGCTTTTCAGGCAGCTGTTAAAATCTTTAAAAAAATTTTACCCCCATTGGAAGGGTGTTACTTATCACCTGGACCTGGAGAATTTTAGAGCTTTAGGAATAAACTGACAGTTCTCTGATTCTGAGCAGTCTAGCTTTGCTTTGATGAAGAGGCTAACGCTCTTCCTGGGTTTTGCTGGAAAGCCCCAAGGCCTTCGGGCTCCACGGAGGGGCTTTCTGCGTTCAAATCGCCCCTCCTGCTAATAGACCACCTAATTGGCTAATTGTAGGCTCAGCCATTCATTTCGGCTGCAATTAGCCACTTACTTCTTACTTTGCAGATACAAGTGGCCACTTGAATTCTCAAAAAGTCCATTGTGAATTCAGTTATTTGTGTGTCTCATTCCACCTGGACAGAGAGTGGTTAGAAAAAAGAGTAAAATAAAATAAATGATAGTCCTTGAAATAAAATCCCTCTGAAATCTGGCTCAGGCTTTCTCAATTCTGAAGTGACAATAACCTGAACAGTTCTTTTTTCAAAAAATGCACATTAAACATAAGACACACATATATCCCAGTAACTGGAGACTTAATTTTTCTCTTAGTGTCCATAATGTAGAGCAAGACATACCCACCTGCTGTTTTTCAGCTTCTTAACTTTCCGTAAATCTACTTTTCCAACCCTTAGATCTGCTGTGTGTAATTTAATTGGCTACTGTACCTTTCTGTATAAAATGAATGTGCTAATTTCTAGAGTGATGCATTAATTCTCTTTGTTATCCACAAAATTCTGGAGAAATGGAAGATCTATTTTAAATGTCTGCCCCTTGCTGACTCTGTCTTCCAGCAAAGTGGAAGAACTATTGTTTTCCTACACCCTTTTGATGTGGTCGGTTATTGTTATGTTGGGTCAAAGGGACTTACCTGGGGGATGACAGATGCAGACACTCTGCCACCAGCTTCCTTAGAAGTGCACAATAGCAACCAAATCAAATCACTGAGAGGATACTGGGTAGAAAGTTGCTTTTGGGGAGAATTCTAGGAAAGAGAAGACTGTGACCTCTGTTACTGCACAATGTCAAGGACAGATGGGAAGAAGGTATGAATCAATATATGTCAACGGCACAGATGGTATAGCCATACAGTGTCCACATCCTGATTTTCTATCCCCTGAAACTGAAATTAATAATGCCTTCATTATAGGCAGTAGCTGCCAAGCAGCTGAGAGAACCCAGCACAACTAAGAGCACTGCTCTGAGCAAGGTGTTTGAAACAGGAGTTTTCGCTGTCTGTCTCTGTCTCTCTCTCTCTTTTAGAAGATTAGGAATGCTATGGATCGTGAGGCAAAAGGGAATCATCTTTTGATGCTGAGTTTTACAGGTTCAATAAACCAAAGATAGAGCAACTGTGGTTGCTTCGTGCTTTGCAATATGTTTGTGCCAGGGAATCTTTCCCCAGGTTCTGGCCATGTCATAAGGGAGAGGGTTAACTTTGCTGTGCCAATTATTGGGCTTGCGGTGTTGAAGATCTCAGACCAGGGTTGGAAGTGGAGTGCAAAGTAAAAATAAGCAACCACAAACCGCCAAAACAAGTATTGGTACATCTCTACAAGCTCCGGCTGGTAATGATGAATTCAGTATTCATCACATGGACTAATTAATGCACGCTAACACAGCCCAGTGCAATTTGCGAGTCACAGATTGCATTAGGTGATACAAATGACTCATTTGTGAACCTGAAGGATGACCTTTGGCAGGACTATCTGCTGACCTCAAAAATATTAAAGAAAGGTTATTTCACCTTGCCATTGTCTCCAAATGCCAAAATAGCCCAATTAAAAACCTTGACTTGGAACCATAGGAGCAGATGCGAGTCCTAAAGGGCATTAATTATTTTCAGTGTCAGCTGGTTGTATAACTGAGGCCAAATGAGAGTTTGGAAAGCTATTAAGGCAGTGTATTATATGCACTGGGTCTAAGATTTGAATTCAGAATAAGGTGTAGATTTCATCTATTTAGGCAAGCTGTATAGAATTTGTGCTGGCTGTCCTGTTAAGGATTAAGGGCTAACATAGGCGAAACGAAGCTCATCACCCTTGCTGGGTTCTTCCCTCTGTAATCATTCATCTATTTTCCTAAGTCTATTTGCAGAACCATCATTAGTTACCATATTGTGAGGTCAAACGCATAAACGTGTGCAGCATTAGCTTGCTTCCAAGTGGACTTTTCTCCCTCTCTACAAGTCTAAGCACTGCAAATGATCCTGTACTATTTCCACCCCCAAATGTGGTGACAGATGAAGATATGTACCCAAGCTAGGTTCCCATATGGCTAATTTCTACATTTGTTTTAACAACATGCAGATTTTTAGGCAAATTAAAACACAGGGACTTCCATATTCATGGCATCCTCTCCAGTGCTGTCATCCCTTCCACCAAGTGGGTTTCAGGGAGTCACGCTGGTGCCAGAGCCTGCACTAAAAGGAAAAGGGGCAAGCATATCTATGAGGTGTGATTGACTCACAAGAGTTCCTGTTAAAAAAAAATGGAGCCAAGTGCAGTGGCTCATGCCTATAATCCCAGCTACTTGGGAGGCTGAGAAGGGAGGATCATTTGAGCCCAGGAGTTGCAGGCTGCAGTGAGCTATGATTGCACCACTGCACTCCAGGCTGGGCAACAGAGCAAGACTGTGTTTCTTTAAAAAAAAAAAGAAGAAAGAAAAGTTCCCTTGGCATTGCCTGCTGCACATGCCTTTCAAGTCACTAACTTTTACTGTGGACACTGGCCACCAAGGCCTGCCATGTGTCCAGTAGGTACAAAGCAGAGGTATTGGAGGGCAGGGAACGACATATTCTTTTCAGCCTCTTTAGAGCTGAAGTTTCAGATTCTGGTTCACCTTCACATCCAGTTGAAAGGGATGGAAAAGGTAGAACAATATGATAGGAAGTCCAGGGGTTTGGGGACCAGACAAATCTGGGTTTGGATCTCAGTTTGGTTATTTAGTTGCTGTGTAAACCTGAGCATGTCCCTAACTCAGCTTCAGCATCCTCACCTCAATCATGATACCTGATAGGATTGTTAAGAAGATTACATTAAGCATATGTGTGTATACACACACACATACACACACACACACACATATGTATATAATGAGCACCTTTTTTGGAATACATCTTTCTAAATATTGATGATTTGTAATTTCTCATATATATATGTTGCAAGTTATGTACACATATACCTAAAGAGGTGCTAGGATATCATGGTTATTGTTATTTTTATTGTGGGGAATTTATAGACAGTTTTCAGAGATCTGATTTTTTTCCTCTAGATTTTTCTTTCTGTCCTTTTGTGGGGCTATGGGCAATGCATATAGCAGAAAAACACAGCTTAGAAATTAGAGTCCTGTCTTTAAAGCCCTGTTCAGTTGGAAAGTTGCTTAATCTTGATAAACTTCAGATTCCTATCTGTAAATTGGGATAATAATATGTACCGTCGTGTTTTTTGAGAGGATTAAATGAGATAATCGATGCATATGGTGCTTGGCATTTGGTAGGAGTTTGATCAATAAATGCAACTTTACTCTCCTTGCCCTCAGAATATTCCTATCCTTTGTCCCCACATATGCTGTTAATAAGCCTTTAGTTGAGAGAAGATGTGGTTCTGTTTCAGGTTTCCCAGGCTAGTTCCCTGGTGTTTATTTATTCAAAAAAATGAGCACCGTTGTTGGAATATGTCTTTGCTAGACATTGATGATTTGTAACTTCTCATTCTCAAAGTTGAAGGGAGATCTGCTTTTTCATTTGGTGTCTTTATGTTTCTCTGTTGTTTTCCAGCACATTATTTGGTGACATCCCATGTTATAGATTAAAATATTGCAGGCATCAAGATTGTTCTCACTGGCCTCTCAGATATGATTGGTGTTATCTATGAGATAACCCTCTCCGGGGATTTTCTCCTCTGGCTACTTAGACCACATGTTACCCAAGCAACATGAGTACCATGTTCCCCCTACAAGGTTGTTATTATTCCAAACTTCCATTTCAAAAAAAAAAAAAATCTTAATTTCATCCTAAGACCCTCATAAATGCCAGCAGCTGATGAAAGCAGGTTTGTTTCTTGCTCTTTGGGAGGTGGCCACCCATGTCAGCACTGGAGAGTGTCTGCACATCCTCGCAGGCCCAACAAGTGCTAAACAGATGGAGTGAGTTCAGAGCTGAATTACCAAGGAGAAAATTCTGTTCTTTCACCAAATGTGATTTTTAACAGCCATTTGCAAAGAACTCTAGGCCATGGAATATTGGAAGGGTTGGCTTCATGGATAATGAATGCCTTAGTTGAAAGCCCATTCAAACTCTGTCAGCAGCTAATTTCTATATATAAGCCCTCCCTTAACCTAAATTTCAAGAAAGCAAGCATGCATTTCTGAATGCATGGGCTGACTTTGTACCAGAACGGAGCTTCCTATTGGACAGTAACTTGCCCTAATTTTGGTATGCCTTGCCCAGCACACAGGATGCTGCTCTGAGTATTTGGTAAATAAATAATAACTTCAGTGTTAGTCCATTCTCTCCAGAGATGAACCAATGTAAAGTAAGGGTAAGTGTGGGGAGTGGAGAGAGATGGGTGAGAGGTGGGTTTAGTTACATGAGCCCTCAGATAACCTTATCATAAAGTGGCTTAACTATACACACAGTGTTCCACTGAGGGATCAGTAAATTATTAAATCTCAGTTTCTCAGTCTTTCTGTCTTAGTCTCAATCTCTTTATCTCTTACTAATTCTCTGTCTCGTAACACTAATGGTAATCCATTCTTCCCCAGTATCAGTTCTCAAGCCTTAGCTCACAGAGAAATCACCTAAGAAACTAGTTAAAAGTGCACCTCATTAGAGTTGATGTCAAGAGTCTGTTTCTATAAAGTTGGGTGAGCCTGAGGATTCTGCCTTTTAACAGAACCCTCCTCCCCAACCCAGGAGATGCTAGTATAAATGGCCCTTAAGCCATGTTTTGGGAGAAGCTAGATGATGCTGATGGAGACCAACTTCCTTCACCATAAGCAAGGTTGCAAAATACAAGAAGACTGAAAGAGTTTCCAGTAGTTTGAGGGCTTTTTAATCATTGCTAGTATCAGTGGAATTCTTTAAACAAAATCGCCATAAAATTCTTCTTTCAAATGAAATAGAGAAAGCCTGCAAATAAAACCTCTCCCAAGAAAAGCTGCCCTGGCTGAAGGAGAGTGAGGCCTAGGGAGCCCTGCCACTTGCCTTCTCTCTCTCTTCTGTCTTCAATGGCCTCAGTGTTCTGGGCAGTGTTCCTAGAGTACACATCCCCCTTTCTTCCCAAAGGGACCCACGATGAAGGCCTGGGTCCCTGTGACAGGAAAGATGACCTCATGGGATATCTGAGTTCTAGCTCCAGCCTTTCCTCTTTGCTGCATGGCCTCAGGAAACTTATTTAACTTCCCTGACCTTCAGTGCATCCCTTGAGGAAAAAGAGGGAGTTTGGGCTAGATCAGTTTTTCTGGATGTCCCGTCATTCACAGACTCGCTGTGACTTTTGCTATAGATGAGTACCACCTGGAATATTTACTCCATATTTGTCTTTATAATAGAAGAAGTCTATTCACTGTTTCTTAGCTAAATATTCACTTAGGTTTTGAGCTAAGCAATGCTCTCTAAAATTAAAAGTTTGATGTGCCACTTACGGTTTTTCTTTCCTAACACACATGAAGATAAATACATAACCACTAACAAGTGTGTATACCTAAAATCAGTGGTTTGCACATGACCCTTGAGAAACATCAAGCCGGATGGTCTCTAAAGACCTCCTGCTCCATTCAGTGGAGCTGGTATCCAGGTAGGTCTGTGTTGTTATTACTTTGGAGGTTTACAGATGGGGGTAGGTTATAGGGAAAAACAAAGAAATCCTCCGAGTGTTATAAGCAAATGAAAGGAGTAAGGAGGACAAGAATTGCTTGTATTGCTGGAAAGAATGAGGGAACTGGAGGCTTGGAGAGTATGTACGAAGGATCTAAATGGTTCAAAGACAGCTTTCAATATTAATTTTGTAGAGACATAGGGCCACCAGCTGCTTGATTTTATTTAGGTATAATAGGCAGCTTAATAACTAAGAACATCATTGGTTTCTTGTTTGTTTCTTTTATTGAGTGTCAAAGAGCTAACAGTTTTTATTATAGATCTCCCAGGGCTGAAGTTGGCTAGTTAGGACAGTGGCAAGGCAGGACACTAGTGAAGAGTGCCAGGAAAGAGCCTTACCCTGTCCTTGGTATATTTCGAAAACTGAGCTCTAAATAAATGGTTTTCAAGAGACACGTTGTGGGAGGCAGAGGATGCTGAAGTCTTGCTTGCGGCACACATTGCAGAAGGAAAGACAATGTTTATGACCTGCTTATTGCATGGAAGGGGAGACAATGGCTCCAAATGTATACCCGCTGAGCTGGCTTGGACAATGCACGCAGACAATTCTAGCAGTCATGGTGGTCCAGAGTAAGGAAATAAAAAATGTAATTGAAAAGTGAGGGAAACTATAGCATGATTAAATTTGGCCAGCATTGAAGCACACAGTTATAACATGGAAGTCAGCCCAGAGTACATATTAGGTTAACAGCTTTGGCTTCAGAGATAGAGAGACCTGGGTTCAAATCCCATCTCTGCCACTTCCTGGATGTGATTGCTTGGACTAGGTACTTAATCTTTCTGAGCCTTAGTTTATTCACCTACTAAATGGATCTAATATATACTTCCAGGGCCACCTTAAGTATTTCATGACTTAAAGAACTTTGTACAATGTTTGGCATATAGAATAATATCTTAGTAAATTGTACATGCTATTTTTACATGATGATTTTATCTTGTTCTATCAAATCCAATGAGATAAGTAGTATATAGGTGGCCCGTAGAGATGGAAAGGAGATTGCTAAGACTCTGCCATTTTCCCAGAAGTGCCCATTGTGTGCCTCTGTAATGCTGCATTCTTATGACTAATATTAATCTTGAAAGATCATTACTTAATGATCTTGAGATATCCATGACAGGGTCACTTGTCCTGCCACATGAATCCTGACTAAGGTTTCAAGGACAAGAAGTCTTTGGACAGATAATTTCCATCCTTGGCATAAAGGCACTTCTCAGTAGGTTCAGGAGGATTAAGAAGAAGTAAAGAACTATGTATGACCTGACTGCAGTCTACTCAGCCAACATCAGCCAAATTTGGACCCCCCTTTGTCGGTCAGGAGGTCACCTACACTTGTCAGGAGCTACAGGTGTTGAAGGCATGAAAAGGCAAGATCTGTCAGGACATTGCGAATCAGTAAAACCAGACCTTTGCTCTTGAGAGACTCCCACACGTGAAGGTTCTTAATAAACTTTCTCACCTGCCAGAAAGTGTGAAAGCCTTGAATGTGGACCCCTTTTGATATGCCTGGCATTGTTGCATTGAGTTTTGTCATCCGTTTCTAGAAAAGATAAAGCAAGCTTATTTTATAACTTCTTTTCTTGTTTTTACTTACTATGTCTTCATCTTCATTAACGACAACAACCAAGAGTGCCAGAATTCTCTTGTAGCACTAACCCCCTTCTCTGCCTCCTTGTCTCCCTCCGTGAAAAGGCAACAGGCATCTGTTTCTTTAAGGGCCACAGATCTCCTTACTGTTTGTGCCATAACTAAGAGTTGCTTGTGTGTCTCCACGGAATTCCCCCCACCCCGATTGCTTTACATAAATGTCCAATTAATGCTAGTTAAAAGTTCTTGTTCATGATCTGTCTGAAGGGAGAGACAAAGAAGGGAAGCGGAGATGGCCCCGCTGCTGTGGCCATGTCCTACTTCTGTGATGCATTACCAGCAACTTCTTTCCACATGTTTTTGCATTGTTTCTTCTTACATTTATCCTCTGACTATTGTTTCCTTTTGTTCCAGCAACAGCTGGAAATGGTAAATTTGTGTTTTGAGCCAATGTTTTCCTTTGCCCTGGCATTTCTAAACATTTATTTTCCTACAATCCAAAAGTACCAGCAAAGAAGGCTTTTGGAAAGATCATCATCCCGGTGGCTGCCCATCGCCCTCCGAGGCTGTCCCTTTAAATGAGGCCCCCAGAGTTCACTTTCTGAAGTTCATTAGCTTGTGTTATCAATAATTTAGGATAATACTCCGGTAGAGCCTGAGTGCCTGGCCCGCCCCATTTTCACTGTCAGTTTTCTCATAGCCTAGCAGTCCAGTGAACTTGATAAGTGTCCCATCATCCTGTTAATCAAATTACTTATGAACTAAAATTGACAGTTTTCATTAATTATAAAGGATTATTCTAATTGCAATTCAAATTTATTCATTTAGAACAGACGGCATTCAGTAATATTTCAGGAAATTTGCATATTAAATGGAGAGGGTCGTCCATTAAGTATGGTAATGTATGCATATTTCCTTATTTTTAACTTCTAGGCCATATGCACTGCTGCTACTTCAGCAGGTGAAAAACCAGAACGTGCTTAATTTGTTCAACAAACACCGGGGCCAGAGCACATCTTTTGGCACTCGGTACTGGCATCCTTCTACCTTTATTCCTTCTGCCTTTCCTTTCCCCACCTCCTACCGCCCCACACACAGCCAAAACCGTGGTTGATCTTTCGAAGAAACTTTTTTGATAAACCTGGGCATTTCCCCCCCTCCTTTTCTTTTTCTTAAATGTAGGCACAGCTGGTAAGGGTTGATTGAAATGTTTTGCCATAGAAGCTGTGTTCATTAATTTCTTCAAGATGCTGAAGTAGGCATTAAGGTTGCCGGCTGGAGTCCTTCCCTGTGACATGTGGAACAGCAAGGGGCCTAATAGTCAGCCTTGTAACATCAACTGGTTACCCCCCTCGTGCGGCATGAACCTTTCCCCTCCAGTGAAAAATGAACCTGTCTGAGACAAAAGCACAAACCACGCATGCAATGAGACAGTGCCATTATTCACACCCATATAGGCTGTTTTCAGAGATCATTAAAAATCATATCTCCATGATATTAATAAGCACCTTCCCTGATCCAGGTCTCGGGTAACAGGAAGGTATATTTAGCACTGCCCCCACCACCTACCTAATCTGAGATCATGAATCTGGGAGGAAAAAAAATGCATGTAAGATGAAGGTTAACAAGCTGGTGTGGTAGGAGCCACTTGGCTTTTTAAACAGCTGGTGTGTCCCAGCTCTCCCTACACCAGGCCAAGTGGAGAAAGACAGGGTGTGGCCCCACCACATCAGGTTGTTTCTGATGACTTTTGCCTCTACTCCTCAGAAATTATTGATATCTGGTCTTAATGATCTGAAGAAAGCATCTGCCAGCTCATTCATCTCCAAAAACTCACACTGAATAACTGGTTGCTCATTTAACCTGGTTTCAAGTAGACTTGTTTTTCATTTTCTGCAGTTAAACTAAAGCCTTTGTTGTTTTACGTACAGATATTTTATTTGCGGAGCATATTTATTTCAGTCTGTTGGTATAATACTCGCGCTCTCATGGCCATATGTTATTGATTGAAAAGCCTCCACGAACTCGAATTCTGAATAGGCACTGTATCCTTGGTAGGTGTCCGAGAGGCAGAGATGGAGGGCCTGCTCCCTGCCTTGCCAAACCCATACCGAGGGCCCTTTCCACTGCCCTCCCTCCTCCCAAGCAATACATAAATCACAACTGGTGCAGAGTCCAGTTAATGCTTCAGTTGTTTACACAACCTCTCCCCAAATCTCAGTGGGAGCATGCAGTACCCAGCTTTCTCCTTTTTGGGGTACAGCCATTTCTGCTGGAATCACTAGGATCGAGAAAGCAGACCACCAAAGGCTATTTCTGAAAACACTGATGGAAAATTCTCAGAAATCATTCAAGCCCACTGACGTGTGTTAAGTCAAGTGAAATGTCCCCCTGTGGAACGTCTTTTCCTCCACTTAGTTCAGCTTTAGAACCATGAAGCCCTGGTCTTAATCCTATTTCTGATGTGAGTTAATTTTCAATGCAAGTTTTAAAAAATTTAATTTCACTGATTACTTTGACATGCAATAGTAAAGTAATATAAAAGAATGCCACAAATGATTAAAGTAAAACTTAACAACATACGCATTTTAAAAATCCCAGAACTCTATTTTTGTTATGGGAAATATTAAGTTGCATAATGTGACCCAGCGGTACAGGATAATTGCTTAAGAAGCTGTATTGTACAGATATTTTGTATATTATATCCTCATGTGCAGTATTTCTGGTGATGAATTCCTCTGCAGAAAAAGGCCCTCTTGAATGGATGTTGATTATATCAGAATGTGCACCAAAAGTGATGCCAGGAATAGAAGGTGGTCCTGGATAGGCAGGCATCCTCTGGAAATGTTGAGGACAATATCTCAGGAATTGCCTTTGCGGTCAGCATCTATACTACCTGCAAGAATAACTACTAGAACCTTTTTCATGTGCTACATCTTTTTTTTTCTTGAGGCTGATAGAGAGTAGGAAGGACAGGAATACAAGTGATGTATAAAACATGGCACAGAGCTAATGAGGTGGAATTAGGCATAGTGGAGGGAACTAACCTCTCTGAGCCCCATTTATTATATCTGCAAAGTGGAGCTAACATTTGCCCTATCTTCTTCATGGAGTTGTTGTGAAGATCCTCTGAGACCCATCTGTTTTCCAAATTCTCCTGTTCGTCAGAATCGCCTGAGAGTAGTTAAAATACACATCTCCAGGCCCTTGTACCAAGGGATTCTAGTTCAGTAGGCCTGGGGTGAGGCTTGAGAATCTGTATTCTTAAATATTCTCAGGTGATTTTTATGATCCAGCAAATTTAGAAGGGACGGGTACACCGTATGTTAAGTGCTCTCCAAGATACAGTACTCTTAGGAATTAAGAGGCTTGCACAAGAAGTAATTAGAAAGTAGTTCAAGACTGCACCTATGCATATCACTCCATTTTAAATTGGGCAAAGCTCTGGATTATAGGAATTCTAAGCATCCACTACATTCTGGAACTTGAACTTTGGTGGGTAAGTCCCTGGGATCCGTAGGTGAAACTAATGGCTATGTGAAATTTGCAATGTTTGTGCAGAAATGGGAATCTTTGTGTCCACCAGGAGGATCCATGAGGAAGGGCCCTTACTCTCCTAAGACATGTGCAGCCCACACTACTTAGATGAGCCCTGAGTCAATAGCAGGTGCTTATCAACCAAATATCTAGGTCATTCTGTGAATGTTCTTTATAGTTAAATAGACTCTGGAGGTGAAACTGTCATTACTCACCCACTAAAGAAATGAACTTGGAGAAATGGAAGAGAGAGCAGTTTCTTGTCTGTGAAAGCACATGGAAATGGTGATAGAGATCAGGTATGGCTGTATTTATGAATCATTATTGATGCAGAACCACTTCATACCATGTCAGAGAAGAATAAATTGGATAACAATGGGATGACAGCATCATCTAATCTAATGTTAGTGTGACTTAATAGTTACATTTTAGCTGCCAAGTAGGGCATGTGGAGTGGGTGCTGAGATTCTCAGCTCACAGTGGTTCTAGCCAAGGATCATAACAGGAGTGGTGGGTATACTCTCCTACTCAAGGAATCCCATTCCAGGGCAAGGTGAAATGGGGTGAGTAAGGCTTTTAAGAGATGATGATTATTATGTTATGATTTGTTCCTACTGTATGCTGTCGTAGCAGAAAATGCCCTGTTGTCTGTTTGCAGTGGTAATGGATTATAGCTTGGCTTTAGATGAGATGGAAAAGAAAAATGGGTCTTCATTTCTTCCCCTCTCCACCCTGAGGATGATAGATGATTAAAAACAAAACAAAACTAAAAAAAAACCCCTCTATCCTCATGAGACATTTTTTGTTAATTGTCTCTTTGTAGCTAGTGTAGCTAGCTGTAACCAGCCAGGCTGGTTAGTGATAGAAGTAAACAGTCATGTCTCTGACCTCTGAGGGCTGACAGCTGTAGTTAGTGATACTGAGTTAGTCATAAAGCTCACAGAGGTAAATGAGCAAGCCTTGAATGTTGAAAGAGTACGCTGAAGAAGGTCTAAGCATTTTGTACAAAATGGGTGTTACATTTAGTTTTAGTATTCAGCGATTTCATGAAAGGAAGGAGATTTGCAGAGGTTCCCTGTTCAGATAGGCGACTCGTTGAGGGAAGTTTTCTAGTAGCTGCTGCAATTTCAGAAGTGTGTTCCATGACTGAAGAGATAGAAAGGAGACTATGGTACATGGGGAAGGAAATTCTCTCTGCTGGGCTCTCGGTACTCTCCCCTGACTGCCTTGCTCCCCTGCAAGGCATACACACACTGCTTTAAAATATAGGGGATTTATTTTTCTTGTGAATGTGAAACACTGAATCAGCAGGTGCTAATTGGAAATAGAGTTTTGTGGACTACTCAAGGACAGCAGTGTTTCCCTTTGGGGCCACAAACTGGACTTTATAATTTCCTATTGAATCACTGCAACAGGCTTCAGCCAGCCTTTGTTTAAGGGGTGTCCTAATACTTTCCAAGATCCTGCACCAATTATTGTGTACATCTGGAGAAGACAGGGCTCACAATCTCCAGGTTTTTCCATAAACCATAAAACCTATTTGTTCTGAGAAATACTTAAAGATTGGGGAAAAAATTACTAGGTATTTCTGAGATTAGTCTGAGGGCATACATCAATTAATTTTTTATTGAGCAAAGAAAATCACATCTACATAAAATATGTAGTTTAAAAAAATCATCTTTGCTACAGAGATTCAACATACTGGTTCTTTAGTATAGGATCTAATTTCACCAAAGTAATTGAATCTCACAGTTCTCTGAAACATTTTCAAAGATAGAGGTGTGTTTAGGATTTAATGGTGACCCACCTTCTTCAGCATATCCATATGCTGGTTTACTTCCACGAATTTCTAAGTACCATTAATGGAAATTGAATGTGCCTTTCTCTAAGGGAAATATTAACAGAAAGTTATGCTTTTGTGAGAAGGGCATTTTAATAATTTGATTCTGGTACCATCTTTTTCATCCTTGGAAGAACCACAGCTTGGTGGGTGGCCACCCTGTTTCTGATAGGAACAGTGAGTTTCCATTTTACAGATTGGGACACTGAGGACCAGAGGACAAATAAATCATTTTTGGCTAGCATTGGAGTCAGTAACAAAAATGTCAGACAAATTCCATAGCTCAATGAGGATGACAATGTCTCTTCATTTCAAATGTATGCAGTTGGGAAATTAGGAAATAATACATCTGATTGTATTAAAAATGCTAAAATCTGCTCTTCTAGTTCCAGCTCTGTTCTTTCCCCTGCATTTTTTTTTTTTTTTTTTTTTTTTTTTTTTATAGACAGAGTCTCGTTCTGTCACCAGGCTGGAGTGCAGTGGTGCAATCTCGGCTCACTGCAACCTCTGCTTCCCTGGTTCAACCTCTGCCTCCCTGGTTCGAGTGATTCTCCTGCCTCAGCCTCCTGAATAGCTGGGATTAAAGGCCTGTGCCACCACGTCCAGCTAATTTTTGTATGTTTAGTAGAGACAGGGTTTTACTATGTTGGCCAGGATGGTCTCGATCTCCTGACCTTGTGATCCTCCCGCCTCGGCCTCCCAAAGTGCTGGGATTACAGGTGTCAGCCACCGCACCCGGCCTCCCCTCCTTCTTGACCTGATCTGTAACTGTAAGAACTCTCATAATGGCCAGTGCCCCTGTCTTGGAGAGTGTTCTGTTAGAAGAGGGGTAAATTCTTCCTGAGCCAACCAATGATCAGTCATGCCTGGCAGCATGAGTTTTGATTCCCCTTAATTAAGTATGTATAACTTCAAATGATCCTAATGGTGACACAATTATCTGGTCCTCTTTAATATGCGACCAGGGTTCTTGGTCCTCTAGTTAACATGGGTTATTTTTAAACATAAGCCCTTATTGTTTGGCATTTGTTTCTGTGTCTTCTAAACCAAACCAAACCAAACCAGCCAAACAGAACCCCTCTCCAAAAAACCCCCACCAAAATCCAAACAGACAAACCAACAAAAACCACCAGCACCACCATCCTAACCTGAGTATATGTTGCCGTTCCACCAGAGAAGGAATGCAAACACTCAGTGCAGTTTGTAACACCTTCGTGCATTTCACATCTCACATTTCTGTTCTTTCTTTCTTTTTCTTTCTGTTTTCTTTTTTTTTTTTCTGCTGCCCATGAGTTTCATTTTCCCATGTGCCGTTATATTAATGTTTTTCCCTGCTGGCTTCCCAGCCCGGGGGTCACAGCTTGTGTTTCACAACACAAGACACCCAACCATAAATCTCCTTTAAATAATACAGACGGCAGGAGGGGCACTGTTGAGAGCCAGTCGGTCTGAACAAAGTGGCATTGATGCATGGCAAGCGGAGCAGCTTGACCACAGCCCGGCTGGACAGGTAGAGTGTGGAGCAGCCTTTATTCAAGGGGAGGAAGGCATGTGCTCTGCATGGCTCCAAAGAGCCAACCCGTCCTGGTTCTCAGTATGAGTTGGCTGCCAATCACCGAGGTTTCCAGAGAATAATCACGCCACCTCTTCCTGGCTCCAGTTGGAACACCCAATTAACATAATTTGTGTTTGGAGGTGCAAACGCATCTCCTCCATTATAAATCTACATTTCTTGAGGCCTCTTGGCCATATTTAAAATGAGGTTGGGAACTGTCAGGGTGGAAGTAACAATACACACTTGATCAGAATACATGATGCATTGTGACGAGGCTGTTTCCTTATTCTAAAACCTAGAGTGGTTAATTTAAGGGGCCTGGAAAAAAAGCTTGATTGGAGTTAATGGGAGCCTTGCTTGCAAAGGAGCTTGCTAAGATGGGAAAGGAAAAAGATGAGGGTTTACCTAGGGATTTGTTAGCACAAACAAAAATTATAACAACTTATTGACACCCCTCAGCCAAGATATCATGTTAAGTTAATTTATCTGTGGCAATACCTTTTGTGAACAAAGATATGTGCAAATCTATGTAGACATACATAGAGATGATGTGGACAAGGTATACAAAGATATTTAGTTTGTGCACAAAGATAAAAAATGCATGTATGGGTGTGTACACCCTCCCCAACAGTTTGGGAAATAATTGTCAAGCACAGCAGGTACTGTGTATTTTAAGTAAAGATGAGGATATAGTGAGAGGAGCCACAAAGTTTCTTTCGACTGACAAGTCTTTTCAGGATTTATGCCTTGCTCATCAGTTGCCAAACTCCAGCTCAGTAATTTTTGTCTGCCAAAACTCGGTGGTGGGGTGTTGGGGAGAAGATTAGCATCTCATTTGGTTAATTTTTTTTGGACTCCTTTTTCTACAGCTATTAGTTACACTTCTGAAAAGTCAACACAGCTTCTAATTTCTCGATTACTTAACTCATTGTAGTGGTGTCGGGAGCAGTTTTCATTGAAGTGATTTCTAGAAGCTACTGCATACTTGATAAATGCGCTGAGAACAAAAGAGAGAACACTAATGCAGGGAATGATTGTGCTGGTTTTGGTTGGTTACACCTTTGAGCATTTGTTTTTTTTTTATATTGTTGACATTAATTGCTACTGTAATGTAATAATTGCTTCAAAGATACATGTTTTGGGTGGTGATAGTAGTGAAAGAGGAGAACTGATTCTGTTCTTATTCATTTAAAATAACAAATGAAACTGATAACTCAGGAATTCATTTCATGGGACCAGGACACCCATGAGAATAGGAAGGTTTTGGTAACATATTAACATCCCAAACTGAAAGTTTTGCTTTTCCAGCTTAACGTGGTTTTATATGGGGCATCTCAGTGATGAGTTAATGTGTTATAGAATTACCCTAGATGTTAATTGGGTATCTAGCAATATGCTAAGATACACACCTATTTTCTCAGATTTGCAAGCCATGGGTGTAATTTTGGCCTTATCTTTTTTCCACCTCATCCATAAATGTAGGTTTTCAATTATTTGAAAAAACTTTGTTTCTGATTTTATTTGTTTTGGTGGCTTTTTAGAGCTAAGAACACCATACTAATGCCACCCTGTGAGTATGTGGTATTGCTGTGCACAATACTTCCCTCCTTGTCACCTTCGCTCCACTGTTTTTCTGTCTGGGTCCCCATTAGAGTGACTGCTGCGTGAAGGCAGAGATGATGTCTGTTTCAGAAACTATCATACTCCCAGTATCTAGCCATAATTACTTTTAGTCTGACCAACTTCCCTGATTTGCCTGGGGACTTTCCTGGTTTTAGAACTGAGTTCCAACCCCAGGATGTCCCCCAGTCCTAGACTATCTGGGCACATAGGTGCTCATCAATATTTTCTGAGTAAATGAACCCCTCTTCGTAAGGAGGTTACAGAGTTATGTGGGACAAAAGTGAACTCAACTTCTATTTGAAATTAGTCAGCATCATATATGTACATCTTATCTCCCTGGTCAACAATAAAGGATGTGAGAGCAGGGACTGTGTCTCCTCCATTTCTTTGAATTTTTCACAGTGCGCTAGTAAACATTTCAAGATAGAATTCAATCAAGAGCTAAATGCAATAGAACCAAAGAGCAAATTGTTCTGTGGTATAAACCCAGACTCTACTCCTTCCTGGCTCTGTGAGGTTGGGCAAGTTACTCAATATCTCTGTCATCTTTTTCCATTATCATCATGTGTAAAATGGGAATAATAATAGTACCTGCCTCACAGAGGTGGTGTCAAAATTCAGTAAGACCAAGTACAGAGCACAGCCTCTGCTTCGTGGTGAGTATGAGACGTGTGTAAGCTATTCCTCCTCCTCCCCTGCACCTGCCTGTTCCTTCTCCACACATAATAAACACTGAGCATGTTCAGGTAAGTGACAGCACCTTTTTGTTGTTACATCTCATTAAACTGAATTTTGAGTTGTTTTTGTATAGAATGGTTTGCCTGGAAAAAGGATGCTTTTTTTGTATGTATGATTGGTTCCGAAATGTCTCATTCATTTTACCTGGAGTCTCTTTGCTTTTTTTTTTTTTTTTTTCTGCATTGCCAGGGTAAGGAAAGACAGGCAGCCTACTTCCAAGCAAGTGATCTGTTATAGGTGGGATAGTGAAACTGTCACTTACAACATTCTTGTAGAGAATGAACACAAGACAACACTCATACTGGCAAAGAGAGAAGCTTTGAGGGGAGGTGTGTGATATATTGAGTCTACCTTTATCCCTCTTTCCCTATCGAACCACCTTCCCCTCATGGTAAAGCTGGGACCTAGGTATATTGGTGGCAACATTTCTCTGCTGCTGACCTCAAAGAGACTAAAAGCATACGTGATTGAAATGAAAAATAAATGAGCAGCTATTTATAAATAACTCCTGTTAACGAAGGCATGTGTTTCATGGAAATAATCTCATACAAATGACTGCTTTATTTTGCTCCCTCCTCCATTCCCTTGTATCCCTCCTGCTACCCACTAAGTGGGGCCAGGGCAAGGCTTTCCTTACAGGTCCCCTATTTTCTTAATTTTTCTGGTGGCAAGCAGCAGAACAGAGTGGTGTCACTGGGTTGCCTTTAGAACTTTAGTCATTAAATCTCCTTTGCCCCAGCTTCGGTGATGCATATTTCAATAATGAGCAAGAAAAAATGGTTTATGGTAGTTTAATAAAAGCAGAAGACAAATGTTGCTCCTGTGCAAAGGAACTGAATTACATACTTCATGAACCAAATTAGTACCAAAACATTTGGCTTTGTTCGAAAGGTAATATGCATTTATGGGCCCATTTTTCAGTAAGATAAATATGACACACGCCAAGATTTCCCTGAAGTAAATACTGTAAATAATAAAAGACTCTGCCAAGGAAAGCTGAGAAATGACTTAATCCTCATCCAGTGCTATCGCAATGCCAAAATGCCACTGTCCAGACTTGAGAACAAACTGCCTCTTTAATAAACTCATCTCATGATCAAGAGAGTGCAAGGCCCTTTAATTTCCCAATAATGGTCAATATTCCTCAATTCCGGCTTAAAAAAAATACATTCACATAGGAGCTAGGGCATTTTATGGCATAAGCAAATTTGATTACCAAGTAACAAAATACATTTTGAGGATGGTTGGGAGTTACACGGCAGCAATGTTTATGTGAATAGGTGCAAATGGGGGAGGTTTTTGCAGAAAGTTAAAGCTATCACTCTTAGCCTAACTCTATAATCCTCATTTCGCTTGAGCTTATTCCAGTTAAAGTTTTCTGCTAGCAAAATGTGCTGAATGTATTTCTTCCCTGGGTGCAGATTTGCCTGTGAGAAGCTGGGATGATAAACAGAATGCTGTGAGATGTGAATAATATGAGAATTCACAGTGCCAGCAAGTGCCTTCTTTAAAGTCATTCAGCTGGCTCTAGAAGATGTTACAACACACTTCTTGTAGTAGGGCACATTGTTGTCTTAATGCTGGAGAATAACAAATTGAAATGCCACCTGAGCAGGCAGTAATATAAATGAACCGAGGAGGTGAGATTTGAGAAATGTATTAGGGAGTGGTGGGGACTGGGGCAGACCGGCGAGCATGTGCCTTGTATAAAGGGGAAGTCACCAATATACCAGGTCCCAGCTTTACCATAAGAGGAAGGCGGTTCTGTAGGGAGAGAGGGGTAAAGGTAGACTCAGTGGGCCTTTAGAAATGGGCCCATAAATGGATATTACCTTTCGAAAAAAGTCAAATTCAGTTCCTTTCTAATTTCGGTTCCCAACTAATAGCTGCTATGCAGGAATGTGGACCTAGTATTGCTGGATGTTTTATTTTCACAAAATGTGGGATATCTTGATGTTTCAGTGAATGCTCCCAATTAGTAAATGCTGACAATAAAACCAGAAAGGCTCTGTATCCCAAATAAAACAAAGGTCATGGGCTTAGAGTTTGTGAATTGTGCTTTGAAGTTTTGGGCTTGCAACACAAGAAAACAAGTAGGCTGTAATGAATGGCATTTAGTCCTGAGGCAGAGGCAAAGGTGGCAGCACACGTGGCTGGGAACTTGCTGTCTGCTGGGATCTGTCCTAAGCTCCAGGTGCATCAACTCATTGGATCTTCAGGTCCCCCTCTCAAGCAGGCACTGTGAGTAGGTACTATTTCTTCTCTGTTTTATAGATGTGGAAATTGAGGCTCCAGAAGGCACAGGCAGAATTTGAACTCAGATTGGCTCTGTGAGCTCTGAGGCACCACTCAAGCATTCCTTCCCCTTGCTTTGGTGGTGTGGCACCACAGGAAGTAATGTGAATTGGAGTCAGGGCCTTGGGTTTGGTTTTGCAGCTCCCCACTCCTTCTTGTCTTTTACCCTGAGCCTCTACTTCTTGCTGGATCAAGTGTTTTGTACCCTCCACCCCCTAGATTACCGGGTCTTTTACTCTGAGCCTCTACTTCTCCTTGTATCAAGTGGACATGATAGTACCTGCCCACTTTACCTCACGGGGTGGGGAAGGATTACCTCAGGAATATAAGCAGAAGAGTGTGGAAAATTGTAAAGTGCTCTGTCAACACAAGGAGAAGGAATATTGCTCATAATTAGAGAATACAGAGAGGTGAGATAGTAAAGCCACTGATTGTCTTTGGATCAAATACAATTAAATAGCAATCCCTTCTTGACTCTTCAACTCAATAAAGTGTCTATTTGTAGAAGTGGCTAAAACTGAATTCACTTTGAAAATTAATCAGCCACCACCAATGGCTGGATTAGCAGACTGCGTTTTTTTTTTAAGTGAAAAAGAACATAGCAGATAAAGAAATCTACCTTCCAAACAGAAGTTAACAGCCTAAGACCTGCCCATTGTCTGCCAGGCTCTTGACAGGAGGACAGAGCATGAGGGCACCCCACTGCTGGTGCCTTCTGTAACCCCTAATCAAGGGACTTCCCTTAGGAGAAGCCAGAGAGAAGAGAGGGGCCATTGCTGACCTGATTTGGAACTATTAATTGAAGTTGGCTGATAAGGGCACGTTCCTGACCCAGACACGGTGAGCATTTGAAGAGAAAAAGAAAAAAAGGGGCATGCAGAAAACATTTATGGAAAATACCCCAAGAATGATGCAGAAAGCTGTTTATGCATGTAGGCAGTGAGTAATCTTCTTATTTATAAATGAATGAGCTGACCCGGGGAAGGGGAGCTTTGTGGATTATAATCACAATCCAATGCGACAGGCTTCTTCGCTGAAGAGCTCTCCCCTCATTGACAGCCAAAGCCTTGCAGAATTTTTCCCCCTTTATACTGGAGTCTCAACCTAATGGCAGTGCTAATTTGTCCTCCAAAGTTTCGTGAACTGAAGGTCTTAGTTATTTTAGTTTACAAGATCTACTTTAAGGAAAATCTTTTGTGCCTGCTAGATGTTGTTCTTAACTTTCCAGCTTTCCCTTCTCCACTTTCCCCAGAGCCGTCCTTTGGCTCTACCCAGCAAAGTCTCTAACCGCACCTGTCAAAGAACCTTTCCTGTCTCTGGGCTTGGATTGGACACCCCCAGTTAGAACCCTTGCCTGCTCTTTTCTATCCACAGCTTTGTGTCCTTGGCCACCATGCTGAAATCTGTTGTCCCCATACGAGAAGCCTTTTGGGCTGGGCTCTGTGGCTCACACCTGTAATCTCAGCACTTTGAGAGGCTGATATGGGAGGATCCCTTGAGACCAGGAGTTTGGACCAGCTTGGGCAACATAGAGAGACCTTGTCTCTAATAATAATAATAATAATGATAATAATAATAATAATAATAATAAAATTATTCAGGTGTGGTGGTGCATGCCTGTAGTCCTAGATACTTGGGAGGCTGAGGCAGGAAGATTGCTTGATCCCTGAGTTCAAGGCTGCAGTGAGCTATGATTGCACCACTGCAACTGCATTGCAGCCTGGGACACAGAGCAAGATCCTATTTCTAGAAGAAAAAAAAAAAAAAGAAAAAGAAGCAGGCTTTTGGGCCTAATCGTACTTTGATCATGCCATGAATCAAGTCAGCTTGTGACTTGGGCATGGAGTTTCATCAATACTCTTGCTCAGTAATTGATAGGTAATTATTTTGAGGGTGGAGTTTTGATTGCATTGTGTGGTTGTGTCTCTACAGCCTCATGGGAGACATTGTTATTAGCTTCCTAAGAATTTCCTCTCCTTCTCGACAGCAGTAAAAAAATACATAAACAAGCACTTCTTACTCTCAGTAGATGGGAAGCAGTATACTGTCAAGTTAGGAGCATCAGAAAACTTCTGTTTTGTTTTTTTGTTTTTTGAGATGGAGTCTTGCTCTGTCGTGCCCAGGCTGGAGTGCAGTGTTGCAATCTTGGCTCACTGCAACCTCCGCCCCCCTGGTTCAAGTGATTCTCCTGCCTCAGCCTCCTGAGTAGCTGAGACTACAGGTGCATGCCACCAAACCCAGCTAATTTTTGTATTTTTAGTAGAGACAGGGTTGTACCATGTTGGTCAGGCTGGTCTCGAACCCCTGGCCTCAAGTGATCCACCTGCCTTGGCTTCCCAAAGTGCTGGTATTACAGGCGTGAGCCACCACACCAGGCCGAAAACTTGGTTTTGAGTCTTCTCTTCACTACTCACTCTCTGTGTAAACCGGGGGAAGTTACTGCATTCTCTATACCTCCCTTTTCATATCTCTAAAAAGGGGGTTAAAAGAATACCTACTTCATATAACTAACATATGCCTAGCATATACCCCAAATATTTCTTGGTAAGCTCTTAATAAATGTTAGCTATAATTATTATTATGGAAAATGCTTGTTGACTAACTGAACTTATCGCCAAATACTTTTGCTGTTGCAAAATAGTGCTCACATAGTGTTGGATGTTGAATGAAGAATGAAAAAAATGATTGAATGAGGGAATGAATGAACCAGAAGGCACAGATATATTCATTCATTTATTGTTGACTACCCATTGAGTGGCAGCTGAGGATGTAGCCAAGAACAAGACAAACACTATCCCTGCTGTCATGGACTTCAAGCCCAGAGAAGGCAGACAAATAATAGGAAAATTAAATAAATAATTAAGGCAATTTTTCAGACAGCAAGCTTTAGCGGTGCTTGGTGAACATGAGGACAATTACAGAGAACTAATGGTATTTATCCTACTGTCAACCCAATGGAGAAAGTAGGTTCAAATGTCTGATAAGATGTATGAGAGAGAGAAAGAATTGTTCTATGTTATTCCAAAGAGCAAGAATAACATCCATGTGGTAGAAGTTAACAAGGAAGATGATTTTAACTCTGGCTAATGAAGATACTTCTGGCTCAATAGTCCAGGAGTAGACTGACTGCCTTGAGGGCAGTGAGTTCATTATCAAAAGAAGAGCATAAACAGAATCTGAGGGACATTCTTGAGTAATATGTAAGGTTGCTTTGGATAATCTCTAAGGTTTTTTGTAGAGTAAAGATTCTAGGATTTGCTGTTCTCCAATTGACTAATGAAGAGATCTCTTAGGCTTTGGGATAAGAGAGACCACGTTTCAAGTCTAATTATTAATACTATCTGCGGGACCTTACTTATTTCCACTTTACTTTCCTCTTCTGTAGAATGGGTAGACTTATTTGGAATGCGGTAAGGATTACATTAACTGAGGCTTGTAAAGTACCTAGTGTAACGCCTGGTGCCCAATAAATGGCAGTTGCTGTTGCAGTTGATATTTTTATGATCATTGTTATTAGCATCAAAATTTGGGAATAGCTGTCTTAGTTCTCTGCTTCAGGGGATCCTCCCTGCTGAGGCAGTGACTAGGGAGCAAGTCAAGGAAGTAGTTAGGGGTCAGTGGGAAACAGGTGGTAGCTGCCTTGTTGAAAAAAACAGAGTTGTACAAATGCTATCAATTTCCGGGCCTCATGCCCATGTCGTTACCAAATCAGAACTGCCTAGAGAGAAAGAGCCCTCCTCCATCTCCGATGACAGTTCTTTTATCATTTTTCCCTCTTCTGAGCTACCTTTAGTGTTAATCAAAATTTGATTTCATTAGGAAGGAAAAAGTAGTAAAAAGTGATAGAGGAGTGGAGACACAGTATAATTTGTTTTGCACCCTCCACTCCCCTCTCCCACCGCCCAGGTCTCCAGGGAGATGGCCTTGAAGATACATTCACATATGCCTCTTGGATCCAGGCATCTTTGTAAAATATAACCCCAGAGGGAAAAACACAAGAACATCTTCTTAGATAAGAACGTGCCAATTCTTCTGGTTCAAAATGTCTTCACGTGAAAAATTTCCTGCAGCGGTAGGAGGAAGCTCACACACAGGACAAGCATGAGACACATCTGGAGGGAGCCCAAGCCGGGAACCCGAGGGCCTGACCATCTGCCAGAGGGCCAGATGCTGCTGCTGGAAGCCTCTTGCCTCCCAGCTTGTCATCTGGGTTCGATGATGCCATCCAAAAGAGGGCCACAGAGTGGGAGGGCGATGAGCAATCCATCTTCTCCCACCCACGGTTCTTAATTGTGTGATGTAGGGGGTGGTAGGAAGAGAAGAGGGTTAAAAAGTTTGCCCACAAAACCGCACCTTTCTCATGGAAATGGCCATCCTAAAACACATGGCTCTGACCACCCAGAACTTTTAGAATATTCCATTCAATATCTCTTCATTTTCCTTCGGTCTAAATAGAATGGATGAAGAGGCTTGGCTGTGTAGTTGTCAGTGGGAGCTGCCATCTTCTGTCAACTTGGGAGTGTATTAAGAGTTTCTAACCAATTGCATTGGTCGTTACATTATAGGATTTCCTATATTGCAAGTGTTCTTCCCGTTAACAGCTTTGGTGTCTGATTTTGGCCAAAGCAGATCATTGGGATTCAGAGGGACATCCTCTTCTTTTTCCATTGCAGAAACAATCAAGAGTCTGTGCACACGGCACTCATAAAAGGAAAATGATCAAAACCACACACACAAAAAGACTATTAAATTCCAGATGAGATTACTGCTTCCTGTGATTCCCACCATTCGGGAATGCCTTTCTGCTTCGTGATTGCCCACTGACAGACTTACACAAGCAAGATGTAAACATAGTAGGATTATCTCTTACACTATCACATATGTTTTATGCTAAATCATTAGACATCTAGGATGGTTTTAGCCATGGCCTGTTTTCAGTGCCAGTGGTGGTATATTTTTGTACTAGTGTACGTGCTTTAACTCACAAGTAATTGCAATATTTTCTAGGCATATGCAAGGCAGAAACTGTTTTATTTTAAAATGGCACCTGTTGGAATAGTTTAATATGTAATTTTCATTTTCACGTAATTATTCAGATACATTATTGAATAACTTACGCATCTTGTATTCAACAATATGGGGAACAGTATACTGTGTGTCTACAGTCTTGGGCTGCTGATAGTTCCTCTGCATTCATTAGAGGAATGACTGGGGCATCTTGGGCTGAAACCTTGTTATCGCTGCTCTTTGTAAGCAGGTTGTGTTGTCACTGTAGGGAGGGAGGGCTGTTTTAAGCTTCGTTCCCACATTTCTTTTTGCAGGGCTGGTAGGACCACCACCTCAGGCAGTCTTTCACTGCCCTGTAACGTGGATCCTTCCTAAATCTTCACTGTTGGATTGTGTGGCAACTTCTGCCTATTAGAGTTGCATCTGCAATAAAAAAGCGAGGTTCCTGAGAGACAAAAAAGATAATCCCCCGCTTAGTGCGTGGATGACAGCCACACTGAGTGCAGTACTACCAGTGGAAAGTCTGAGGTTTTGAAAATAGCAGAAGTGAAGGAAATGAAAATGTGATGTGAATTTATACCCAACAATTGTTTTCTATATTTCTCAGGCTAACAAATGTCCCAGTTAGAAAAACCTCTGGTACTGGGTAGTTTGGAAAAATAAAAGTTGCATTGCAAAAATAAAAAGAAAGATCCCATTCTAAGGTTAGAGCAAATGTTTGAAGGTGGATAGAACTTCCGATTCTGGTTGGTGGTTTATTACATATGCTTCAGGGACTTGGGCACATTTGACTACAATGAGTAATTTCTGAGAAAGGATAGTGAGGGAGAAGAACTTTTCTGTCAGCGTCAGAAATTCTTAAGTCTGATGTCAAATGATTAGTAATGATGTGGAACAGTTGCCAATGCAAATATTGGTAAAAGGAGAGCACCTGGAGATATCAAAAAAGACCAGGGGCTATTCAGACCCAAGATAGATGTCTCTGGTCTTCAGTAGCTAAGTATATATACTATAATAACAGTGCTGCTTTTGATATTTAAAAAAAATGTTTTAAAGACAAAGGGTAAACTTAAAAGTCATGGTTCTTAAATAGCAAGAGATTAGGGTCTTCTGGGGAACAAAACTCCAACAAAAGATTCCCTTTTACACAGTTTTAGAATCAGCAATGATCTTTCAATGGCAAATAGTGATGGCCAGCATTTGTTGAGCCCTCTAGATGCCTCGCCCAGTACCCTTTGTGCATTGTCTCATTTCCTCCTCACAGCAGTCCAGTGGAGGTAGTATTAATATCCCCATTTTCCACTGTCAAAGCTCACACCACTCTTCACTGTTGGAGACAAGACATAATTCTCCATTTCCAAACTAATCATCTTATAAAAGGAAGAAAAAGTGACTTCACCAAAACAGCTGTGGGGGCAGTGGCACAACTTGAACTTGAAGCTAAGTCTTGTGGCTCTTTTTGCCATTGGATGGTGGCTTCTATGAAATTCTGTTGCTTGTGGTTAATTAGTATCATCAACTTGCACAGTTCATTTCTTAGTCACATATGCATGTTAACTGTCCCTTTCAACTAGATGAGAGCAAGAATGATTTTTTTTTTTAACGTTTAAGTTCAGGGCCACATGTGCAGGATGTGCAGGTTTGTTATATAGGTAAACGTGTGTCATGGGGGTTTGTTGTACAGATTATTTCATCATCCAGGTATTAAGCCTAGTACCCATTAGTTATTTTTCCTCATCCTCTCCCTCCTCCAACCCTCCACCCTCTAGAAGGCCCTAGTGTGTGTTGTTTCCCTCTATGTGTCCATGTGTTCTCATCATTTAGCTTCCACTTGTAAGTGAGAACATGCAGTATTTGGTTTTCTGTTTTGTGTTAGTTTGCTAAGGATAATGGCCTCCAGCTCCATCCATGTCCCGCAAAGGACATGATCTCTTTCTTTTTATAGCTGCATAGTATTCCATGGTGTGTATGTACCACATTTTCTTTATCCAGTCTATCACTGATGGGCATTTGGGTTGATTCCATGTCTTTGTTATTGTGAATAGTGCTGCATGAACATACACGTTCATATATGTCTTTATAATAGAATGAGAGCAAGAATGATTTCAGTTGCCCTGCAGTAATACTAAGGGTCTAATAGACCCTTAACAAATATGAACTGGCTGTCAAAATGCCTCTGTGTTCGGTGTGTCTTGGGCTGAAATCAAGGGACCCAAATTCTACCTCCATTACTATTTAGCTATAAGAACTGGGCACATCTCTGAAACTCTGTTTGTGCCACTGGGATAGGATAGGTGGGTGGGCAGGGGTAGGGGCAACCAGTTTTTTTTTCTGATCTTCCAAGGAGAGAAATGAAATATCAAAAGTGGAAATTCTTTGGGTATTTATTTTACAAGAGGTTTTAAAGAGCTATTGGAGTCATTTGGCCTACAGAGACAATTTTAATGGAGTAATGAAAGAAGATGGTGAGATCCTGGAGAATAAAGCAACCACCCACGTGACTTTATCCTATGTGTGTAAATATGCACAACACATATGTACAACATCAGAGAAACAAGAACTTTGAAATCATACAATTTGAGTCCCAGCCTTTGCCACTTAGCTGTGTGGTCTTGAGCAAGTTACTTAAGCTTTGATTTTTTTCATCAGGAAGTTGTGGGTAATAATATTCCCCTAAAACAAGATTAAATTAGAGAATTATGAAAAACAGTCAGCATGTAGTACATTACAGGTCTTCAGAAATGGTAGCGATTACTATTATTGAATGAACCATTTATTGAGTGTTTAATCTTTCAGAAACGTGTATAAAGGAGATACAAGAAAAGAAATGGGCAAAGCTTGTGCCCTCTGGAGATTACAATTTAATAGGTAATAGTTGAGGAAAAAAAACTCAACTTCCCATCAATATAGCAAATCTTATTCAACAGTGGATAATTAAATGGAAATTCTGTGATCCGTTCTCCACATCGAATGGTACCGTATTCCTTGAAAGCTCTTTATCCTCAAGTGATTAAGGAATATTTTATTTTGATTGAAAGTGATTTGAAACTTGCCTTCTGTGAAGGGTTAACAATCCATATTATTATTTCTTTCTTTTATTGACTTTGTAGCTAAAGAACCTTTCCTTGTTCAACCTGACTTTGCCTTTAATTTTTCTCTTCCTTGTTATCTGTTGTATACAGTAATTGGGAATTCCTTTCCTTTCCATCTTTTAACCACTCCTCTTCTTTGCCTCTCTCTTTGTGCTGAATCAAGAATGCATTTCAGGAGAAGAAATGTTTGTATATGTCAATAGTTCCAAAAGTATGATTTGGCTGATCTCAGGAGTTTTATTTTTAGAACTTGGAAGTTGAGTTGCATTTCAGCAGCTGGTTGGAAAACAAGCTTCAGATATGTTTACAGGCTGGGAGCAGTTTCCACTTCTGCCTCAAGGGATCACTGGTTAGGTAGTTCAGGCTACCAGGCTTCAGAATCTCCTTTGGCCAGGTCACTCCTCCTGATCTGAATTGCTTACCATTCTCCTCTCAGGAAGTATTTGGTTTATTGATGGTGTCCCAGTAGAATGATAGCATTGTCTTTAGTCACTGACCTGGGCAGGGCAGATGACTTTCCTTCTTTCTGGCCCAGCCTCTTGTCTGTAGATTATGCATAATATTTGGCATCGATTATTGTGACCATTAAATGAGATAATACATGTAGAATGCTTAGGACGTATAGTAAGTACTCTGTAAATGTCCACTGATATTAGTATTAACTTTATTTTCATCACGATTTTTATTATAGAATAGCCAAACAAATATTATCGTTACAATTTTATTTTGAGACAGGGCCTCGCTATGTTGCCAGGCTGGCTTCAAATTCCTAGGCTCAAGCAATCCATCTGCTGTTGAACCTGGCTAAATGTTATTTTTTTACTGCGTTTTTATTCTTTTTCAAAGTGCTGTACTGAGTACTCTGTGCATAATGAATGCTCAATGAATAGTGCTGGTGTCCAACATTTCCTACCTGGCATCTGACTTATTATTGATGTTCATAGTCCTACAAGGGAAAATGATCATCTGTTCTCCTCAGCTGGTAAATAAATTTGGACAATGGTAAATAAATTTGGACAAGATTCTTATAGACTGAAATTGATTTTGGCATTCATTATAATCTTTGTCCTATTTAATGTTCATATTTATATATTTCACTGATGGGTTGTTACATAATATACAGTATATATAGTATATGTAACATTAACTTTCTAAAATCTAAAGGGTTCTGCATTCTGAAACATACCTGGCTTCTTAAAGGAAACCAGATAAGGGACTGTTGGCTTAGAGATGTGGGCGAATTGATACTTTATAAAGCTTTTCTGTGCACTGGCCCATCTGATTGTTGTAAAAGCCCATTGAAATCAGCAGGGCAAGCATGAGTCCCATTTTACAGATAAGGAAATGGAAACACAGGGACGTTGGATTACCTGTCCAGGTGACACAGTAAATGGCCAAGTTCCTATATTTCTTCTGCCACACTTCCTGCTCTTCTCTGTGATGTTGAAAGAGCAACTAATCTTGCCTGTAAAACAACGAGGAGGTGATATCTGGTTTGAGTTTTGAAGGATGGGTCACTCTACATGCCGCAAGTAATTGGGACCTTTTTAGCATCATGGAAACTAATCTGCCACTTGATGGAACTTAACCCAGGGTAGTTTCAGGAGTATGAGTAAAAAAGGGGGAGAAAAATAAACCTGAAAAGGATAAAGACATATTTAGGCATTAAAAGATTTTACTTTTTATTTATCTGCCTTCTATTTTTTATTTTCTCATGTTTGTGCATAGAGAGGATTTTTAAGAACCAAAGAAAAAAAATTCAATGGCCTCTTCCCTAACTCAAGCTTGAAAAAAGATCCAAAATAGATTTGATTCAAAGAATAATATTGTCCCATTATTAAATTTTGGTATCAGAAATGCATAGAGAAATTTAATGATTATTTCATGATGCAATCAATACTCTGTGGACTCTGCCATGTTTGCTGGGAACTTGGAAGTGACATTTTAAAGGATATGTTAATTTTTTATTTTAGTGACCTTTTTTTCCTTCATTCATTTGCAGGAGTTTTAGTATTTGGGCCAGAACTGCTTAAAACATATTTTAAATAAAGCTTCTCAACCTCACTTCCCTCCTTTTTTAATGATGTAATCTTTGATCATTTTAAATGTTTTAACAGAGCTCTTTAAAGAACACCAAATCTTTGTAAGATTTCTCAGATAACATTGTCCTACACCTGGAACACAAGAACCATTTTGAAACTGTAATTTGGTCCCCGAAGAGCCCTTCAGCCTCTTCCCTGCTTGCTTGCCCTGACTGGACTGTCTAGAAAGAAAGCTGAAGATAAATGGGGCTGGATTTATGCAGAGTAACTTAAAGTCTCCTGCCTCTTCTTGTCTGTCTTGTGGAGAATATACTTGGAAATGTGTTTTAAGTTTGAAGCATCCCTTGAACACCTATTTTGTGATTTTGTTTTCTTCCTTTCTCTTCGTGGAACCTTTATTAGAAGACTGACGAGCCTTGGCCTCAGCAAAGGATTAAGTGAGCAGATTCTTCATGTAATAAATCTAAAGACATATTAAAAGCAAGGAAAAGGGATTTCCCCTGTGTTTTGGGGGGATTTATAAGTGCCAAAGGCTAAACAACTTACAAGAGAAGTAAGATTGCCCCTTTTTCTAACCTGGACATGTTCTAATATTGTGACATAGCGTAGAATTAAGCTGGCTTACTAAGTAGAAACATGTAACATAATTGAAAATGCACAATACAGAGAGGAATTCTCGATACAGCAATGTCCTGTTGTGAAGATTACACTGATTTATAAGGAATGCCTTAACTCCTAATCCCAGCCATGCAAGACTACAGAGTCAAGTTGAGTATTTTATAACCAGGGGAAGAGAAAAAAGGCTTAATAATATATATTCCCAAAATTGAATATAAATTTGGAACTGATGGTTGAGCAAGCCATTCATTTCTCTTAAAACAATGTAACAATGAAAACATTTTTATTACATTTTGACATGTGGATTTTCAAAGAAGTTCAGGCATTCTCTATTTCAGAAATGATGGGTATAGCCAAATCAGAGAGTGAGTAATGGAAATGAATGGTGTGTGAGGGAGAAGGATAAATATTGTGGGACATAAACTGTTTAGAAAAGATCAGCAAAGAAGAAACGTGTCAGGCTAGCAGAAATGAAGCCAAAGGAATAACCTTATGTATAAAGTAAGGGTTAGAAAAAAAATCAAAGTAAAAGGGGCGCTTCGAGTAGGTGCTGAGTGAGCAAAATCATTATGGCTTGAAATTAAAAATAATAAAAAATAAGAATAGAAATTGAGTGCACCACTTCTTTCTTTTTTTGTAAAATGTCTTACCAGGAAAAGTCATATCATGAGGTCTGCTCAGGATGGAGAATTTTAAGAGCTTGTTTATGCATCAAAGATATCATGGGGATTGTACCCATGTCTAAGTTCAAAATATATTTTATGTATATATGTCTTAAACTTATAGCCTAAAGGCAATTTTATACAATATATTAGATAATTTTGTGCATGAAACGAAGTTTTGACTGCGACCCCATCGCATGAGGCCAGGAGTGGAATTTTCCACTTGTGTCATGTTGGCACTTAAGCTCATATTTTGGAGCATTTTGGATTTGAGATCTTTGGTTTTTTTTGTTTCGTCATCCAGGATGGAATGCAGTAGCACAATCTTGGCTCCCTGAAGCCTCCGCCTCCCGGGTTCAAGCAATTCTCCTCCCTCAGCTTCCCGAGTAGCTGGGGTTACAGGTGTGCACCACCACAACCGGCTAGTTTTTGTATTTTTAGTAGAGATGGAGTTTCACCATGTTGGTTAGGCTGGTCTCAAACTCCTGATCTCAAGTGATCCGCCTGCCTCAGCCTCCTAAAGTGATGGGATTACAGGCATAAGCCACTGTGCCTGGCCTCAGATTTTTGGATTAGGGATGCTTAACCTGTATATAACGGTGGAAGAGTAAAATATTGTTGAATAGAATATTAAACTTAGGAAGGACTATAAATATGTGTGTGTATGTGTATGTGTGTGTGTGTGCATATAGGAATAAAATGAAGGGAAATATCTTTGGAAGATAGTATTCCCTGGTATGTTACACAATCACAGCAATTGTGGATGAAATCCATAAAGGCTATGTTGACTGTGCATATAGAACAAGGGGAGCTCTTAGGTGAATGGTAACTCATTGGCAAAAATAAATAAATAAATAAATATTTTTTAAAAATAAAGACAATATTGAGCTTTGCATCATTTGTTTGTCAGTGAGACCAGAAGAATAAAAACTGAAATACCAAAAGAAATTTCTAGTTCATAGGAACTGGAAAACTATAGAGTAAGAGAGAGTTGAACATTCAAAACCTTGCCAAGGAGACTTAACTGAGCCAAGAAATGGCTAAATATTGTGTGTGTCTACAGCACACACATACGTATGCGTAAACATACCTATGTAATTTACAATTTACACACATATATACACATAGACATACACACACACACATATATATGCATATACACTAGCTGGCTCTAAGAAGGAAAATTACCAGAGAAATAAAGATTAGCCCAAAGTTGAGACCTGGGAAAGTGATGGCTCTGGAAATGGCCAGACTTTAGCACTGGGTCTACTTCGAATCCAAAGGAAATAACAGGGGAGAGATGCTGGAGAGATTTATTTTTTGCTTGCAGGGAAGTGGGCATTAGGGGAAAAATACACATATATATCAATAAAAAGGGAAGAGGATTTTGTTACCATAAGAGAAGGATGAGCTTCTTCCTACAGTTACAGGGACACAGTTCCCACTGAAATCAATTTTCGTTGCTCAGAGACCACTGCACTTAGTTTTCTAACTGCAGAAGTTGGCTACATACAGAAATGATGTCTTGAAGCCAAAAGAAGGCAGTGGCAAGAGAGAGACATAGGGTTTTAAAAATGCCAACCTCTCAAATCAGAAAGCATTGTTGTGCTCAAACTAAAACAAACAAACACACACAAAACTAAATTATGTACCGTGGGAAATCGTGAACTTCAATACCTCCTCACTTCAGGATAACCTGTGATTCTTTTGTGGAAGACAGAGTAACATACCAGTTTCACTTGTGGATTAACTTCCTGAGTGGACAGAAAATCTGTCTTATGCTCAACAGTCAAGTTGTTTTATTTATCTTTGATGTTTCAGGCAAGGGGAAGAAAACAAATAGTTTCCATAATAAGGTAGACACTAGCCCAGGATGCAGTAAAGCATTTCCTGAGGACTTGGCTAAAAGGAGGTAGAACTAATACCATCAAAGCTGATTGAGTTTTATTTTAAAATGTTAAATAGAAAACCTACACTTTCAAAAGTGATCCATTCCCAAGTAAAGGGAAAATGACATCATCTCAACTTCAGTATATAAAACTCTTGTATATTTGATACCAGGCTTAGCAGCAGGGTGGCGGGGGCTTCGGGGAAGGACCAAAAACAAAGGCAGCAGACAAAATGAAAAGTATAAATAGAAGTATTGAATATACAGTAACCTGGAGGAAATTACTCTAATGCTGCTCTCAGTTCTTGTCTCCATTTGTAACAATGAGAAAGAAATGACTGAGGTATGTAAGATAATGCTATAGGAGTCCCATGGTTCAGACAGGAAAAAGGTCTGTGTCTTTAGAAAAGAAAATTAAAAGATTAATGGAGCTCGTTGAGAAGTTTGCATGGTTCTGAGAGGCATGTAGAAGTGGCTGGTGGCTATTTGTTTTGGAATTAAATATATGAGGATAAGGGCTGTTAAATGAATAAGCAAATGCGGATCATCTTTGACATTCTTTGTAGGAAAGCATAATTACCACATTGAATAAAGGCCTAGTGGCCAGACAGCAGGAATTAAACATTTTTAAAAAATTAAGTAAGTGTAACATTTAGGGAAAAAACTCTTAAAATATCCCTGTGTGACAGTTTTAGCTTTGCACAATTTTTTTATATCTAGCATATATATTTTCATTTTACGCATTCTCACAACAACCTAGGGGATTAGACAGGAGGATATTATTATAGTTGTCCTTCCGTATCTGTGGGGGATTGGATCCAGCATGCCCCCTTGGATAACAAAATCTGCAGATGCTCAAATCCTTTATATAAAATGTCATAATATTTGCATATAACCTAGGCATATTCTCCCGTATACTTTAATCTCTATATTACTTAAAATACCCAAATCAATGTAAATGCTATGTGAATTGTTGCCATACTGTATTTTTAAACATTTATTTTATTTTCGTATCATTGTTTATTGTTTGAATATCTTTGATTTGTGGTTGGTTGAATCTGTGGATGTGAAACCCCATAGATAAGGAGGACCAACTGCAGAAGAGGAGTAGAGAAGACCTAGATGTTGGCTTTGACTCTGCTGGTAGCTCATTCCATGACTTCACACATATTCCCTTAATCCCTCTGGGTCTAATCTGTAAAATGGAACATCTGAGCAAATAATTTGTGAAGCTTTTCTGCTCTAGATTCTAGAAACCTTTAGTTGTCCAGTTTCACTAATGAATTAGGGATAACAGAGGCTAGAATCCCATTCTCGTAGCTCAGCATCATAAATAACTTAGATGTACTTATTCTCAAGCTTTCTGCTCAGCTTTGCCATCATTGAGGTTTTTTTCCTTAATTTTTCCTGTATATAACATTAAGCAGTAGAGGAATTGCTAGGACTTGTACAAATTTATTTTTAAAATTTTAACCTCAAGAAACCTAAGTAGAATGACAAAGTGGATCCTTTAGCTGCTCCAACTGAAAAGCTGGCTAAATACTGTCCTCAGCAGAATTTTCCAGGGTCCTTCTTGCCATATCCCACTTGCAAGTACTGTCTCCCCATCCTCACCACTTGCCATCCCCATCTATTGATTTAGATGTGGTTTATTCCACAAGTACTTGTTGAATGCTTACCATAGGCCAGGCATACAGTATTAGGTGTTTAAATTAGCATTATAGAATCCTGGCCACTTTCTAAATGGTGGAGTTTGAAGTTGTGGGAAATCAGGGTAGTTTTGGTAGTGTTACAAGTGTTACAAGTCTTTCTCAGTGGGGAACATATGTGGGGAAAAAACCCTAAAGTAATCAGTGGGAACTTAATACCTAAATACATGGATGGGATGGGAGCAGGAAAGGAAGAGAATTATTCAACATATTGGTGGGAGAAGTAAAGGGAAGAAAATTCTGCTTGTGTTGATTGGGAGAGGACACATCTATGACAGGGAAGATAGCAGGAGGAAAATCTGGTGGGAAGATGAAGAGGAAGAAGGAGGAAGAGAACCCTAGGTTAATAGATGGAGATGGTGGTGAGTGTTCCTGGAGTGGCAGAGGCTGGAGGAGAATTGCATTATGGGAGGGATGATAGGGCAGTAGTGGAGATATGAAGGAGTAAATTCATATCGAGACACAAATTAAACCTTTTTGGTTATTGTTTTTCCCACTGCAGACTTCTCCTCTATTCAAAATGTATCAGTACCAGTTCCATGGTCTTTAATATAATTTGTCAATTTTTACTGGGATCTGGTGGAGGTATTTATTTTAAATTGAAAAGATATAGTCATAGAAAATGTTTTCTTGACAACTCACTGAACAAATTTAGCACATTGGCTGTGAAAGCTTTCTGTAGCTATGTAGATTTATTACTTTTATGACTCTATACTAGGTTCACATTCTTGCCTCTTAGGAATGAATGTACACAACTTTCTCTGAGAACAATTTGGCCCAGTTACATTTTATTAGCCATAATACATGCTAGCCATAGTCAGTATTCTTTCTGGTATTTTGATATTAAGTCAGACATTGATTCCACAATATACACACAACAAACACACACACACGCACGCACACACACACACACGAATAAAAAATGAGGAGTGAATTTTAAGAGGCTCTTTCATTTCTTCACCAACTAGGAAAAACGGAAAAAGAACTTAGTGGTGGTAACTGTCAATATATGTTGCCTTTTGTGGCGTCTCTTTCCTAATCAAATAAATAATTTGTAAGGTTTTGATGAGAAAAGGATGTGACTTCTGCCGAGCCCTCACCTGCCAGCTTTACTCCAAGCAGACTGATTTAGAGGTTTAAGCAGAGAAACAGTCCTTTCTCCTGTTTGCCCTGGAAACAGAGAGCCCCATGGTGAGGTTAATCATTTGAATTTTGCAATTCATATTGAGGCAAAACAGAAATCATTCTTCACCTTAAACCCTGGAAATGTGTTGGCAAACTTTTCAGAGCTCAAGGTAAGGCTTTTCCCCCCACTCTTTGAATCATAAACATGAATGCTTTAAATATATTTTTTCATAACCCAGTCTCCCACTGAAGTGAATCTTACTGGGCAATAGAAAATGGAGTAGAAATCACTTCTAGAATACTGGGTTAAAGTGAAAATAAATAGAGGAGTATAAAAGACGCTTCCAATCACAGAGAAGCTTGTTGAGGATGCAGGTGGAACCTGACCGTGAAGGTTGTCATTCACAATGGTACCTTGCCCATATGCTTTTCTTAAGAATTGTCTGGCAAAATGTATACATTTTATTTAATAGTATGTATTATTAATATTTATTAAATATGAAATTTAGTTAAAACTGCTTCTGAGAAACAGGACATCTCAGAGATGAGCCTTAGCGTGAAGCTCACTAATTCTAGGCCCAAGAATTTTGCAACAACATTACAGTTGTTTTCTACAATGGCTGTTTCTGAAGAAAGGACGTATACATTGAAGCCAATTTTTAAAATCTAGGGTGGTTGATGGTAAACTTTGTGGTTTATTTTTAGGATCAAAGAATTTCTAAGTTATTGACAAGGAAAAGATGTATCTTCGGCTTGGCTGTTATAATTCAGCAGATGTCTCTGTACCTGTTAGGTTTTATTGGCCATATTTTTCGAATGAAAATAGAGACATATGGTCCTATATGTCTAAAAAAGTTACGACAACAGAACAGAAGCCATTCATTTGCTGAGTCATTGAAAAGAAATGTTAAGTACCAATTTGTTTTTGCCAATTGGTGTGCCCAAAAAAGACTGAATATTTGAAACTGGGGCCTTTGAAGAATCTAGGTTTCTACATCTGTGGTGTCCTCTTCTGTTAATATAAAGTCTCTCTTTTTTTTTGAGATGGAGTTTCTCTCTTGTTGCCCAGGCTGGAGTGCAATGGCACGATCTCGGCTCATTGCAACCTCCACCTCCTGGGTTCAAGCAATTCTCCTGCCTCAGCTTCCTGAGTAGCTGGGATTACACGTGCCCGCCGCCACACCCAACTAGTTTTTGTATTTGTAGTAGAGACCGTGTTGGCCAAGCTGGTCTCGAACTCCTGACCTCAGGTGGTCTGCCTGCCTTGGCCTCCCTAAGTGCTGGGATTACAGGCATGAGCCACCATGCCCAGCCTAAGTCTCCTTTTGTAAAGAAAATAATCATCCCATCTGTGTTTTGAATTTAAAATAAGTATGCATTTTCTCAAACTGGCTGTACATGTTGTTAATCTCCTAGTATGTAGGCAGCATTACCTTATGTAAATATCTGGCTAGAAGTAAATCTTTGAAAGAGAAACAGAAACATGACTTACTTTATATTAGTTTAAGATAGACAGAGGGTTTGGGATTGGAGTTCCATGCGGTGAAAACCCTCTTTTACCCCCAAATCTGTACAGAAATGCTTTAATCTAAAGAATGTATTTGTGAATCCTTTGGACTCGAAAACACCAGTGCAGAGCAAATGCCTATCTATCTAACTTGGAATGTTATACTTCAGAAATAGCATGGAATGTGTCAGTTATTGATGAGGATTGCTGGAAGACACTGAGCATCTGGCTTCAGACCAGCTTTTGATTTGCCAATGCAAGGAGCGTCTGTTGGGTTTGTAAAACTTGTGGTTTAGCCACTGGTCCACACAGCTTTTCCAATGCAACATTTTGATGACAGGCATGCCTTGAATTATGACTTTGCTTCTAACAGGCTGCATAGACAATAGCTGTATCCTTGTAGATAATCTGGAAGGTAGGAATTGATGGATTCCTCTAAGGATTAGGACAGAAGAGTTGGGCAAAGGGAGTGGCACACCTTCCCATTCACACCCAGCACTGCCAGCAAGGCCAGGCTCCTTTCCTCCTCCTGCCTTAGAACAACCTCCTTCAAACTGTACTTGGAGTGAGACTTGGGGGAAGTTGTAGGGAGGGCAGAGGCAGAGAAGCAATTTCAACAGGTACTTTGCAGAATATACCTGCTACATTTGATCACATATTTTCTGACATTTTTCTATGCTAGGAAGAGAAAACTGAAAACAACAGAGAACATCATGGCAGAGAATAATGGTTGACATAGCCTTCGGTGCTTGGCAGACCCAGGTTTGAGTCCTAATTCTGACACTTGGTAGGATGACATTTAAATGACTTGCCCAGACATTGTGGACCTTGTTTCCATATCTGTAATGGAGCCAGTATCTTTCCTGCAGAGTCATTGTTGAGGATTTGATGAGCAGAGGTGGACAAAGTGGTAGTGGAGTGCCTGGCCCATAGCAGGTGCTCAATAAACTCTGATGATATGATGATGATTGTGTGGGTTGCTTCTGCTCCTTGTAATACCCCTGCAATGTGTGCATGATTAACTGATCCTCTGAATATCACTGAACCAATAGTACCACCACCCAGGCAGCTCCATCAGCCCAAAGCAAGGGTGTCACCCTTATTTAGTCTGTCATTAACTCCTGACCGCATTACTGACTTAACATTTCTTGCCTGCGTCCACTTCTCTTTCTCGTGTCCTCTTTATTTTCCACTCTGACAACTGTGACTGTCTTCTCACTGTTCCCCTTTCCTTTTATGTGGCTCCGTTTTAATTTGTCTTCCACGTGACAGCCAGAGGGCTGCTTCTAAAACATCATCTTCTGGCTGAAACTTTTCCATGTCTTCCCATTGTCATCTGGATGAACTTTAGATGCATAAGCAAATTGCCTGTGTCTTCAGTGGTCAGCCTGGGCTTATGTCTCCTTCCTCTGCATCCCCAAACAGTCATAGACCTGGCCTCCTACCACACTGAGCTCCCTGCAGTTGCAGGAGTGGGCCTTTAACCTCAGGCAGGTGTGCTTTTGCACATGCTGCATCTGCTGCCTGGAGCACCCCTTCTCTCCATTTGTGAGACAAATAGCACAGAAGCTCTGGGTATGAATGTAGAGTTAGGCCACCTGCATTTGAATCCTGGATCTCCCTCTCAGTAGCTGGGTGACTTTGGGTAAATTTTAATTTCTCTGTGTCTCAATTCCTCATTTTAAATTATGGATAATACTACCTACTTTTCCTGTCAATAAGCACAAATGGATGAAGAGACATAAATTATGTAAGATATTTTCTATCATAGAGTAAGCAATTAATTTAATATTAGTAGTATAATAATGATGATCAGTATTGTTCTTGCTGCTGTTTCAGAATTGCACTCAGGATTAAACTCTGTCATGATGATTTTTCTGACATACCCCCAAAGGCTGAGTCGGGTGTGTCTCTTGCACCTTCCTGTTGTGCCCTGTGTTCCACCTAAAAGCACTCTCACACAGCATTCCAGCTGTCTCTTCAACTTTCCCCTGTCCTGAGGGCTACCTTGCCTACCTTTTTTCATTTTTATGTCTTCAGCAGTGAGCATGGTGCTTGGCAAGTAATTAGTGCTAAATAGATGCTTATTGAATGTATTATTTTCATTTTACAGATGAGAAAAGTGAGATTAAAAGAATTTGAGAGGTGTATTAAAGTGTTCACAGAACTCCCTAGATTCATATTTCTCATCTACAAAAGAGGGTATAATCAAGTACTTGTTAGAGTCAGGAATAAACCGAGATCTCTCTGACTTTCACCTCCTCATTTATTCCACTATGCCTCACTTACTGTATTTTGCTAAGATGATTCTGATCAAATTGAAATGGATGACACTTGATTTAGTGTCACAGCAGCTATTCTGTTCTTTGAACCAAAATAAGTCTCTGAAAATATGACAACAGTGACTTAAGCTGTCAGGATAGAAAAATGTTAGCAAATAATAGTATTGTGCCAGAAACTTTACAGGGTGCAGGGTGTTTGTGTACCTGCTGTAACAGGTTCATACTAGAGAAAAGTTGCTGTGTGTGTTGGAGTGCGCAGCTTCCCTGAAGACATCTCGGTTCCCAAGGCAGTGCTGAGTTTGCTATGTGCTTCCTAACTTTTTGCTGTGCTGGGAGGTTTGTTAGTTTCTGCCTTGTTAGTAGTATATATGGCTCTTATAATAGACTGTGAGCTCCTCCAGGGCAAGGACCGCTTTTTTATCTTCGTATCTTCCTTGGTTCTTCACACAGTGCCAGAGTAAAATGCTTTGAACAGTAGGGAAGGAGACACACAGGCTTTGGCATCTGGTGGAACCCAGGCTCAGTGGCTTATCAGCTGTGAATTGAGTAAGCTGCGTAACCTGCCAAAGCCTTAACTTCCCTACTTGTAAAACGGGGCTAACTACTCTCATAGGATTGTGAGACTTGGAGATGGTAATGTTTGTAATATCCTCAGCATAGTTCCTGGTGCTGATTCAAGGCTACCATCTCTGGAGCACTTAGCACTCAAGCGAGCACAGTGCCTTTTAGTAGGGAGTGCACGGTGGGGCATGCTGAATGTGTTATTAACTCTCTGCATCACCTGGGTATGCGTTTCTTTATACTGATATGTGTATGTGTATATATATATATACGTATGTATGTATATATATACACACATGTATGTATGTATATATATACATGTATGTATGTGTATATATATATATACATGCATGTATGTGTGTGTATATATATACACATGTATGTATGTATATATATGTTCCTGTAAAGTGAAGAAAAGCTGTCGCCAGAAAAAGGGACATTCATGTTTTATGTGTATTATGTGTGTATATACACAAACATTTGTATCTATGCATACATGTATATACACACAGACACAGATACACACATTTCAAAAATGAATGTACCTCTCTCTGGTGACAGCTTCCCTTCACTTTTTTTTTTAACATTACATACATATTTTGAAGAAAAAAGACTGATAGGATCAAAATGGCTGCAGGCATTTTATGGGCTTGGGGATTGTCTCCTCTTCCATAAAGAAATAGTAAAACAAGAGGAATGAAGGAAGAAACACAAGAGAGGTTAACAAATAGAAATGGAATGATTCACCCCCTTTTTCTTTCTTTCAAGGCCTGTGTCTTTACCCACAGATAAATAAATTCCTAACACAGTCATGCAGATTCACACATGAACAGCGGGGCTCTGCACCGTCTTGGGGTGCACCTGCAGTGCGAGGTGCTCGATGGTGTGTAACACAGCAACATGTATTGCTCCATGAATATCCCTGTGCTATCGAAACCTCCTATTGGAGAAGATATGTTAAAAGACTACCATCTTTCCAGTCCCAAATCACTTGCATCTTGGAATTACTGAGTTGTTGACCATTACTTTCCTATCCTTTTTTATTTTAAGGACTCATTGTTGTGATAAGGTTGGACACAGTTATTTTTCCTTCGAGAAACTTTGCATATTTTTATCTTGTATTGTCACAAAATAATTAGGAAAGTCTCCTAATTTCTGTATACCTTTCTCCAACACCTATCTTTCTAGCTTGGGTCTGTAAATGTTCCAGGACTTGGATTATCCCTTTGCTGGTTGAGTACCTGGCATCTAGCATATTGCAGCCCAGAATACGTGGCAGGCTCTGGGGATGCCAACTCATTTTAAGGAGAAAACACTCATTTTTCCTGTGACAATGAGCATGACATTCGCATGCTTGCATCCAGTACCGACTTGCTGCTTTTATACCAAATGGAGAGACGTTACTAAATGAACATTTCTTGCTCTTGTGTAAATAGATAGATTAATGGTGTTAAGTGAAAGCCAAGCCTGCTTGAAATGTTAACTTCCTTATGGGGTTTTGAGTTTCTCTTATTTTTGATAAATGGACCAATCTGGCAATAAAATCCTTGCACAGTAGGTTAATAATGTCATAGCTGAACTGTGAAATAGTAATGTGTGTACCATCTCTCAGCAAACAATAATCCTTGAAGCCTGATAAATCTATTTCCAGCCCAATTGCATGTTCATTGTTACCCACAACTCCTTCTTTGCAAATACAAAGCAGTTTCGTCACATGTATTTTTAAGCAGAAGCAACTAGGGAAGTCAAAGACACATAGCCCTGTGAAGGGAGGTGGGGGACAGATTCATTTTTAGCTCTTCTGAGCCCCTCCTGCCCCCAGGGCCTGAAGTCACTCCTGAGAATCCCTGCATTGCTGGTTGGGGTGCAGTGTAACCTTCCAGTCCTCCCTGAGCCCAAATCACTGATTTGCTGCTGGAAGCAGACAAGGATTGGGACCAAGGAAGCAAACATCCCCCAGGCTCTTCAGTTTTCATTGATCACTTGGTTGCAAGCAAGGTTTGGTGCTATTTAGCCCATATCCCTGATGACAAGAGAGGTGATGTGGAGACTTCTCTATGCTGACTTCCCATAGAGCTGGGAATATAGAATCTGGTGAATGTCTGCAGGCTTCAGACAGCCCGCAGCACATACAGACCTGTGTGCAGAGCACTTCAGCACCGCAGCAGATCGTAAACAAAAGACAGCCAAATGCCCTCCTTGTACTAACACAGAGGAGGAGGTATGGCCCCCTCTTGCCCATCTGTAGCCAGGGGCAGGCAAGTCCAGGGTAAAATTTACACTGCGTTGCTAAAAAAGAGAACTGTATCCAGAATCACGGGTGATTTTGAGGGGATTATTTAAGCGTCAGAATCTAAGTAGCTTGGGGCAGTTCACATAAACTTGACAAACAGGCTACTTTAGTCCTGTCTGACTGTATCAGCATAATAGGGCAATGAAGCTTTTATTCATTCAAAGAAAGGTTGAGTTTGATTGGCAGGGCAGCCTGCCTGAACGCGAGTGGCTCTTTCCCCCAACACTTCTCTGCTATCAATTACCGTTTTGAATACGAAGTGTTTCTAATGTAAAATAATGCCAACCTCTGCTTCTGTCCTCAGGCCCCAGAGTTTCTTTGTGTTATTTATTCCCAGTCTGTGACTGTTCTGAACCTTCCTCTCTTTACTGTGTTTTTTTTTCCCCTCTTCTTCTTCTTTGCAGTCTGTAAGTGATGTAACATTGCCAGCAGAAGTGAGGTTCATGCAGAAAACATTCCTGCTCTTTATTTTAATCAATAACCTCCTGGGTGAATGACATTTCCACCTTAGTGATTTAAAATCAGAAGACCAGGGGATGTCCGTGCTTGTGAATCACCCCGGGTTCCAGGAACAAAGAAGGCATTTTTGTTTTTTGTAATTTCCCCTTCACACTACAAACAACTGGGCTCTGAAGTTGATTTCATTTAGCAGTCAACTTCTGTCTAGAAAAATGTGCACAACTGAACCGAACACCGTTCTTATTTAAATCGGCAAGCGATTTGCTTCAGCTGCCATCTGTTGGCCGGTTAGCTATTTTAATTTGATGCTGGGGACATTACCTGACTTTGTATATTGCATTTTGATCTGCATCATGTTTGAGAAATATCTGCAAATGACTCTAAGGGAGAGGACTTTGAAGGATTCTATCGAACAAATATGTACATATGTTTAGTGCCGTGCTGGGCAGAGGAGTGTGGGAATGTACCAGCGTGTATATAAGACAGTGTGCATCTTACCTAATAATCTTTATGGCCAGATTGAGAATAAATTTTTCGAAATTTTCTTTCTTCCGCATTTCCAACTGACCCTTATTTAAAAGTCATTAATGTTGAGCTCTCTCATGGTATCTTTATCCATTTTTCTAAAGCTGCGGTTTCTCAGGTTATCAAGTTTATAACCCTTGTGAGCAAGTCACGGATGGTGGAGGAAGCATGATGGAGTATCTGCATGAGACGGGGGGCTGAGTGTGGGAAACTTGTGGGATCTTCTCATCCTCCCTTTCTCAGAGCACCCAGAGTTTGACAGCGCTTTGTGAGTGTTTATCAAGAGCCTCCCAAAAGAGGCCGTGGGGCGATTTGCGAAGTGCACAAGGCAAAAAGTCAATAGCCTGTTTTCTTGTGCTGGCTGGGCTTCTTGCCATTAATTAGTTGTGTGATTTGGGGCTAGTCCTTTAACCCATCTGCACTTCCATCTCTGTGTGTGTAAAATGAGGTGATTGTACCAGGCGATCTCTAAACACCCTTCCTGCCCTGATGTTCCAGAAAGCCTGGTTCGGGAGAGAGAGAGACAGACACAGAAAGGCGTGTGGCCCAATCTCTGCTCTCAAGTATTTCAACCATAGGAGCGATTAATATTCACTACACAGATTCAAAATCGGGGCTACTCCAGGGCTGGGGTGCCCTCCTGTCCGTTTCTTTTCTCCTCTAATAAACTCAAATTGCCTACAACTTTTCTTTTTATTATTATTATTATACTTTAAGTTCTAGGGTACATGTGCACAATGTGCAGATTTCTTACATATGTATACATGTGCCATGTTGGTGTGCTGACATGCACACATATGTTTATTGCGGCACTATTCACAATAGCAAAGACTTGGAACCATCCCAAATGTCTATCAATGCCTACAACTTTTCAACATGATTTTATTCTTCTCAGCATTGCCTTCCACACAATGCTCTTTTCTATATAACTTCTTCCTGTGAGGTTCTGTAATATTTGCTCTGTGCCTTTCTTTTCTCACATTCATTATCTTTCAGGTAGAAACACCCAAGAGTGTTTCCACTTGAACTTTCCTCTTTCTCAGGACAGCCTCTTTGCCAAACCCATCTTGACGCATGTACTCTCTTCCTTGAGCGTATGTGCTTGCAAACACTGTGTATGGTAGAATCATATGTTGCCACATTGAAGACATATAAGATGCCTCCAGTTTCTATGTTCACCATTGTGATCATTGATCACATATATGTGCCCAGTTACATACTGTACTGAACCAACCATCCTATGCCAGACGTTTACAAACAAAACATTCAGAAAACAGATGGGGCATAGAGGATGATAATAAGGCAGAGTGGATGGCAGGAATCAGCAGAGTGAATAATAGGGATGTAGACTAGACCAAAGGAGAAAAAAAATCCTGGGAGTTTTGGTTGCAAATTTGGAATGAAGAGAATCTATTCTTTTTTTCTGTTTATTGGGCTTTAGGACTGTGTAAACAAATTTAGGCTGGCTAGGCCAGGCATAGTGGCTCACAGCTGTACTCCCAGCAAGCACTTTGGGAGGCTAAGGCAGGCGGAACACTTGAGGTCGGGAGTTTGAAACCACCCTGGCCAACATGGTGAAACTCCATCTCTACTAAAAATAAAAAAATTAGCTGAGCACCGTGGCACATCCCTGTAATCCCAGCTACTCAGGAGGCTGAGGAAAGAGACTCACTTGAACCCGGGAGGCGGAGGTTGCAGTGAGCTGAGATCATTCCACTGCACTCCAGCCTGGGTGACAGAGCAAGACTCTGTCTCAGGAAAAAAAAAAAAAAGGCTGGCTAGAAGTAGAAATGTGTGATCTTGGGGAAATTGCTCAAATTACTCGTCTGAGTGTCAGTTTCCTTGTTGAAAAATGAAGGCAGTACTAGTATATACCCACATCATAGTGTTGTTGTGGGGGTTAAATGAGATAATGAGATTAAATGAGACATAGCATTTAGCAGGGCACCTGGCCCACAATAAGGATTCAGTAAATATTTCCTCTTGTTACTGTTATGTGGAAGTCATAACACCAGAAACCAGTGCCTTAATTGAAGAGATACTTTTAGAGAAATGGGCACTAGCTTTGATTTGGGAGGCTCTGTGGTCACAAGTCCCTCCAATCTAACCAGTAAAGCTTTCTCTTTCCTCTCTCTCTTCCCATGCCACTTTCTCATGCTCATATACATTTTTTTCCTGCTGATAGTTATATATACAGATCTGTCCTCACTCCAAAGCAGGTCAATATTCTCATTGCTGTTCGTTGCAAAGTCATAGGTGATTTATTACTAGGGAAAATACTTTTTGGATTCTGCATTTGCATAATCAATTAGTTAGTGTTTTCTGGGTTGTCTTCTGCTTGCAAATTGATTTAAACTTCTCCCGTGAGCAGTGACAAGTTTTCTTTGGACGTGAGCACCTGACAGAGTTGCAGTTGGTTTAGGTTCCATACAGCAACATGGAGTTATGTTATTTTCCATTGTGACTCAGGAGTTGGCATATGCATTCTATTCCTTGCTGGTTTTGCAGGCACTGGAAGCTATTATTTCCAGAGCAATATATGGCGACCGGAAATGACTTCGTTCCTAATTATTCTAATGAGGCTTCCCAACCATTATTGGAAAAGGAAGCCATGGAAATTGTGCATCCTCACAAAACTTAGTACTGTCAGCATAACATTAGGTCTAAAAAGGTTTTCAAAATATAATACCAATTGGAAAGTGTGTGTGTGTGTGTGCGTTTGTAGTATTTGGTTATAAACTATTATCATAACTCAGGGTCACTAAAATGTCTCTCTAGAAAGAGAACAGCCTAACAGGAATGAAATAATTTAGTCTCTATTTTTGATGAAGCAATAATATTTTTGAACAGTCAGCTGAATGCCTTCTAAGTTGCCTGGGTGCCTAAAGGGCTTAGAAAGTTCTTCCATGGAGATAAATAAGCTGTCAATTCATGATGAAGAAAATCAAACTCATGGTGTTGATCTTGGCTGGGACGCTGGTACAAGTATGAGAGAAATTTTTGCCGAGATGTAGCATAGCCCATGTGTTAGCAGTTAGCACTCCAGTGCCATACTGTGCCTCTGCTCGCCTTTTCAAAAGGTAAACATGGCTGTCGAAATAAGGAAAAGAAAAGATTAACCCATTCAGGGGCATGCACCTAGTAAGTGACACTGTAGCTCCCTAGAGGATACAAAAAGAATAGGGGCAAGAGTCCAGAGAGTGGCTGTTATTCAGTTACTGGATTTCCTCTTCTCAGCACCTTCTCAGAGTTGGGCTTGGAACTGTGGGCTTGGAACTGTGGGAAAACTGAAGTGAATCTGGGTGCAGTAGGAAAAGGAGTTGGTGGAGATAGAGGCTTCAAGAAAATACATGCCAAAAGCCAGTTCACTTGCTCAGTTCTTTACACTTTTACAATAAAACAGGGTATTTCTCTGACTTTGTGGTCTAAAGTCATGCATATTTTGGAGCACCTAAAAGAAAACAGCAAACAGCTTACTTCTATTTGTACCAGGTTAGTGCACGAATGTAAAAAAGACCTCTAAATGTTACCCTCCTATTATGAAAATCCAAAGCTGGGCATGAGCAGAAGAAAGGGAGAGAATCATGCTATTTTTTAATTTCCTTTGTATTAATACAATCGAAAGGGGGCTATCAAAGCATAACACTGGCCTGCCCTCCAGCTGCTGCGGTAGGTGGCGTTTCACTCGGTTGCCTTGAGATTTACAAATTCTAAAGGTATTTTCATGCCTCCAAATTGAACACAAAAGGCAGGCCCATGGAACAGTGGCTCTGAACTTCTTAAACTGAATAATAGGGCAACGTGAAACTTTTTATGGAAAGATGTTGTTTTTCCTGAAGTTCTTGCAGTACAGGTTGTAGGAGCTTCCTTTTCTCTCTATGCCCTCGGAGGTCTCACAAAGCAGCAGGCTCAGTGAGACCGAAAACATCAGTGTGTCTCCCATCTAGGAAGTCTCCAGTAATAACTGGTCCATGTAATGAAAGTTTCTTCTAGCCAAGACTCAAATAGAGAATTCTGATGTAACTTCCTGAAGAGTACACTAGAGGGAAAAGGGGTCGTGGGATTGAGGGTAGAGATACATGAATCTCTCTAAGCCTCAGTTTTCGTATCCTTAAATGGAGACAATAATAATACTACCTATTAGAGGTATTGGGAGGCTAAAGGAGACAGTGCCTGCAAAGTACAGTGCCTGCTTTATTGCAAGCTCACTGTAAATACTTGAGGTTGTTACTGATTTTTGTTCCTGCTAATATTATTATATTTTATATTATTGGCCGTAGTGTTTCAACTAGTCATGTGATACCGAATATGCCATGGAACAGTTTTTTGGCCTCTAAACTTTTCGCATCCACAAAATGAAGCAGTTGGATCAGAAGATATCTAAGGTTCCTTCCTGTGCTAAGATCCTAGAGTCCTAAAGTTCCATTCTTGTTGTTGTAATGAAGTGAAAAGCACACATATTCATACCAAAAGGGTCATAAATTTAAGATTCTTCTGTGGAGGGACTGGGAAAAGTCTTTACAGTTTTAGGTTGTAATTAAGAAAGTGAATTATGCTAAAATTGACTTTAGGAAAACAATGGTGTTTTGTGTAACCACATGGATATCATCTGGGTATATGTAAATAGGAGGCAGGTAAAAATGATGAATGCTAATCTCTGTAAAATTCAAATGAATATTAACTCTTATTCAAATAGCACAAGTACATTGCACAGGGAAATCAAGACGTGAATTCATATAATTTCATTTTTTTCAGCTGTGCACATCCTTTGGTTACAGAAACAGCTCAGAACTTAGGCATTGCTCATTTCCTAATAGAGTATGACATCTGGGCTGCTACTTTTAAATATAGTAGCTTGTTTGCTCAGGCTTATGGCTCAGTAATATTTGTTTTGTCTTATGAATGTAGTGAAAGCAGGGATTACAGGTATTCCTCAAGGACTAATTAGAAATAAAAGCTTATGTATATGAGGGAAGTTTTCGGATAGGAAGTGCTCTTGCTTGAGTCATGAAGTGACACTGGTTTCAGTTTCAATTTTGATACATTGGAACTTGGTACTTTTTGTAGAGTCCATTTGGAAAGGTTAAAAAAATCACTTGGAATTATCTGCAGAAGTTCAGGTTAAAAATTGTTTGTCCTTCTTCCTCGGTTTCAAGCTCCTCTACCCTATTGACAAATTCATACCTTCATTCCTCTGTTTGGATTTTAGGAAATAAATTCAAGAAAAGAAAAATATGTAACTATCATCACTGTTTCCATAAAATAAAGGTGTTCTAGAGATCAAAGAGAGGCCTTGTCTTGGAAATACAATTTGGCCAAAACTGCCTGGTGTGTGTGTGTGTGTGTGTGTGTGTGTGTGTATGTGTGTGTGTGTGCTTGTGTGTGTTCATCTCTCCATGATTCATTCTGAGAGCTGTTTTAGCCTTCATAAAATATTCATGCTAGTTGTGCATGGTTCTATAATTGCCATCTCAGGCCTTGAATTATTTATAGGTTGTACTGTTCACATAGTCTCATTTACTGATAGAGAAGATAACACCATACAAGAGGATCCCAAACACTCTGAGGCCTGTTACTTTGCATTAAGTAGTGGAATTATATTACTGTAGGTGTAAAACACTGGCCTTTTTTTTCCTCCTCTCCCTTTAATATATCATTTTTGTATTTATAATATGCTAATTGTCAGAATGCTGTTAAGCCTCATAATTCCTGCCGAGTCTTGCAGAAATCAAGATGTGGCTGAGATGATTTAGCTCTTGATCTCAGAATGATCGTTCTAAAAAAAACCTGTCTACACACAGCGTAATTTATTGAAATGATGTATGACTTTACATGCATACCTGAGCCCTTTTGTTTTGTACTATTGATCAGTTTGTATGTCTCAGTGTTAACCAACACGTGGTTGGTTTCGGTAGACATTTACCAAGAGCCTTGCAAGCTTGCTGTCCCTAATTAAATACTGAGTCTCAATTCACTTGTGTGACAGTTTCTCTGCACCTATTTATTTTGCTTTCCTAATTCTCCTTTCCCTTTTCTGCCAACTTGATCTTTCTTCCACATAGATTATATTCTTGATATTTATTTGAGGGTAGGAACATGCTATAGGAACATACTATAGTTGTATCTCCTCTCTCTTTTTTTGGTGTTATTTAGTTGCAAAAGTCCATTTAATGTTAATAAATATCAAAAGCCAGATTCACCACAGAGTGTACTTTTCTGGTATTTCATTATCAGTATCCATGTTTAAAGAGGAAAAACAGAAAAATTCATGGCAGCTCATAATCTGCTGATATATTCTAGTTTTCTCCTCTACCAGTGGAAACTCATGAATTTTCCTCTGGCCTAGGAACTTCCAACTCTATACAAATCACTAACAAACAATCCTCCATCTCCTCTCTTTAGGCTGATCAATATTTTCTCTCTAGCCTTCTTTCCATCATACAGGTTGTGTTCCCTTATGTGTGTGATGTGAGCTTTCCCATACCTATATTAGCCAACTCGCAGCTTCTCACTGTTGATCTGCATACTGCTGGTGGTGGTACTTCTCACTGTATACCTACATACTGCTGGATGCTTTTAAGTGGTACCTGTAGGTGTCTTTAAATAGCACTGAATTAGGTGATAAGGAAATCATCTTATTTAAAATTTCTTTTAGTTTTCCTGATGAGGCCAAAGTCCTTGTTTGGTGGGAATCTGTCTTTAACACCTCCCTCACATTTGCTTCATCTTGGTTTTCAATGAGTACCCTGTGGTAGGCAACAGTATCTAGCCAAAATTTAGTAAATTTTTAAAATTTTGTTTACATTCACTTTTAATTATGTTGCTTTCTTTTATCTCAGATAAGTAGTATGGGTTTTCATTCATAGTAGGAATGGAAAGTGTCATTCAAAAATAAGTTTATTAGGGATAAAAGGAAATGAGTCAGTATACATAAAATATTAAGTGAATATTATTATAGGTAAAAATGGCAAAAACTCTGAAGGTGCTGTTATGAGTGATTGAAGTTCAGGGAACACTGTGGCAATGCCAAAATGTGGCGAATCACTCTAGAGAGCTGTGTATTCTATAGAGTCAAAGGGAATGGAAGGGTTGAGTGATGCATAAAAAGAGGATGTAGAATCTAAGATGCTAGTGGGGGTAAAGACGTGCACTTTTGGGCAATTCACTTATCTTTGTCTTTAGACAGTAAAATCCCCACTAACTAGGGTTCTGGTCAGTCGGCTTTTCTAATTGAAGGTTCACTTGTATTGATGAAAATCATTTCTAATGGCACAGGAGTCCCATTTCCACTATAGTAAGTCAGAGTTGAGGGAGAAATTGACTATCATTAATGAATGAAGGTTTTCAGGTTGTTTTAAGCCATTGTGGATCTTGTAATGTTGATTAGCAGTAAAAAAAAAAAAAAAAAAAAAAAAAAAAATTAGTGTCATTCTTGACTGAAGAGCCCTGGACAAAGGTATGGCTTTTGATAAAGCCAAAATATTAGCTTGTTTTGTTATTCAAAGGGAATGTGCTCTGGGAGATTTCTGGTCTACACCCAGGGACAGTGCCTGGCATATTGTAACAGCTTAGCACATACCCATTGTATTGAACTGAATTAATGGTATGTAGCAGGGCTCTGATTAACTAATAGTTCCTCCAAAAATGTACACACAGAAAAGAAAAGTGAAGCATGATTGAAGATGAAATAAGATCATTGTTTCATCTACCAGTGTATCCCACAGAGTAAATGCCTATGTTTGTACACTGGGTGGTGGCCCAGGAATAAATTATGTAGTTCTTAGGAGCTTTCGACAGTTCACTTGACAAGAGTGAATTGTGTGCTAAGCAGGTTTTAAAATTAAAATTCAGATATGAATGTCTTGCATTCTCATTTCCTTCCATTCTATCACCAAAATCAGAAAAGACCAAAAACAGGGCCGGGTGCAGTGGCTCACGCCTGTAATCCCAGCCCTTCAGGATGCCAAGGCTGGTGGATCAGTTCGCGGGGTCAGGAGTTCGAGACCAGCCTGGACAACATGATAAAACCCTGTCTCTACTAAAAATACACAAATTAGCTGGGCATAGTGGTGCATACCTGTAGTTCCAGCTACTTGGGAGTCTGAGACAAGAGAATCGATGGAACCCAGGAGGCAGAGGTTGCAGTGAGCTGAGATCATGCCGCTGGGCTCCAGCCTGGGTGACACAATGAGGCTCCATCTCAAAAAAAAAAAAAGAAAAGAAAAGACCAAAAGTTTTCTACTTGGGTAGATAGGAAAGTCCAGTCTAAAGGCAGAGGGAAGCTTAAGACCATCATGGGGTTGGGATGACTGCATCTCTCCTGACTACTTATTAGTGTCTGTTTTGGCAACAGAATTAGGTTGTGAAGTATGTTTTGTAAAATTCTTTCCACTGACTTTCCATATTCTTAGAAAAGCCATGGCTGCAATTCCACCAAGTGCTCTGCACCTGCTGTGGTAACTACCTGCCTTCTTTTAGGCTTTGATCCCATTGGACCTGACTGTTCCAAGCTGGTGCTGTCTGGGTTTTTGTTTTGTTTTGTTTTTAGTTCAATTCTAGAAAAATGAATTTGGTGCATTGCTGTAGGAAGAGATCCTGGATCGTAAGGCTAGGTCTGAGGAAGGTTGTGGCCCCAACTCTGCAATGAATGAACTGTGCGTCATTGAGCAAATCCACTAAGCTATCTGAGCTTCTATCTCCCCATCTGTGGAAAGACATGACTGAATTAGAGGTTCTCCATTGTAACATTTTATGATTCTATCATTCCTGTTTCCACCTATGGGGATGGACTTCAGATCCTTGGCCAGGGGGTTTTATAAAGTCAGAGCATCATTTGTCATAACTTAAAGAAGACTGCTTGTTAAACATTTCTTATTTCTGCCTCCCTAGACATGTGACCATCTGCAAGAATGACTTTCTGGCTATTTCCTCCCTATTTTGATTGTTCTACATATTATTATTATTAGGTAAATATTCCTAATAGCAACAGTTGTGTTAATGCAATTGTATGGCATTTTTTTCCAAGGGAGCCCAAATGTGTCTAGAACTTTATTTAATTATTATTTTTTAAGTCAGGAGGGGATGGTCATGCAGATTTGTTCTCATGCAGAACTTTGTTTTTTCTAACTACCTGGCATTTGGTTTTAATGTCTTAATTTGTCTTCTGCAGCAATCTGCATGTCAGAAGTTGAACCTCTCCAAGCTTATGCTGGTCTTAGACCCTAAGGCTTGAAGGGAAAGTAGTAGCAGCTAGATGAGCACCTCACTTATCTGATATTTCTTCCAAGTAGTGCCTGGTCTTTTCTAGAATGTGTGCTGTGATAGGGAATTCATCTTGTAAGGCAGCCCCTTCACTATTAGAGAGTATTTTTTTCCTTCTGTCGTATTAGAGTGTTCCTTCTTGACTGAATTTTCAGGCTTTGGTCCCAGTCTGTCCTATAGACTTTTTAATTGTAAGTTTGCTGCTTCGTACAAAGAGTAAATAGTTCAAATATTTGGAAACAGCTATCTTGTTTCATCAAGACTTCTCTCTATCAGACTAAATATTCCTTCAAATATTCTCCTCATGATCTTGCAGAGTCCTCTGATGCCCTGTCCACTCTATGTTAAATATAAACAAGTACAAAGAGCCAGGGCATTAGGTGAACCAGATGTTGGTTCAGGTTTCAGACCTTGCTATGTGGTTGTGGGCTAGTGGGCAAGCCTCAGATTTCTCATTCTTTTTTCTTTCTTTTTCTTTTTGAGACAGGGTCTCACTCTGTTGCCCAGGCTGGAGTACAGTGGTGCAATCATGGCTCACTGAAGCCTTGACCTCTTGGGCTCAGGTGATTTTCTTACCTTAGCCTCCTGAATAGCTGGGACTATGGGTGAGTACCACAGTGCCCAGCTAATTTTTTGTAGAGATGGGGTTTTGCCATGTTGCCCAGGCTGCTCTTGAACTCCTGAGCTCCAGGGATCTTCCTGCCTTGACCTCCTAAAGTGCTGGTAATACAAGCTTGAGCCACTGCACCTGGCCAGATTTCTTAATCTTCAGATGGTGATGATATTTGAAAATGCCTAATGTCATCCACAGTCTATAGCAGATGCTAAATGAAATTTTATTGCTTCCTATTACTAACTTTATTTTCTTGTCCTAAATTATGACATCTAGTAATGGTGGAACTCCAGAAATGCCCAGTCCTTTCTGGAGGAGGGGAGCAGAATGTTCACATCACCTCAATTATGAACAGTGTATTTTTAATAACATGGCCAAATGCTATTTTGCCTTTGGTTGAAGTGGAGGGCATGCACACTTCTGTTGTGGGCTCTCTAAATCTAGTCCTTGCCAATGTGCTTTGGAAAAAAAACTTTGTTTTGGCATGAAGTGCACTGCTTGTTGATACACAGTGGCAGCTTTGGAGCATGAAATCTTGCTCTTTATGAGTATTTGGCATATTGTGGAATTAGAGTTTTGCCTTCTCTGGGTTTTCTTGGCTTTCTTCAACAGCCTCCCTACCTGGTCCCCAAAACAAAACAGCAGGAATAAATATCACCCTCAGACATGCCTCTTTCTCATTCAAAAGAAAGGCAAACAAAATAGGTATCCCCTAGAGCACAGAGAATAGACTCTCCAATTATCTTCATGAAAGAATAAAGACAGTCTTTCCAGTGTTCACAAGATCAAGTAGTGAATATGTCATGCATGATTCCAAGTCACTGGCCTGGATGAAAAGGCAGAGTGAAGTGAAAAGGGGATGGGGAGACCTTGGATTTGGGTAGGTCCCAAAAGATCAAAACAAAACAAAACAAACAACAAAACGTGTGTGTGTGTGTGTGTGTGTGTGTGTGTGTGTGTGTGTTTATTAGGATCTGGGCCAATTAGGGAAAAAAAAGAGAACACTACTAATATAGGAAAACAGAATGTTTGGAGAAGAGGAAATAGGAGGGTCTCAAGGATTTCATGCAATGAAATGATGTTAAAAGGTCGGGGGCGGGTATTCCCTCCTGTGACCCCACAGACTGAATGGCAATGCCTTTCTCTCTAGTGGGCTGGACTGAAAAGTGTGGTGTATTCTCTCAGGGTATCCAGATCCTTTGGGTCCTCCCGGATAAGCAACAGCACATTGTTATGCAAATTGTTCTATTCCCAGGGGGATCTCACTGCGCCTTGTGAAGCCCTCTCTGCTGGGAAAAGCACTTTTCAGCTGTCTCCTCCTGGGTTGATATCTTTATAGAGCAACCAGAGCAGACAGCATTCTGCATTTTCTTCCATACGGCGGCCAGAGTTCTGGTGTCTTCCATTTTTGCCTTACTTTTACACACATACACACACGTACACACCCTAAACCAAGTGCCTTTTTCCTGTGACACACTGCAGAAAACACCAGTCCTGGACGGAGAAAAAGTTGAATGCCACATTTCATGATTCCAAAGGAAAAGTACATATCATCTTTCTTTTCTTTCTTGGTCCGGCTTTGTCAAGAGAACATGAAACCTCCTTCGATTGCTGTTAGTTGATTCTATGAAGTCATTTTGAATCTTTTCAAGAGTAGGTTAAAAGTTAATGCTTTCAACATCAACCATGTTGAAATCATTTCAAGTTTTGCTTATGACATTCCCACCCTTTTGTCCCCAGCAAAGCATTGCCATGGCCCTTGACCACTATGCAGCATTTTCAGCATCTTCACTGCATGAAAATTGTGCAAACACCCAGAGACAGGGGCACCATGTAATCACTTGACTTATTGGTCTGCTAGTCTGTACTGTTGCACACCATGTGTGGCTGTGTGACGTGTGACTCCAGACCGTACTTTGAAGCCATTTTCTTGAGCATCAGACGTTGCTCAGTTTTCACATAACAAAAAAGCACTGCCCTTTCTTCACTGTGAACTTCTCTCTAATGTATTAGGGGACGTGAAGGGTGTTAGTCCTTGAACTAGACATTCACAGATCCCAGAAAAAAACAAACAAACCCAAAAGACTGAACTGGGCAGTATGTTCCCTGCCAGATGAAGTGCAATGCAAGTACTTTCCTAATAGACATGTAATAAAAACATGTTTGGAGCTCTCTTCTTAATTTCCTTTAAATTTTTGAGTGATTTTTTTTTAGGCAGCATGTTTAGCTCTCTAACATCTCTAACACATAAGTTGAAAGAATTAAACTCTCAGCCATATACACACAAAATTAAACTCTATAAACTCTGGGTTTATAAAACAGGAATCTTTGTCTAGACATTTAAATCCTAAGGCTATTATTTCTTAATGATAATTCAATGACAGAATGAAGAATATGGCAAAAAAAAAATGAATAGGAGCCATTTTTTATGTTGTTTGTTTCTTGGGGAACTCTGATTTGAATCCCGTCCCTGATATTTGAGCGAAATCCTTGTGTCAGAACTACATAAAGAATTTCCAGATGTAGATATACAGTCTTTAGAGAAAAAAAAAATTAAGCTTTTGTAGGATTTGTATAGTCACATGGTAATGCTATCTTCTGAGTTTTGTAGGCAAGTAGAAAAAACAAATGAAGGCAGAGTCTGAAATGGTCGAATGCTCATCAAAGAGGAGCCATAATAGCAACCCTGGAAAATCCACTTCAAACTTTTCAAGTATCTAGTTTTTCAAATGTTGTTCCTTTTTATGTCCATTGTAATAATTAGCTCTGAAGCTAAGATAGGATTACAGGGAGAAAGAAAATATTAACAATAAAATATCTAACCATATGGAAGTCTTGGTACACTCCAATAAATGGAGAGGTGTTTTCTTCCCGCAAACTAAGGCAGGTGAGAATTGTCTGCCCTAAGAACTCAGCCCACAGAGCTGTGACCTTGTATGCAGATTGATTCCCAAGGAAATCTCAGGCCTTCTTTGCCCCTAGAGTTTTGTCGCTGTGTATGGTGTTCAATCCAGGTGTGCAAAGACCCAAAGTGTCTCTGTAGTTCCAGAGCTGCCTCTGACAGGGGCAAAGAAACAAAAAAAGGGTCGCCAGTTAAAGAAACACTGTATCCCATCTTGAACCTTGAGTTAGATGAAAATACGGAGGTAAAGTTACACCCAAATTACATACTAATGATTTTTTCACATATGAAATCATGGCTTAGAAGAAGATATAGATTATTCAGGTCTGTTTAGAAGCAAATAAGTAACCTCTTCCAACCCAACACCCAACAACCACCAATTTTGTCATAAAAACTCAGGCCCTTCCTCTAATTACTGGTATTCTAGGCGTAATGTGAACCCTCTCCTTTCATTGACACCATTATTAGCTGGGATGTCAGGCTATCCTGAAACCTGGCCAGGCACAATAGAGCAGAACTTACAACAAATTTGAAATTAACATTGACCACTTTTATGGGACTGTCATGGTTCCTAGTGCTGCATGTTTAACCTTTTAGAGAAGAAAGTACAGGGGATATTGCACAGCTCTTTGTGAAAAATTATGCATCATATTTATTCCATGTTTGTGCCTCTGTGTATGTTGGCATGCTTTGTTAGTTTGTGTGGTATGTCTGTATGTGCTTAGACATATGCACTATGTGGCTTTATATATATATATATATATATATATATATATATATATATATATATATATATATATATATATACATATACATATATATACATATATTACTGGAGTCCCCAGTGTATAGTTTATAGTTTGGAAAGAAATCATCTTCCATCATTCGTCACTGCCTAGCTGTTGTAGAGTGGGCCAGAACATCATTTGTTAACGGCGACAAAGCTGCACTCATAAACGCCGACATGTTACATTAATTTATAGGCACTGAGTGACTTATTAAAAGTGACGTGTGAAATATAACAGGGCCCGGTATGGATGATTAGGTTTCGGGCTTTGAATTGTTGACAAGGCAGGGGTAATGAATTGCGGGACACTGGCTCCTGCATTTCCCCCTCATTAGTCAGTATTAGCTACATTAATAGTAATAATTGGATATATTCATCATTTAAAATGTTTTAATAAATGTTTGGACAGTACCCGATCAGAGCTGTCAAATATTAGGCTGGAAGGGTTGTGACAAGAGAAAAATGATGATGTTCCTTAGGTGAGAGATTTATGCAGCTTTGGAGATGCCAGCCTTGACTTTCTACTCCCTAAGGATCTCTCAGTTCAGATGAGTTAGGGTTACAAACCATGGAAATGGGGAAACCTGACTTTCTCCTGTCTCAGAGGACATTTCTGCAAGAAGGCTTTGAAGGAGATCAAGAGGCCCTGTCCAGAGGGACTCAGGTCTGCAACTGGTTTGCCTAGGATGGCCTCTGGGAAGAGATTAAGAGACCCAGCTCTGACCCAAGTTAGCTTTGTGGCCTTGGGCAAGTGCCTTCACCTTTCTGAGCTTCCATTTCCATGCCTATAATATGTTTCATTTGGGTCCCCTTGAGATCTAACATTGTGTGAGTTTGATCATCAAATGTGATACCATTAGCCTAGAGCAACCTCTAACTCACTTCCTCCTTTCTCCACTCTTACTAGTATTTATTGAGGACTAACGTATTTGCTCCAACGATGGTGAATAAGACCTTTCTTTTGCCTCCAGGAAGGTGATCTGCAGACATTCTTTAAGTATTTGCAGCATTATCTCTGTGATACGGACATGGTTATATTCCTGCAGTAATTGGAGCCTAGATGTACCCAATTTTATGGTTTAGTTCTTTATTGATCTTTCTCTGTTACTGTGATCAGATTAGAGTGATTGTATTATATGCAAAAGATCTGGGGGAAAAGTTTTAGTAGAACTGTAAATGGCTGCTATTCCCCTACTCTACTACAGCAAACACAACACAACACGGCACAACAAATATATCTTAAACTTGAATTTGAACAAATGCAGATTTTAGATCAAGATGGAAATGATTGTGATCCCATTATCACCATTATCATCATCATCAAATTTGTACTAGCTTAACCTTACTGAGCATTTACTATATGCCATCCACAGCCCTTGGAACTTCATATATATTCTTACTTATTTCTCACAATAATCCTTCAAGGTAGATACTATAGTTCTCATTTTACAGATAAGGAGGCAGAGGCTTAGAAAGGTTAAGTGACTTGGTTATGATCACACAACTGATAAGTGGTAGGGCCCAGACTGGAACCTTTTTAAACCAAGTTCATGTCATAACCAACCTGCTGTGCTGCCTCTAACATTTTGGAGGCTTGCTCAGTTCTGGCATAATTGAGGAGGGGTGTTGGCTAATCAGAGAGTATTTGGAAAAGGGTGAACAGGATGGGAAGGGTTTGTGAATCCTATCTTGAAGGGGTGGATAACTAAAATAGGTTTATCCTGGAAAAGAGTCCTGGGAAGAGAAGGTGGGCCGGTTTCTCTGATTTAAATTATTTTTGGGTTGTCTCAGGGAAGGAGGAGATGTAATGCTGCTATCTGAACCCGAGCTCAAAACTGAAGTTTCTGAAGGTAAATGATAGGAGGGAAGAATTCAGTTCTCAGGAAGAGGGCACCTCCTGGCAGAGCTGTCCAGCTCATATGGGAAGGACCATCTCCCAGTGACGGGCTGCTCTCTGTTAGAGATAGAATGATCCTGCCTCTCCTGGAACTGCCGTCGCATCACCTCCCTCCTCGCTCACTGTGCTGCAGCCACACTGGCCTTTGCACTAACTGGAATGCTTTTCTGGGTTTTGGCATGGCTGGGCTCCTTCTTGCCCTTCAAGTCCCAGCCAATATATCATAATTTCCAAGATCTTCTCTTCTCCCCTTTCTAGGAACCATCACTTTCCATCTGCCATCCATTCTTTTCTAATAGCTGGAGTCGGTAACTGACATTATCTTTTTTTAACTTGTGAGTCTTTCACTTGTTTTTTGTCTTTTTTCCCCACTAGAAAGTCAGTCGTTGGAGGGAGAGTGCTCTCCTATCTTCTCCACTCCAGCAACCAGAACAGGCATAGAACTACTGGGGCAACCATTTGTCAGGGACACTGCGGAATGGATCCCTTCTTTGGGTGAAAAGCTACTCTAGACAACTCCAATATTTATTCCTCATTCTCGTAGTCTGTGAGCACCTCATTTTTACAGCAGTTTCCCTTGCCCCTTTGGCTTGGCAGAAAGGTAAGAAAGACAAGACTATTTGAGATTTTAAGTAAATCCAGTGTCAGATCTCGGTTAGTTTAAAAGCCAGTACTCTCTTCATATCTAAGGTGGCCCCTGAGTTAGATTTTTTTTTTTTTTTTTTTTTTTTTTGAGACAGAGTCTTGCTCTGTCACCCAGGCTGGAGTGCAGTGGCATGATCTTGGCTCACTGCAACCTCCACCTCCCGGGTTCAAGTGATTCTCCTGCTTCAGCCTCCCTAGTAGCTGGTGTGTACCACCACAACCAGCTAATTTTTTGTATTTTTAGTAGAGATGGGCTTCCGCCATGTTGGCCAGGCTGGTCTCAAACTCCTGACCTCAGGTAATCCACCTGCCTCAGTCTCCCAAAATGCTGGAATTATAGGCATGAGCCACCACACCTGGCCCCTGAGTTAGATTCTATTTACCCCCTCAGTAACTCTGTGAGGAGTCTCTGCATCTGCTGCCATTGAGCTTCCGGTTTCTGTATATTTTCATGAGACTTTGGCATCATTTACGTAAAATATGTTTAGAGCACACCAAAGAAAAAGGTTTGAGTTATATTGAAGAGACTTTATAGAGTTTGTATTTATTGTTATAAATGATATTCTGCATTTTATGAAAAAAATCAAGATTATGGTCACACAGTATAAAGCTGCAGATGTTTTTTGTTAATACAATTTGGTTTTGCAAACATTCCAGCATATTTTTTTTTATAATAAGCCATGATACTCTGCACACACACACGTGGTTTACAGCTAGAGTGTCTTCAGGCTCTTGGTCTTTGTTACTTTATTTTGGATTCTCAATTATTTCTTAATCGTAGGTAGCATTTTATCATTTGTTGTTCCGGAATCAAGCAGATATTTATAAGCTCTATCTCAGGTTCTGAGGATACAGAGATGAACATACATGGTTGTTATCTTCGAGGATCTTACTCTCTCATTCCGGGGAGATTGGTAAGTGGCAGTCATAGAGCAATGTGACAGATGTGGTTCTGGAGGAGTGTGCCGTTGGAAAACTGAGGTGGGATGTTCTATTCCTGTCGGGAGGAACTTGGGAAGGCTTCCTAGAGGGAGAGGTAGGAGTTGTGATCATTCTTGAAATATAGGAGATTTTTTAGACCAGGAATGGGCAGGGGTGAGGACTTACATGGGGGGAGGCTTAAGAGAGCTCAGAGAGTTTAGGAAACATCAAATGAGTTAGAGTTCCAAACCATAAGCATGAAGGTTACAAACCTTTAGCATAAAGGAACATAAAGGATAGGGGACAAGAGATTTAGCTGACTGGGTTTTTGGTGCCAAATTGTAAATGGTGGACTTTATGCCATGTGACAGTGAGAAGAGATCACATATAATTTGAGTCACTAGCAGTTGTATTTGAGGCTGACCTCTCAGGAAAACAAAAAGTCTTCAAAATCAAAGTCAGGGTCTGTAGAATTCAATCGTTCAAGAATGTGAGTCTAATGAAGGACTGCTGTTCCTGAGCAGATGTTCTTGTTGAACAATTTCCAGGTATAATTTTAAGAAAATGATAATCATATTGTAGGTCACTTGTTTTGAATTTTCCTTAAAGCCTAAGTTCACAATATGGTGTCCACTTTGCAAAGGATGCAGTTTCTCAGGGAGGATATAACTTCATTCAGACTTTAAGCAGAGATCGCTTAAAAAATGAGCTTTCTCTCACCCTACTCTTGGACATGGTATCTTGGTGGTAGCATGGGCCAAGTAGAAAACCTGACTGTATCCAATATTGACTTGCTTTGCTGTAGTTGAGTCCTTTTCTCAGCCCTGTAGCAGGCACAGTGGGACAAGCATAGTGGCACGTAGGGGGCTTCTCTGAGATAGCCTTCATTTGTAGTTACTTCTAGTCCAAGATGGTGACTACACTGTCATGGGTTTCAATGCATTGTAGAATGGCAGGTGAAGACAGGTTGGATCATGGATATGCAATATGTGCTGCTTGCTTCACTGGAGTTTTTGTTTGTTTGTGTGTTCTTGTTTTTTTTAATAAACATTGGATGTCCCTGGAACCCAACTTATCAAAACCATTTACACCATTGGGCCACTTTTTGAAGTTTTCCCAGCCTACTTTGGCTGAATCTGAAGTTACCTTGACCTTTGCCAACATTTTTTTTTCAGATGAAACTATTTTACCCTCCATCTCCAGCAATCTGCCACCTTTGACTCAGAAATTCTTGTTAATTATTTTAAGGCAATCCTTGGTTATTCAGATAAAATTTTACATACAAGAATGTTCACCAAGGGATTATTTATCATAGCAAAAAAATTTGAAAGTAATCAAACATTAGGAGATCATTTGAATGTCTACTGTATATGATGAAATGTTATGGAGTAAAACAATATTTTGAAGATATGAAATAACATAAAAAAGGATATAGTGTCTGTATATGGTTATTAAATTTGTATGTACTTGAAGAGATTGAGACAAAATGGGATACAGGTGGCTTTTATTTATCTATGAATTTTGGATTTTAAACATTTTTTTTTTTTTACAATAAATCAACCTTTATAAGAAAAAAATCTAGACACTATTTCAAAATATGCCACTTGGAATTTTAAAGAGGTGTCTCTATGTAAGATGCCACATAACCAAAGAAAAGGCAAGGTGATGCATCATGGCCAAAACAAGTGGGAACTGCTAAAGTCAAACTAAACTGCTTTGGCCCTGGGATCTCATTAAGCAGCAGAGGAGCATTAATTGAAGGCAGCATTTGACTAAGCTAATTCCGGACATTTCTCTCAACTCCTGTGCCATTGGTTTCAAGTTGCAGGGAACATTTCTGGCTCAGGCCAATGGAGGGAGCATACATAAACATGGGGTTTATTTTGTCAGGGATGTTCTTGAGAGACTCAATTCTCTACTGATCTTTTTTTGTTCTTTGTGGACATTTATTTACTTTTGAAAATGCCCCTGCAGATCCTCGCTTGAGTGAAAAGGAGATGTGTTCTCATGGCAGGGCTCCATTGCTGATCAGCAAGTCTCTAAAAATTGAGTGTACATTCGGTTACTGCTGTTTTTAACATTCTACTAGGTTGGCTTCATTTTTATAAATGAATGATATTTTCACAAATCCGCATTTGATAGACGCCATTAATAATGTTTCTCTTCACCTTCCAGTTCCTTTATTTTTTTTTAGCCTGCCTTTGAGTAAGATTCTTGATAATGCGGGTTCTTAGCTATCACCTTGAATCCTCCAGGGGACACAGGGGACAAGTGACCAGAAAAGGTCCCAGTTGATTTTACTCATCACCCCTTTAGTGAGTGCATGAGAAGAGAGGAGATTTACAGTTAAGGTCCTAAATCAGTTCTGGCTGTTAAAGCTTTTGTTGAGGATTTAGGGAGGCTAAAGCTAAAACTGAGTGTCGTCTTGGAGGTTAATCTACCCAGCTCTGGAATGTGTGTCCTGCTCCCTGTGATACTGACATGGTGAAACAGCTGATGGTTAGAGGCCCACGCTCACCCTTGTGCAGGGTGCTGGAGGTGGATGTCATGATGGCGATATCAGAGTTCTGAGGCAAAAGGGATTTATGCGCCGAGACACACATGCAACAGAGACGCAAGATGCGCCATGGGCTTGGACTGAAGGGGAGAAGGAGCAAAAGAGTCTGAGCCATCAGAAAATGTCACTTGTTTGTCTTACCAAACCTTAAGCAACAATTCTTAAAATTCAAGCTGACCACGTTGGCTCAGAAAAGCAGGCAGTGAGGGTTTTCTTGTCCTTCTAAAAGTGAAAAGGGCTCAGTGGCACTGAAGAGAACCATGCCAAGATGGCAGCCAAGTCCTATCTCAGTGGAAATCGTGAGAGGTGGCTCCTGTCCACATGGTGGTGGCTTGTCTCTACACTCTGAGTGGGGTCACTTATACCCCAGATCTGCATTCTTATGTCAGAAGCCAGGGTGAGTAGGCGTTCTTCACACATATGTGAATACCTTCCAAAGCATGATCAGGTGGCTACAAATAGTGTCGTGAACAAGAACACAGATATTGGCCTTAGTCATACCTGGATTTGAATCCAGGGTCTTGCAAGTACTAGATTTGTGATCTCAGGCAGATGGACTATTGATAGTGTCTACCTTAGTAGTTACTATCTTAGGGTTGTTGTGAGCATTCAATAAGATGATGTTAGTAAAGTGCTTAGCAAATGACCTTGCACATAGTAAGCACTCAAATAATGGTAACTTTAAAAATAAGAATAATTGTAATCATGTTGATAGCATCATTAGTAGGTGCGGAACTAGAAGTTTATTGGCAGTACTGTGGAAGTGTATCCATCAATACTTGTCTTATTTTTATGGAGATCCCAAAGTGAAATATTAGACTAATGTTCATTTATTCACCAAACGGTGATGTATAAACAAGATTCTACTAAACATTGTGGAGGAAACAGGATTGTATAAAATACGTTCCCTTCACATAGACGGTTAAAATCTGGTTGGCCAGATATGAAATGTAAATGCAGATAGGCAAAGTACAAGGTAATAAGTGACCGATGAGATATCAACAAAAGCCTTGGGAATTTAGATAATGCTGTTCTGGCCAATGTGATCAAGGTGGATTTGGAGTTGGCTTGAGGAGTGGGCTCGATTACCTTGCAATAGACAGCTTTCCAGACAGAGGGAACAGTATGCACAGAGGCTTGAAGGTGGGAAGTGGCCAACTTCCGGGGCCAAAATGATGAAGTGTTTGACCACAGGTTAAGTGAGGGGCAGCTTTGGAGGTACAAGTGAATTAGTTTCAGCCAGAAATAGTCCCAAGTGTAGTCAGTGAGGTTCAGCAAAGCCTCAACCCTCTTGACCCCTTCTAGGTGTTCACAGCCAAATGAAGCCATCAGATTCATGCACAGATACCCAAAGTGTAAAATGACCTCAGAATTGTAAGAAAGACACTCACAGACTTTGGACACCTCAGTTGTATGGAGAAGTGATATCAACTCCGAATGGGAAAATCTGGGAAGTCTTATGGGGAGAGGGAGAATCTTAACCAGACCTGGAAGGATAGGGGGTCTTTAGAAGGGAGAGAAAGGCATTACAGGCAAAAGGAATGGTTGAGCTAAAGCTTGGAGGTCAGAGAGAGCTCTGATTTTCCAGTGAACATGGGCCATATTATATATGAAGTCCACAAAGTGATTCTAATTTGAGTTAAAGACCAATGTAAATGCATATCACTTGACTCAAAGGGAGGGCAGATAAGAACTCTTACTGGCCCTTTTTTCACATTAACATTGAGATGCGTCTCTTGTATGGAAAATGGAGAGGGGCTGATTTTTCTTTTGGTAGATAAACATGTTGTTGGCTGGCAATGATTGCGGTGAAAGTCTTTTAGACCACCCATGGATGTCGGGCAGAAGCAGACTGCCTGAGTCCTCTACTCCTAAAGCTCACTGTCTAAGGAGCCAAGACAGCTGCCCATTTTGTTCACTGTCTCCCTGTCACTCACCCGGCCCCACCCCTGACCTCATTAGGAGGGCTTTACCTTCCCTGAAAAGTGAACCAACTACTTCCACACCAAAAGATCTGTTCAAGCCAAGCCCCTCTTCCTTTCCTCTGAGCCCCCATCTTCTGGAGCAGGCTGCCTTGATGTGAAATATAGAGGCACGTTTTAAAAATGTATGTTTCAGAAAAAGGGGACCTTGTTTTTAGGGGCAACAGAGATATGAAACTTGATATTTTGCAACATAATAATTGTAGCAGAAGCACAGAGGAGAGAATTTGGGGAGATTTTGGGGGACAGCCAGGGAAGTGTCCCAGTGCATGTGATATTTGATGGATGGGATTATTCAGCTTCTACTAAATGTTTGTCCCTTAAGCCTTGGTTTCTTTACTTTATACTTTGCTGCTTCAAAGGAGGAGAATGCAGTCTTCAGAGCAAGCCAGTGCCTTCCAGATTTGTTATCTAATGATGACATTGTTATCCAGAGGTGGCTTTATTTTGAAGTGTGTCTGTGCATGTGTGTGTGTGTTTACCATTCTTTTGAGCAAGCAGGTATGAAGAAGCAGTACCTGAGAAGGCAGCATGTGTCAGGCGGGTCTGCTGTTCTCTTTGAAGAATTGCCATGTCTCAGCTTCTAAATTTCTTAGGAACCTGAACTAATGCAAGTTTACCACTAGATGCAGCCGGTGAAATGCCAGTGTCATATTACAATTAACAGTAATTCTGGTGGCTGTCATCACTTACTCCGAACAGAGGATCTCCAGCAAAAGCATGACACCGTCACGGCTGCTAATTCAAAGGCATTGTGTGAACTATGACAGACCTTATGGTGCACCTTTTATGCTTATTCAAATGAATAAAGTCTAGCCACTTAAATGGAGGAGAGGGAGAAAAAGTTTTAACACATTTCTGCAGATGAGCCCACGAAGGGTCAACTTGGAAAAAAAAGTTGTGTTAAGGAAAGTAATTAAACAGAGGCAGAGAGATTGAATATTAGTGATTTTGCAGAGTAAATGAGGATAAATTCTGTTAATTATGTGACTTTTTCCAGTACTAATGTGATAATAAAGTACTCTAATTCTAGAGAGGCTTGTCACAATCCCAGCTAAGGCAGTGACCCTTCTACTAGGTGAGACCAAGAAGCAACTTATAAAGCTTTCCAGCAAAAAAGCAAGAAATCAAAGTTAAATGGATTTTTTCCCCGTCTCCATTTTTAGTATGGAAAACTGCTACCCAACACCATCATGAAACTCTTGGTGAATGGACTGTCTTACTTGAGGCACGAAAGCACTTACACTTACTTTTTTTTTGCTTAGTTCTTGAGGGAAGAAATGTGAGCAATTCAAAGAGTATAAATAGCCCAGTGCAGGATTCTAGTCCAATGATTAACAGCACCAAAAAGATTATACTTGGAATGTGAGTGAAATTTGGTCTTCGGGACTTCAATCTTACAAACATTTATGTCATTGTGAATGGGTAGGAACTTGTTTTTAGGGGCAACAGAGACATGAAACTTGATATTTTGCAACATAATAATTGTAGCAGAAGCACAGAGGAGAGAGTTTGGAGAGATTTTGGGGGACAGCCAGGGGAGTGTCCCAGTGCATGTGATATTTGATGGATGGGATTATGTGTTGTTCAGGTGAGAAGGGATGGGAGAGGTGAAGAGAAAGTTTGCCAGGAGAGAGCCATAGCATTTGCAAAACTACTGAGTTGGCCAAGCAGAAGGGGTGCTGAGGGAATGCAGAAGGATCTAACAGGGTTAGATCTAACCAACACAGTTGGTCTTCACATCAACATAATCTCTGTGGCAGAGAGTAGGAGGCGGAAGATGGCAAAGATAGTTTTGTTCCAGATCACAAAGGAAGGAAGTGATTGTTTCAAGGGCAGAAGAAAGGTTTGTTTTGTTTTGTTTTGTTTTTTCTCGCTTTTAAAAAATAGATAGGCATGTTGCCAGATTTTACCATGCAGTATCTAAGGACTGAGGGAAATATGGTAGCTGCCAGTGCAGGCATATTGCTGTACCCTACAGTGGTAAAGGGAACCCAGATTCTTAGCCCAGTTGCAGTTCTTATGAGCACAAGCTGTCTAGTGAGACTTTGCGTTCAAATATTGTCTATATCTGCCATGAGCTATCTGTTGGCAGGCAAGTTACTAAATCTCCCTGTGATTCAGCTGGTTTCTTACCTGGTGCCCTGGGACAGGAATGGAGGCAGGGTGAGTGGATGGGGGAGCGTAGGGTTGCTGTGAGGACTAAAAAAATGTACTAAATGTAGTATAAACATTAGCTATGCTTAACTCATTATTATTTTTCTAAAGCCTAGCACTTGGTAAAGTATTCAGTTAGGCTACTTTGGAGCAATCTTTCCTTCTAAAAGAATCAACCATCATCAAAGGAAATTGGTATTCTGAGTCATCTTGGCTAAGAATCACCACACCACTAGAGTGTGCAGGCAAACTTGCTTCCATAATTCAAGGAAACATACATAAAATCCCATATTTTCCCAGGCTGTTCACTTTGAGAACAATTTATCATCATTATCTTTGTAAGAGAAGAGCCTTCCATATCAAAAATAACACTCAAAACACTCTCAGCGTTCAGGGAATGGTTTTGGAAGTAGACTCATTGAGAGGGAACACATACTAGGTTCAAGCAGACCCAGTGCTCTCTCACGACACCTCTTGGCTTAAATTGGGGTGCGGGATTGTGTCAGGTTTCTCTCAGAGGCCCCTCTCTGACATCTGGTAGCCATCAGCAGAAGAACCCCAGAGACAGGGATGAAAACTCAGAGAAGAATTAAGGATCTCTGTTGTAGCCTGCTATACCTGCCTGTAGCTTCTTCTTTTCTTAAATTTGAAGACTCTCTACTTTGTTTTAATAAACTATTGTTTTATGACATTTTTATTTATATCCTCCACTTTGTGTGGCTCTTCCTGCCATGCTTAAGAATCTAGCCTGGAGTCAACTGAGAAAGACATTGAAGAACAAGTGCGTGTGTTTGGAGCAGGGCAGGGGGTGTCCCACCATGGTCTCGTTTCAGCAGGTGGGTCCTTAAGTATTGCTGGGGCAGGATTTGTTTTCATGTGTTATGCTACAGATGACCAGAGGTGCTGGGGAGAAAGTCCTGATGCATAGTCACTGTTATGAGTTAGAAAATTCAGAAAGTTGAGAATTCATCAGGCGTTCATTTACTTACTTACTCATTCACTTAGCAAATATTTGACTGCCAGATGCCAAGCACCGTAATAGGATCTGGGTATGACGATGATGGGGAATGAGAGGGGGATCACTGAGGTAGGATACAGGAAGACATTCCTGGGGAGATGACATCTCAGAGACCTGAAGGGTGGGAGAGAACTAGGGCCAAATCCCTCCAGGACCCAGGGTGGGGAAGAGCTTGGCATTCTGTGGATGTGAAAAGTAGCCCCCATGGCTGGGGTGCTCACGAATGGGAACTAGAGGCTGCCACTAATCAGCTGGGTGACCCTGACCATGTCACCTGATTTCTTGGAGCTTCAGTAGACTCATCTGTCAAATGGAAGTGACTTTATCCACTCCCTGTCATATACTTCAAGACTTTTCGTGAGGATCAGTTAAAGAAAAGTTAGAAATGATTTTTTAAAGTGATGCACAGTTTAAAAGGTATAGCCTGTTTTTAAAAAATTGTTATTGATTTAGTGGAAAATTATTGCCTATAGAATTTAGCATAAGTTTGAATACCTGTTTTTGATACAAGGAAGTTTATCCTCATTAATACCAGAAGCTGGCTCTTATCACGTGGTTTTACTTTTAACTCGCTGCAGGGGAAATCAGTGAGTTCTATGCTAAGATTTTGCTCTCTGTTATGAACAATATTTTCTGGGCCCAGATCCTGGTTCTTTCACTTATATGTGACCTGGGGTTCTTTTACTGATTCCCCTCGCCTCAGTACATTCATCTGTAGATGGGAATATAGTAGGCCCTAACATTAAGGGGTGGTGGTAAGAATTCATTAGAATGAATGTGTAAATGCCCAGTGCCTGGCATGTGCTGACCAAAATGGGAGCTCTTTATGTGAAAATGGGAGTGATTCCCATGCCAACAAGGCCTGGCCAGATTCAAGGGTCCTCCCATTAAATGTAGGAAGGGAAAAAACTTGTTTGTGCTGGGTTTGATGGCGTCTTCTTTCATACAGAGAGTTCCAAATTGCTGACTTTTGAGGCCACAGTCTCTTTAGAAGCAAGGAGGAAGGCACCGAGTCAGTTGTTTTGTTTCCTGCATGGTTAATTGGTTGTAAAATGCTACTAAAAGTTACTGCTTCTGATTAAATTAAGTGCCCTGGGAAATCCAGCTGTGAACAGGTGGGTATTGGAGGTTTTCCCTGTGTCTCTATTCACTGTCTGTGGACAGCCTCATGCTGGTAAATATGCACTGCCTTCACTTTTGCTTCTGGGACCAGATGCTTTTCCCAACTTCTCCCTTCACCCAACCCGTCAGCTGCCAAAGGTCTGGGAGAAAATCAAGCTTGACTACATCTGAATTTCAAGTGATGCGATCCTTAAAAATAACCAAACAAAACATGCCATTGCTTCAAAAGCAAGAACTATGTTTGTTTTTTAATGAGAGGAGTCCCATTTAGTGTAGCCACAGGGGTCCTTGTTTTGTTATTGTTTTTATTTTAAAATGGGCACAAAGTGACCCTGCCCTAGTCTTGCAGACAAATGACTTGCTGCCACTTTGGTTATTACAGTTTAGGGCCGGAGATGCAAACTGCATCCCTCTACCAGATTTGTTTTGTCTGGCCCTTCTGTGGTTTGGAAGATTGGCAAATTTCACACTTAACAATATGCATTTCCAGCTTCTCTTCAAATAGGAGGGTCTGACAACACTGTACCCATATTGCCCTGTGGAGTCAGTCGGCTGGAGAAGAGTCAAGCTGTCCCTGAAGACAAGACGTTGACTCTTGAGTTCTGATAATTCCCAGTACTCTCTGTGGTTTTACATGCAGCCTAGTTCACTCATTGATTGACCTTCCTGGGCTCTGTAGGGTCTGCATTTGAGACTCTGAATTTAAAAGCTTCTATCATTTTGAAAGTTAATAGCAATTCTGTATGTGAAATAAAAAATATATACATAAATGTATGTGTATGTGAGTGTGTGTGCGCGTGTGCATGTGATAGACTTAAGAATATTGAAGTTGTGGAGCCTAAAAGTTACCAGCACTCTATTGAATATTCTCTCTCTTACATTTTTGAGACTGTCTCGTCTCCTGCCACCCTCTCAGCACACCTCCTTCTCCACTTCTCCTTATCTTTCTTGGAGGGCATTGTATGATGTAAGCTCTTCTTACCTTCTCTCCTCCCCACCTATGAAAGCTCACTTTTCCAGTGATCTCTACAAGGTGGAATATGAATGGATTATATTCTATTATAGATTCATCTCAAATGTATTGAATTTTCCAGCAACCCCAGCTGCACATCTTTTTGGGTTCAACTCTCATAAATGGAAATTCCATCTCTTTTTTTAAAGCCGCCCAAACAAAAATCCTGAGACTAGCTCAGATAGAGCCTGATTGGCTTGACTTGGGTCACATGCCAGTCTCTAAAGCAGATATATAGTTGGGGGTTATGATACTCTGACTGGCCAGGCCTAAATCACAAGTGCCTCTTTGGTCCAAGTGTGGAATGAGTTTATGCTGCTGAAATGTAAAGACTCTTGAGTGAGGGCGAAGTTGTTCTCTAAAAAAGAGAATAGCAGACTGTTATCAAAACAGAATAAAAAGGATTCTGGCAGTCAATTCAGACTCCTGTCCTCTGAAGCCTCTGGACCCATTCCACAGGAAAACAAGTATACAAAAGTTTGCATACAATGTTGGGGTGATCACGGATGCCATGTAGACCACCCACTGACTGCAGGTTAAGAATATCTGGATTAGATCATTTCTTATCCCATTCCAGCATTTTTTTGTAAATGATCAACCAATTTTGTGATAAAATGAAAGCTTTTTTCAGAATTATGTTTTCAGTGTTTCAGGTTTAAACTGAAGCTGTTCAAAAGTGACATGCGGGGAGGGCAAGCGAGTGACCTGTGAGCTACAAAGCACCCTCAGAAAGTCTAAATGCTGTCATTGTTCGTCTCTGATACTGCTTTAGTTTCATTTTCCATCAGCATCCTTATGATATCATGAGAAATAGTGCTTAATAAAGTGTCAGACTCTATTTTGCATTATGATTTCAAAATGATAAATTTCTTCTTATATTTTTATGGACTAGAACACACAGGCTTATTGGATCGTCTATAATATAGACTAGAATAATTTGGAGCACAGGAGATTATTGTCAGTGCTCTGTGGGCATGATGCTCGCTGGTCATTTTTATTTGTAGACTGGTCCTGAGGTTTAAATCCAAATTAAGGAGTCACTTGTTTTTATCTGAGCTCAGCTTGTGTGGCATGTTGGGATGCAGAGATTTTTTTTCAATGAAATCCATTGCTCAAATTAAATTCATTATCCCCAATGATGTGTGAGGCCGGGGGATGACAGGCAACACATGAAGATGCTGAGACTGGGACAAGGGAGGGTATGATGGGAAAAGTGAACAGACAGATGCGGTGAATATTAAAAGGGTAATGATTATTTAAAATAGTTTCAAAATACTTTTCATCCTTAGCAAGATTCTGTGTCCCCCACCCCCCACACCTTGGGGAATAGCTTTTTCAGCTGATCCCTTTTGTCTATATGTACTTTTTTTTTTGGTTGAAAAGTGAGTTTATTTATTTTCCTTGAAGCATAAAGTTTCCAAATATCAGCTTTCTAACGCAAACAAGAACCCCTTCCCTCCCCTCCCTCCCCTCTCCTCCCCTCTCCTCCCCTCTCCTCCCCTCCCCACCCTTTCCCTCCCCTCCCCTCTCCACCCTTCCCCTCCCCTTCCCTCCCTTCTCCCCCTCCTCCCCACCCTTCCCTGCCTTCCCCTCCCCTTCCCCTGCCCCTCCCCTACCCTTCCCTTCCCCTCTCCTCCCCCCTGCCTCCCCTCCCCACCCCTCCACACCCTTCACCTCCCCTCTTCTCCTTTTCCCTTCTTCCCTTCCCGTCCCTTCCTTTCTATTCCCTTCCCTTCCCTCCTTCCCTTTCCTTCCCTTCCTTTCTCTTCCCTTACCTTCCATTTTCTTCCCTTCCCTTCCTTTCTCTTCCCTTCCTTTCTTTCCTTCCCTTCTACCCTTTCCTTCCCTTTACTTCTCCTCCCTACTTCCCTTCCCTTCCTCCCCTCCCCTTCCCTTTCCTTCCCTTCCTTTCTTCCCTGCCCTTTCCTTCCCTTCCCTTCTCCCCTCCCCTTCCCTTTTTCCCTCCCCTTCCCTTTTTCCCTCCCCTCTCTCCTCCCCTCTCCCCTCCCCTCCTTTCTCCCCCCTCCCCTTCCCTTCTCCCCCCTCTTCTTTCCTCCCCTTCCCTTCTCTCCTTCCCTTCTCCCCTTCCCTCTCCTTCCCTTCTTCCTTTTCTTTCTTCCCTTCCCTTTCCCCTCCCCTCCCCCTCCCCCTCCCATTCCCCTTCCCTTCCCTTTCCTTCTTCCCTTTCTTGACAGCGTCTCACTCTGTCACCCAGTCTCAGCTCATTGCAACTTCTACCTCCTAGGTTCAAGTGATTCTCCTGCCTCAGTCTCCTGAGTAGCTGAAATTACAGGTGTGCACCACCACGCCTGGCTAATTTTTGTATTTTTGGTAGAGACGAGGTTTCACCATGTTGGCCAGGCTGGTCTCAAACTCTTGACCTCAGGTGATCCGCCTGCCTCCCAAATTGCTGGGATTATGGGCATGAGCCATCATGTCTGGCTAGGAACCTTTTTCTTTCCCTGCAGCTTGTGCTGGGATAAGAGAGGATGGGTGGGGAAATTTTATTTTTATTTCTACTCAGCAGTGTTTTGACTTGTTTTTTTGAGATGGAGTCTCGCTCTGTCACCCAGGCTGGCACCATCTCAGCTCACTGCAACTTCTGCCTCCCAGGTTCAAGTGATTCTCTTGCCTCAGCCTCCAGAATAGCTGGGATTTCAGGTGCCCGCCACCATGCCTGGCTAATTTTTAAATTTTTAGTGGAGACAGGGTTTCACCATGTTGGTCAGGCTGGTCTCAAACTCTTGACCTCAAGCAATCCACACGCCTCGGCCTCCCAAAGTGCTGAGATTACAGGCGTGAGTCACCACACCTGGCCCTACTTAAGTTTTTATGCTGAATTTCAATTGCACATGATGAGATGCCCAGGCAATTCACAATTTCTGGTATATAGCTCCATCATTTCACTTATCACATAGTATGGTATTATTAATTTTAAGAATCAACTAGCTATCAATTCTCAAGCTTTAGTGTGCATCAAAATTCTTCAAATGCCCCTCTGGTCCAAGTGGACTCATCCCACAGGAAAGAGTACGTACAGAAATTTTCATACAGTTCCTACTTTCTCTCTGCCAGGACAAGTTTCTGAGGTAATTCTGATGAAGACAGCATGAGAACTGTACTTCAATGAACTTTCACAAGGGAAGGGACTGGGTTGTCTGTTGTATGCCTTCTGTTTGGTGCAAAGTAGGTGCTTAGTAAATACTTATTGAATAAGGACAGACTGAATGAATAAATAGATAACCTAAGAAAATAGGCTGAATGAAGAAATAGTAAATCATTAAGAGTTTTAACTAAGGGTTTCAACAAAAGTCAACAGAATGGTCTGTAGAATTTTGGAGAAGAAACTAAACAGACTTTAGTTATATGGCCTTTTATTCCTTTGGGTTACACTTGAATGATGGGAAAACAATGGCAGGTTTAACTTGGAGATAAAAATTTCTCAACATCAAAGTTTAAAATATTAAGTAGGAAGTTAAGGACACCAATGGTGTGGAGCCTTCCCAGTTGATACTCATGTATGAATTATGCAATATGAAACTAATAAATGATGTACATTTTACAGAGTGTGAGATGGATAGCTCTTAACTGTTCACATTTGAGTTAAATGGTAAATCTTAGAGCATAGAAACTTTGAGAAAGCCACTCGTAATCTTTAGTTCCTAATTTATTCCTTGTAGAATGGGGCCAACATCCCTAGGTTCTGTGCTGAATGATATTCACTTGAAGTTTTACAATGCAGTTGTTTGTTATTTCATTAAAGTAGTGCCTATTCATAGAAAAGTCAGAAAATATAGAAGAAAGAAATAATCTTTGTGCTATAATTCAAAGCTAACTGCCATTAATATTTGCAGGTAGTTTAAGTCAGCTGTGTATTCAGTGCTTTGCATGTACAGCTGTGCAAGGAGCTGTCAGGAATGGAAAGGCACTATCAGAAGTCCGTGGTGTCTTGCAGGGGCAGACCATTATACAAGCAACTGCAGGCCTTGCAGTGAAGACCAAGTGTGACAAGTGCTGTAACAGAGTGTAGGTGGCAGGGATTAATTCTAGCTCTGGGTATCTGGGAAGGTTTCATGAGCTCAGTACATTTATACCGCACCTGGAGGGATAAGTGGGATGATGGGAAGCTGAGATGGTGTGGGAGTGAGGGAGGCATTTCAGATCCAGGGAGGCAGCCTATGGTGAAGGCAGGAAGGAGATTTCATGTTCAGGGCACAGGATGTAGCTTGGTGTGACTTAGCAAAGAATGCTGAAAAGTGAAGAGTAGGAGAGCATATTATTGGCATTATTAGGGACTTTGAAAGATTCACTGATCTAGCCCCTGCCAGAACAGCCACAACTGATTAATATTTTAAAAGTATTCAATCTTCCTTGGCAATTACTTGAATACTCTATCATCCTAAGAGTCAAAAGTTTTCCTGGGAATTTGAATGTAAAGAGTTGTCTTCTTTTTTACTTTTCTTTTGGAGAAAAACTTGAACCAAAATCATGGTGCTCTTAGTAAAATTGGTATTGAATGAGAAGCATCACTACATATTGGACTCTCTGGAAAGGTCTGTTGGTTGAGTAAGTGAATGAATGTGTGACAACGAACATTTGTACTTTTTGAAGTCTTGAATCATAAGTTGAGCATCCAGGCAGAACTGTATGCCTCAGTTACTGTGGACTTGAACTTCTTGATCTCTCTCTGACATCTGTCACCTCCACAGGGGAAGTTAATATCGAAACCCTCTGAGTCCTTAGAAGGGAAAAGTGAAATTCTAACGTGAGATTCTAAATGAATCTGCTTTAAAATGCTAAACACATATGTACTGAACAAGGAGATATTAACAGCCTTTCATTTTCAACCCCTGGCTTTCTGTCTGCATGAAACACACACAAAAGTAGTGACTGGTGACTATCATAATTACATATAGTATAATTTAATCCTTATGGTGATGTTCATTGACACTTCCCAAGAGACCCAGATTACATTGGTTTTGTTTTGGCCACTGTTCTCCATATTTGGGTTGGTTCTGTTACCAGATCACCCACTGGTCTTTCATTATGGTTAAAATGCATTTGAGGGATCACAAATAGGGTGAGAGTGGTTGGGAGCAAACTCAAAAAATATTAAAATTTATAATTGGCTATAATCTAGTGAAAGTGTTGGCATTTCTAGTGAAATGATTATGCTGGCTTCAGTTGTAATTTTGAATGAATCTGGTGATGATAATAAGAATATAACCAGAATGGTCAATGATCCCACGATATATATATAACATGTAAAGAATATAGTTTAATGGATGTGGGCTTTGGAGTCAAACTGCCTATGTTCAAATCTCAGCTCCACTTGTTACTAGATGGGAAACCTTGGGCAAATTACCTTACCTCTTGGTAGCATTATCTGTAAAATGAGAAAAGAAGTAGAATCTCATAGGACTGTTGTACAGAGTAAACTGATACATGCAAAGCACTCAGGACACGGCCTTACACATGGTGCAGTGCTTGTGTTTGCTGTAGTAACTGCTAAGTTGAGGAGCTGAGGCTCCTTCTGCCTCATTTTTTATGCTTGGCTTTGTGGGGTGGGTCGCTGTTACTGAAGCAAAGTTGCCACCTGCCTGTGCATCCTTTTCAGCCTGGGGAAAGATTTACACCAGTAATCCAGAAGTGCAAGTCCTGATACCTTTGCTCAAAACCTGTCCCTTGGTCTGCAGGAACTCTGTGGCCATGATTCCCAGTAGAAATTTGGTTCCTTGTAATGGAAACAGTTTAAAACAAATGTGTCCTCAGTCTGTCCCCAGTTCCAAGAAGGACAGACGGACACTTGGTTTTGTGATCTGCCTCATTTCTGCCACATTTCAAATCATTAGGATGACTTCAAATATTCGCCCAGGGCCAGAGTTTGCACCTTAATATGTTTTGGCAAGAAACACTTGGCATTTGAGTAATCTGTGTAAAAGAACATCCGTGAGGATAAACATCTTCTCTACCACACATGAACTTAGAATTCTTTCTCTCTTAAATTTCCAGTCAGACATTGCTAGGGGAGTAAGTTGGGCCAGATAGCCAGAAGTCAGTGTTAAGCTACAGCCCCCTTGCTCTAACCTCCCTTCTCTGTGTCATTTCTAAGAAATTGTAATTTTTTCTTTCCCCATTGGCAACTGGTTAGTTGTCCTGTCCTCTACCTATTCACTGTCTCAAGACTTTTTCCTGCCTTTCAGATTTGACTTCTAGTATGAGGAGACCTACGTGGAGTGCGTCCTTTTCCTTAAAACTATTTTTAAATTCTTTCATTGGCTGCTGTGCTATGACAAAACCATTTTGTTTTTTTAAATTCTTGCCACTAATGATGCCCTTCCCTCAAGGGCATACTCTGAGCTCTGAGGTAATGAATGCTTTTCAGGTTGATCATGTTCATCCCTTCAGGCTGAGAACACTTTCCAGAAATGCCCAAGATCTAAAGGACCTTGGCCAGTGGAAAAGGTAAACTTCTTGAAATCAGTGGCCAAGAATAGGGGCAGCCACATGCTCTCCCCCTGGGATCCCCAAGATAGTGCCACAACTCGGTACCATTCCACCCTCCACTGCAGGGAGAGAGGAGAGAATTTGCTTCATCTGTGCAGAATTCCCTCCAGGATCTTATTCCTCCCCTTTCTGCCCACCCCACCTCTCAAACAGAATGATTGGTGCTTAAGTCAAAGAGGGTCTCTCTCAGGAATGCATGTTAATATCAGAAAAGGAGAGGAAGTCAGCCCGGCAGTGAGCAACCTTTACCCTTACATGGGTTCAGCCTCCTCAGCCTGCCCTTGTGGCATCCTGGGATTTTGGCAGCCTTATGGGTATCAGATTTTCACATGGATGAACTGTACTCTACAACTACTTCTGTGTGCTAGGAACCAAAACGCTTTCTTTGACATTGAAAATAGAGTTTTCTCCTTCTCACTGTTTTGGCCTGCTCTGTTGCAAGGGAGATCCATTTTTCAGGGCCTTGAGACTCTTGTTTACCTCTTCTCAGAGCTCTGTGTCTTTGAAGGCTACCAGGAGGTAGTGATGACCTTCGGATAAAGCCCCTGGCAGCTCAGGTGGGCTGGGTAGGGATAGGTGCTTTTTGGTTCAATATTTTCAATTTGGGAGATAATCCTTAGACTCTTAGAAAGACTTCCTTGGCTATTTCTGGGCAGTAGGCTTGGACATGGAGGCAGGAGGTTCTGCATTTCTTTTTCAAAGCAAAGGTGATGGTGCCGTCTATGGAAACAACTTTTCCAAAGAGGTCCTTTTAATCATGAGGCATTTTGCTGTTTACCCTCCAGTGTGTGTGGGGTGGGAGCAGCTTGAACTTCACACAGAAGGGAACCCACAGTTGTTTCCACACAGCTGTTTCCTGCATTGGGCCAGAGCAAGTCTCCGTGTCCTGAATATCTGCGGGAAGGATCATCTGCCACATAACCATCTGCAGGCATAAGTCAAGAGGAACTTTCGAGGAGCCTTAAGATTGCAAATGTAGGTTTTGTGTCTCAGTTTAGGTGTGCCTTGATGCATTTCCTGTCTAGCATGGACATTATGAGAGCAGCTGCAAAAATCCAAACGTGATTTTTCAGAATTTGGGTTGGGGGAGGTAAAAACTCAACCTGCTCAGCCCAGATTGATTGCAATGCTTTACATAATAATTAATGATGTACAAGCTGTTGCCTAATGGGCAGTTTTACTGTGTGTGCCCTTCAGTTCTGACTGGCTGGAGTTCTCCACGATTTAAGGCACTACCCCTTTCCTTTATGTGTCTTAGCCTTTGGGTAAAGCTGCTGTAGTCATTATTATCTTTCTTTGGTGGTTATTTCTTCTTCTTTTTTTTTTTTTTCTTTTTGTAGGTCATTCAATGAAACCTATAGTTCTCATTGGGTACATAGGTCTTTGCTTCTTTTCTTGACCTTAACATTTAAAGAGTGAAGAATACTTTTTGTATCTGAAAATCTCAACATCTCTGAGTGCTAGGCAGTGAGCAGTTGCCAGGGATAAATGATGAAGAAAATAATTATCACTTCCTCTATGGCAGGTACTATTTCAACACTCCACATATGTTAACTCATTTAATTCTCTTAACTCTTTAAAGTAGGTTCCGATGTTCCTCCCATCTTACAGATGAGAAAATTGAGGCACAGAGAGGTTAAATAATTTATCTAAAGTCACCCAATTAATTAAGGAGTAAAGCTAAAATTACGGTGAAAGCTGCACAGTGATCCTAGGAGAGAGGTACTATTATTCTCATGTTTTAATGAGGCCACTGAGGTTCAGGAATTGTTGAAATTCACTCAGGCTTCTCTTAGCTCCAATGCAAGCTCTTGCCCAGTATATTCTACTGCTGTCTTTACTGTAAAAACACCCTTATTTCTATCCCTTGCAGACCCTAGACTCCATTTAGTTGAGCAAGTATTTACTGAAAAACCACTGGGTTCTAGGTCTTACGCCGGGCACTATGCATGCAGGGATGATTTTTTAAAAATTTTATATCCTTATGTAGGTGAGTCAGATCCTGCTGACTAATTGAATTAATTTTCCTTTTGGGGGAGTCCAGAAGTGCCTTTTGGTCTTGAGTACCGTGCTGGTCACATGAAAGCTACTCAAACTAGATACTAATATCTGTTGGTTGGTAAAAGGTGATACAGGTATGTCATTGAACAAGCAATTTTGTTCTACAAATGTTTGTATTGGGTTCAGTTAGTTCCGTGATGGGCTAATGTCCTACACTGGCCTGATTGATGAACCCAAATAAAACTTTTAATAGGATGTCACCTTTTGGTTTTATGACTGTCACTTTCCCATTTGAGGTAGTAGACTAAACAGTTTAAGAGCGCAGGCATTCAGCTCTTACAGGATTGGCTTGAGAAGCTAATATTATGTTGGGAAAATTATATAACTAGACATCAGGACATATGGATTATAGTTCCAGCTCTGATATTCATTACTAACTATGTGAATATTGTCATGTCTTCTGATGCCTAATTTTTCTCATAGGCAAAATGAGGAGGTTAGACTAAGTGATGATTAAGATCACTTATAAAATCCTAGAGTTCATGGAAAACACATACCATGACTAGTCCTTTCGGTCAATTTACGAGATTGGTTGTTGACTGTAGATAAATCCCTTAATTTTGTTGTCTTTGTTTTTCTTGCCTTTCAAATGGCTTTGATAATTCCTGGTGCACCTAATTTATAGAAATTCCGTGAGGATTTAGTGAGATATTGGGAATATAAGTGCTCTGAATAATTAACGCATTACATGAACACAAGATGATATTATTTGTACTGAAAGTTAACAGAAAGATGTCGAGTTTCTCGTTACCTCCTTCCTTCCCCCTCAAAAAAAAAAAAAAAAAAGGCTTGAGTTAAAAAGGAGTTTGATCCTGGTCAGGCTGTTTCCTGGAGTTTATGGAACTCCTTGGAACTCTACAGGGTCAATAGGGGCTTTGTCCTGCTGTGGGTCAGTTTCCCACAGTTGGGGTAAGGCTGCCACACTTTTTCTCCTGACAACACTTTATCAAACACACCCGCCTCACAAAATGCAGCAATTCATTAGACAAAAGTGAGGTTTTGAGTTACAATAACCTCTGCTTTGTTAAAAGCCCCCTCGGAATCTGAGATCTTCTCCGTAGGCCAGCAGACGTGCACATGTCCCCCGGTTTACAAAGGCCTTATAAACTTAGCCTGATAAGTCATCCCCCAAATTCGTGTGCCATGTCTGTCTCTCAGTGGGGATATTTTTAACTCCTCCTTCTAACTCCTCTCAGTTCCTTTAAGGAACTGTAATCCGAAAGGGTCAGGCACTTGGCTTTTACTTAGGGGAAAACTTTGAAAGAATTTCTGAGGCTCCCTCTGGGGTAGGGCTGGCTTTCCCCAAAAGAACTGGCCCTTCAGAGCGTCTTTTCCACATAAGGGCTTGTGTGAGGCCTCAGGCACCAGTTGATGGCCGTGTCTTCCCCACGACAGATGGTCAAGCTTTCAATTTCAGCAAGTGATCCACTGTTGAGGGGGCAGGCGGGGGACTCTGCCAGCATGCCAAGTGACAGGCCAGCTTAGGGTAACAGGGATCTGGTGTGTGCCCGGCATAGCTTTTGTGCTAACGATGGGCTGCTGACAGGCGCCCTGCCCCAGCTCATCTTTGAGGCAGAAGATCCTCTGCTCCCTTGATTCTGTTTCTCCCTGGCATAGCTGGTGTCCTGTTTGCCTGTCTTTCAAAATTCATTTTGGCACCAGATGGACCCCCTCATGGTGGCTAGCAGTTGTCTGACTTGAAGAAGCCAGAGGGTGTGCTGACAGCTCCTTCTAGCACAACCTGAATCTGGCTGTCTTGTCTGGGCTCAAATGGCTTAAACACACATGGGCAGCAAATATTACCAACCCTGGGGAAGCAAGCAGGGGGCCCTCTTAAGGGAGAATGGCAATGACGTCTACCTCCATAATGTTCATGTTGCTGTTGTGGAAATCATGATACTAATAATTATTCTTAGTAGTTCGATTAATCTTATTTACTCTTATTAGCAAAATTGCTGTTACAGTACGATTGCTATCAATAGTACAATTAGTATTAACATCATTACTGCACTACTTCTGTCATTACTAAAACTACTACATCATGGTGGTTAAGAGTACAGTCTCTGGAGCTACACTGTCTGAATTTGAGTTCTAGATTCACACTTCCTAGCTTTGGACAAGTTATTTCACTTCTCTGAATCTCAGTTTTCTCATCTATAAAATGGGATTAATAGCAGAGGTTACTTAGGAGGATTGTATGAGAAAACAGATTTGTTCTTAGCAGTGAACTGAGCACAAGGTAAGCACCCAATACACGGAAGCCATTCTTATGATGACTGCCACCATCAGCATACCTACCATGTATCTGTTACTCTGCCTTATCGCAATTTTCACAGTTTCCCTATACAGTAAGGCCTGTTATTGCACCAGTTTATAGATAAGGAAAGTGTGGTGCAGAGAAGTTCAGCTCCTTATCCAAAGTCACACAGGTAGTACCTGTCAGAGTCAGGATATGAATCTCATTATTCTGGGTGTTTCTAATGGCTGTGGCCTTTCACCATATCACACCCACTCTTGTTGTCAGTTTAGTGATAATCAGCCCTCTCCTGGGGCTTGAAGTAGCTTTGAAATATGCCCTTCTAACTGACTGTTCTTGAAAGCAGCAGCCAGTTTTCATGTCTTCAGTGTCTATGGATATAGGATTGAACCCTAGCAAGATTCAAGGATCACAACAGTCAGCTCCACTGTATTAAATGGTTTCTGAAAGCCATGTGTGATCAGCAGGGCTACCCAGCACTTGCCTTCTGGGAGCTCAGACCAACAAGACAGTGCAAAGGCACTTAGGATTTGGGCCACTCCCTTAACCCCCCTTCCTTTACCAAATCTGTCATATTGAAAGTGGGCAAGAGTCAATGACTGGCTGATTGTCCTGTGCAAGGACAGTGTGGGTCTTGGTACCGGAAAAGGAGAGCTCAAAATCAGATTTTGTTTCACACAGCTGGGCTTCAGTGGTGTTCTGTAAGCCATTTGTCTTGGACGAAAGGTTGATCAACTTTGGCTTCTGTGGAGAGAATCTGGAAGTAGCGGCAAGTGATTATTTAGAGGCCTGCTTTCATTGATGGGCAGTCAAATGTTGTGTGGTGTTAAACAGTCATTTTAGGACGATGTTTGCATTTTTAAATGTTACTCTTTTGGTTGAAAAGGCCATTGTTTGTCTCTAAAGAATGATTCCCACAACATACTCCCATCTTGGCAGATTCTAAGAGACCAAGGAGCAGAGGGATTCATCTGGGACTTCTCTCAGTTTCATATTCAGAAATTGGCTGAACTCTGTATGTCTTCGTGCAGTGCTGTTGTTATAGAGGATCCCAGTGTTACATGATTGACAGACATTGCAGTCAGAGCCAAATTCAGACTGAGGCATCATAGGGTGATAGTTCTTCATAATCTATTTGTGTTGAGATGGGGATTTTACTCCAGTGTGGACTTGAAGTGGAAGAAAGGGGAAGAGAATTGAATTACAACAAGAATTCAGTTGACCAGCATTTTAATGCATTTTGATATTTTTAGGAAACATTTCGGCCTGAAATCCACAGGCACATCACATCTAGGCCTAGTAGTAAAAGAGATTGCAAAACTTAGGTATCTTTGGAAATACTTCTTTTCCCAAACCTGGGCAGGTAGAAGGTTTAATTACAGGTGGTAGACATGAATGCCCCAATATGACACTTTTAGTAGCTGCTGCTTTTCCATGATAGACTTTAACAACTGTGATGGTTACATAAGAAATAACTCAGAAAGTTATAGGGTGACCATATAATTTATCACCCATACCAAGACATTTTTGAGAGTTAAAGTAGGTACTATTAATATATACACCAGTACAGCTGGTATAAACTGGGATTTTTCTTGGCAAATTGGGACCTTTGGTCACCTTAGCAAGTAAAACCCATGAATCTCACTACAGAACCAATTCAGAAACCAAGGTGGCAGTGAGGCAGGAAAATCTTTATTCAATCACAGCTAGCTCTTGTCTACAGCAGACAGTTTAAGAAAAACAGGAGGGCCTGGCGCGGTGGCTCACGCCTGTAATCCCAGCACTTTGGGAGGCCGAGGCGGGCGGATCACGAGGTCAGGAGATCGAGACCATCCCGGCTAAAACGGTGAAACCCCGTCTCTACTAAAAATACAAAAAATTAGCCGGGCGTAGTGGCGGGCGCCTGTAGTCCCAGCTACTTGGGAGGCTGAGGCAGGAGAATGGCGTGAACCCGGGAGGCGGAGCTTGCAGTGAGCCGAGATCCCGCCACTGCACTCCAGCCTGGGCGACAGAGCGAGACTCCGTCTCAAAAAAAAAAAAAAAACAAAAAAAAAAAAAAAAAAAAAAAAAAACAGGAGGTATTTGAGAAGTCAAAGGAGTTTAGTTAGTTTGTGAATTTTACTTATTTCTCATGGGTAGTACTAATTAAAACATTTTACTTGAGAGGCTAAGATAAAAAGTGGTTACCAAATCCTTGTATTCATCCAGCATGTATTTGCCAGTTCATCATCTGTGAGTTTATAGGGCTTAAACTGCATGTTGTCGTTGGGGACCATGAGTAATTCTCAGACAATTATATCCAATTGGAACCTAACTTAAATTATGATGAAAGCTTTCCCTCTGTATGAGTGAAAATACTTCCTTGGGGCTTAATTCTTCTGTGAGATCTGTTGGCAGTGCCAACAGTGTTTGTGTCATAAGGAAGGTCCAGCGTGGAAACAAAACAAAGGCTAAAGCCACAAATGAAATATTGGCTCTAACACCATGCTGAATATTTCAGAAAACATGTAAAGAGAATCGAATGCACAACCCAGGGGTGACTTACCTCTTTTTTCCCTCCCGTGTCAGAAACCGAAATGCTAACCATGATGATTTGTTTCTTCACAGGTTCTTCTTGAAATTTTTCCTCAAATGTAACCAAAATTGCCTAAAGAATGCGGGAAACCCACGTGACATGCGGAGATTCCAGGTGGGTCTGACTTATCTTTCTTGAATCTCAATAATGGCATGAATATCAGGAGAGGATAAAAAAGTCTTAGGCAGAAGATACGTAGCTTTTTTTCCCAGAGGTGAAGAGCAGCTGAGGCCCTTGGTCCCCCAGGTATCTGCAATCTAGCAGTTGTTTAGATTAGAGAAGAGTGGGAACTGTACCACCTGTGCTCACTGGTGGAAACAATGGTGTTCTTTGAGTCTAGTTTTGGCTGCCTGAGTGGACTCACTTGCCTAAACCCCCACAGATTAAGTAAAGTACATAGAAATGATGAATCCTTTGTCTAAAATTTTGTATGTAGAAAACCAGTAAATAAGAGTAAAGAGGCTGAGCGCAGTGGCTCATGCCTGTAATCCCAGCACTTTGGGAGGCTAAGGTAGGCAGATTGTTTGAGTTTAAGAGTTCAAGACCAGCCTGGCCAACATGGTAAAACTTCAACCCTACAGAAAAATACAAAAATTAGCTGGATGTGGTGAATTTGCCTGTTGTCCCAGCTACTCGGGAGGCTAAGGTAGGAAGATCACTTGAACCCGGGAGTTGGAGGTTGCAGCTGAGGTCATGCCACTGCACTCCAGCCTGGATAACGGAGTAAGATCCTATACCCCCCACCAAAACAAAACAAAAACAAACAAACAAACAAAAAACAGTAAAGAGTACAACTGGTAAAACTGCTCTGCTTTACAGTAATGGCTTTCTCTTCCTTTGCTTCTCTCTGCTCACCTCTTCCAATTTTGGAAATTGTTAGTGGTAGCTGCCTATTATAAATGGCCCTGTTAAGAAGCATAACATCTCTAAAATGATATGGATAACAATTCTGTTTCAGAAATGTCCTTAATTATACATTTACTAAAGGAAGAGGACTCACAAACAAATTCATTTACTTCTAAGACACAAAATGGTACTTGGATTTTAGAAAAGGTTGTTGAGTCTAGACGTGGTGCTTCTCTGACTTAAAAGTGCTGAAAATCCCCTGAGGATCTTATTAAAATGTTAATAGAGGTCTGGGGTGGGACTGGAATTCTGCATTCCTAACAAGCTCCTGTATGATGCCAAGGCCACCGCCCACACTTTGAGTTGCAAAGTTTTAGACCCTTGTGCTGCTCTCCACCGAATGGCTAAGTTATTTGTATGGTCAATGTTAGTTTCCCTGTCAGAGCAACGATCCATTTATGTATGCTCATATGGTCCATCAAGGAAACAGCATGGTGTTTAAAGTATGCTCTTAAGTATATTTAGTCAGCTTTAAGTGTAGATTGAAATGTATGATCTCTGAGAGAATCTTGAAAAATTTTAGCTGCACCTTCATTCTCTGATGGGAAAAAGGAAAGATGATCTTGAGCATTGATTGGAGATGTCAATATCTCTTAGTCTCCAAGATGATTTCTTTTAAGGAGGTGAGACTTATTAGTCTTATTAAAGAACAAATGCGGTAGAAAAAAGTAATCTCTCCTGAGATTCTGAGGTATTTCTCTAAAATCATCTTGGCTTCACCACCTTTTGGCTTGACACACAGGAATGGGGATGTTTCTTTTTTTCTTTTCTTTCGTTTTTTTTTTTTTTTTGAGATGGAGTCTTGCTCTGTTGCCCAGGCTGGAGTGCAGTGGCACAATCTTGGCTCACTGCAAGCTCTGCCTCCCGGGTTCATGCCATTCTCCTGCCTCAGCCTCTGGAGTAGCTGGGACTACAGGCACCCACCACCATGCCCGGCTAATTTTTTTGTATTTTTAGTGGAGACAGGGTTTCACTGTGTTAGCCAGGATGGTCTTGATCTCCTGACCTTGTGATCTGCTTGTCTCGGCCTCCCAAAGTGCTGGAATTACAGGCGTGAGCCACTGCGCCTGGCCAGGAATGGGGAGGTTTCTAGTTTCTTGCAAAATGTTTCCTCCGGTCATCTGACTTCAAACTTGGTGTTCTCATTCCCATAGAGGATTTTTTGTGTTATGTTTGAGTCAACTTTGCAATTAAGCTGGCAAAACCACACATGTGGTGCTACTAAGTGTGTGTTGCTTAGGGTCTTGCAACATGAGGCTGAATTTTGGAATAAACTGTTTTGTAGCTTGCTTTGGTCTTGACATGAACCTTATATTTCTTTTGACCAAAGCTTGAGTTAGGAGCAAAGTATAGCTGGGCGTGAAACAGTGTATGTCTAATAAACATGTCTAATGCCTAATGTATACCAGGATTAACTCTGCTGTACCTCTTAGGGCAGCAGAGTTTGGGATGGACTTTGATGACACTGGGAACCTAAAAGAGCATCCGTGTAGAACTTCCAGGGGCTCTCTTTTCTTTGTGGAACCTACTAGTAAAATGTCTGAAAAGGTTGAATTATAGAAATATACCTGTTATACAAGATGAGAAACCAATTTAGTCTATTATTTTTGAGAACATCTACAAAGCTTCTATTTTGCAAACAAAATAGTTATTCTTTGTTTAGTAGAAAGGCTGCTGAGATGAGGAGGCACAACATAGATATCTGGAAAGTCTTATAATCCTTTGGAGCTTCAGTTTCCTCAACTGTAAAATGGAGGAAAATTGACACTTCTGCTTATATCACTACATATGAAAGAAAGCAATATTTTGCATGTATAGCTAATTTGTAAGTGATAAAATACAAATGCAAGCCTTTGGAGAAAATCCATGTGACAAACTGAAGATGGATCATGAGTTCAGTCTAGGGTTTCTCAACCTGGGCACAGTTAACATTTTAGACTGGATAATCCTTTTTAGGGTCAATCATGGGGGGTGCCCCCATGCATTGTAGGATGTTTAGCAGTGTCACTGGCCTCTACCCTCCAGATGCTAGTAGAGAACATCTACCTCCCAATCATGACACCCAAAAATGTCTGCAGACATTATCAAATGTCCCCTGGTGGAGAGAGGAGAGGCAAAATGGCCCCTGACTGAGAACTACTGATTAGTCCTATATCTGATAACCGCTGACAAGCTCTTACTGGTGACAGTGCCACTGTCCCAAAAATTGCACACTTTGATTAAGTGTGAGAGCTGCCCAGCACAAAGTCCATACTGTCTTTCAAATAAATATGATTTATCTGAACTCTGACACTGACAATGCTCTTGCCTGTGATTCTCAAATGGGTCCTAAAATAGATCAATAGGGGCAGCTACCTTGGCCACCATAGAGTCAGTTTTTGAGTTAAGGATGAGCCGTGTCTTCCTTTATTAACAATGACAAATTCCTTATTGGGTCTCAGGTTTAACCTGCTTTGTTCCCATCACCCACTCTTTGCTGCCTAGAAGAGGATGGAGGAACCCATGGCAGAATGAACACTGTCACATTTTATTTTTTATCCCTGTACATTAATACATTTCTTTATTATTTTCATACAACCAACATTGGGTTTCATGCATGCAGGTGCATGGATATTTGTGTAATTAGAGGATGGATGAATTGCCTCGAGAGTTAAAGCAAAACCTCAAATCTCTCTAACCCAACCTTTTATTTTTTCTTCTTCAGTCTTTTTCTCTTTCATGACTATTTACTCCTACCTCTCTCTGTATTATTTCATGCTGGCAGACATTACACCCTTTTTGAATCCATTTTTTTTTCTTGAATTATATAACAACAGTCACTCATTCTGAACTCCCTACAAGGGATGCTGTTTGTTTGTCTTCTGTAAATATTGTTTTTTTCCAGGTCTCCTTCTGAAGTCCAGATCTTTCCCCATTTTATAGGCTCTCTCCAGTATCTTCTCCAGTCACAGCATCTTAACCACTATTTATGCACTGAGAACTCTGGTATCAGAATCTCTGAGACCTGACACCCAGGTTTAGATCTAACTGTCCAGATGTCTGCTGGATATTTCCAGGAACTTCAACTCAGTCAGCCCCAAACTGAACTCACTGTCATCCTCAGGTGTTTTTCTGTTTGTTCGTTTTGCCTCCACCCCAAGCTTCTTAGGTTCTCTGTCTTGGTTCATTCCTAACTGCATTAAATGCTGGGAAGATAACTGTGTCTATATTCAGCATGTTCCATGTTCACGTGTATAAATGCATGTGTCCATGTGTTTACCTTTATGTGCTTCTATCGATATTGGTAGCGATGATGATGATAAAGCTAACATTTATTTGGTGCTTCTTTAGTGAGAGACATTGTGCAAAGTATTTTACATGAGTTATCATGTTTATCTTCAAAATACCCTTATTAAGAATATGGAAATGTGGATTATTCCCATTTTTAAAATGAGGAAACATTTTAGAACAGTTAAGCAATTTACCCAAAGTCACACATCAACTAAATGGTAAGGCAGTGGTATAATCCAAGCAGTCTGACTCAGATATTTTCTGATGTTTTGGAACAACAACAAAAAAAAATTGTCCATAGTCTGTGAGCAGATATTTAGTGAGGCTATAAAGAGATCTCGTAACATCTGAGAGCCCTAATGACCCCCCACAAATATGTGCTGGAATCCCAGGAAAGCCTGAGAGGGGTCTTCAAAAGAGATATTTGTCCTAGCAGAGCCTAAAGGTGCCATCTGCATGAAGAACATTGACACACAATCAAAGTTCATCATGCAGAGGGTAGAGTTGTGTGGAAGTGAGGAAACATGAACATTTTTCCAGAGTACAGCTACAGTGTTGATCAATTTTTACTTGCAGGGACTTTAGAAAAACAAGCTATTATTTAGCAGGTAACCTGAACTTCACTTAACCTGTAAAGGGTTTGGTCAATTCTCCAAGGCAAGAGAGCTCCTCACCTAGATGGGGCATGAGTAAATCACCCCGAAGACATCTCAGAGTAGTCTGCTAAGAAATCCTACTAAATTTCCCAAGTCTTAGGACCGAACCAAGACAGGGAGGATTAGTCTTTGCTGTAGCTGTCCTGGCTACAGAGGTGTGTGTCATAATGATATTGGTTGAAGATTGCTTATGAGTAAGACCTATACTTTTTAGCATTTTTCTCATAGCACACTAATTGGGAGGCTGGTTTCAAATATTTTTATGTCTCTGTTGCCTCTGAGGGTGAGTGAAAGAGTGTCTTTCTGGCACAAAAAAACTCTGGTCTCCTCCTTACATGTCAATGTGGCTTTTACCAGTTTTATTGAAAACCTGAGTCCTGGCACATCTGACTGAAGACACCCTCTCTTGCCTACTAAGCAGGGTCTGTGCAGTGGTCACTGCCGCTGCTTTCCTCCATCTCACTTTGTATGCTTGCCGGCCAGCCTGATCTTCATATAGCAACGCAGGAGCGTGTCTCCTCTGAACAGCAATCAGGGGCCTGTGTAGGTGACTGAGGAGGACATAAGAAAGGTTGTTGATCTCTTGACATGGAAAGACATTCTGTCAAGCAAACTCAGCTTCACAGTGGCTGGGCTTCTGCTGTGTAAACAGAGATTGCTTAATTACACAGGTCGTGTCAATTAGTGTGACCTTAGTGTTTTCAAGAAATTAATCACTTTCTGCAGAGCTGGGCTGTGTTCATACTTTAAGGCAGTATGGAATAAACCTTGTAGAAAATCTGGCACAATGTTTTTTTTTTTTTAATTTACAATGGATGCTTTCTTTTGAAATCCCTAGGCTGTAGTTAGGGTAAGAAATTTGCTTAAATACAACAGTGGATACAGGCTTTGTTAAGGACTGGTGGGTATGAGGAAGGCTGGAGGAAAGAGAAGGGGAGCAAGCTGGGGATGGAAATAGCTCACGACACAGGGAGAAATTCACTTATGACTAAACAATCCTATTTCTTCGTCTTGACACTAAAAAGATGCTAATGTCAAAGGACTATGTTAAAACCATGCTTCGGTCTGATTTTTAACCGACAGGAGCCAGACAATTCAACCTTAAGATTTAAATTTTTATCAATAGCTTTCCTTTTGGGGACTGGCAGAATGAGGGTGGTAAGGGAAGAACAAGAATCAGGTTCAAGCTGTCATTGCAATAGATACCATAATACCTGGAGACTGAAGTAAAGTATAAATTTCCAAATTCATCTTATCTCTTCAATAAAGTTTTTCCATTGGCTATAAATCTATATTCACGTATAAATATTAGATCTATAACTATATATGAATGTAAATAGAAGACATAGTTATGCACACATGCAGGAATGCGTGCATTCAGTAATATTTATTGAAGTGCTAAGTGGTGAGTCTATCATGATGAATAAGAAAGATAAGGTCTTTGCCCTAATGAAACTTATATTCTTCTTGGGATGATACTAGCTCTTGTAACAAATAGAACATATAATATCGAATGGCTCACCTGCAGCAGAAGGTTATTTCTTGCTCACATAATGGTACAAGGCAGGTGTTCCTGGTTGACGAGCAGGTGTTGTCCTTGAGGTTATTTGGGGACCTGGACTCCTTTTATTTTATGCCTCTCCTATTCTACAGAACCCTGCTGTCTTTATCCAGTCCTCTGATGGGAGAAGGACACATGAAGGGTGCCATGTGCTTTTTAAAAGCCTTGGCTTACAAATTTGCTCACTTCCATTGGCTAGAAGTCAGTCACATGGTCATATGCAATCATAGGGAGGCTTGCATGGTCTAGCTGTGCAGCCCATGAAGACAAGAAAATGGATGTATGTAGAATAATTGCCATTAGCTGCAATGAAGATGTGTACAAATTAACAATTACAAATATTAGAAATTGTAACTGCTGCTATAAAGAAAATTAAACAGGTTATTATGAGAGAGAAAAACAGTGTGGGGTGGGAGATGAAAACCTCTCTTTTTTTCTTTTTTTTTTTTTTTGAGATGGAGTCTGGCTCTGTTGCCAGGCTGGAGTGTGGTGGTGCCATCTTGGCTCACTGCAACCTCTGGGTTCAAGCGATTCTCCTGCCTCAGCCTTCAGAGTAGCTGGGACTACAGTCACGCACCACCACCCCTGGCTAATTTTTAGATTTTTTTTTTAGTAGAGAAGGGAGACAACCTCTCTTAAAGTAGGTGACCAGGAAAGCGTTCTGAGGTGAGGACACTCAAGTTCAGAGATCAAGAATAAGGATAAACCATCCTGGGAAGAGCCAGAGAGGGTTCTGAGCAAAGGGAATAGCAAACACAAAACTCATGTTTACCTCATGTTTATCTAAGGAGGCAAACAATCTTGCCTCACATCTTAGTCATTTGGATAGTAAAGAAGAGGAGAAACCACTGGGTTATTCATCCCAAATTCCCACCAAAAATGTGTTTTGCTTTTTAAAATGATGACATGAGTTATGACATTAAAAGGCAACTCCCTGCCTTTTCAAGTAAATTCTAGAAATTTTGGAGAATCTTTGCTGTTTGCTTAACAAGCCATGGTATCTCTGGATCCGTATGTTTTAGGGAATGATTAGAGGATTCTTAAAATACATGCCTGACATCTGCAGTTTCTGTCTGCTTTAAATACACTTACATAAAAGGGATAAGAATATGTGCTTCTTTATTTCTCCTCCACCGACTCCCAGCCCCTGTCTTGGATGTACTTATATTGTTATATTGTTTTGACAAATAGCACATCTTGCAATTAAATTCTCTACCAACAGAATGCTAGGGGCCCGAGCTGCGATCACTCTCTTCATACAGAATAATTTCAAGAGGCTCCATGCTGATTAATTATACTGAAAGCAGCTCTAATGATAGTTTCAGAATACAGGATTAAGTCACATAACATGGTAAATACAAATGGTGATTTTCAACCTGATATATTAAACCATTATGGCTTATTGGGCAAATATGTATCTTGGCATGAGCCTTATGCTGAGCCTTGGCAGAAAGTGTGCATCACTGAGAAGGAATCTTTATGAACAGCATTTGATGAGTGGTCGCCCTGCACTTAGAGAACATGTATTTCTACATTAAACACAGCTGCTTTTAAAGGAAATGTAAAATACATTAAAGGATGAATGTAAAAGTGTTTGGTTTGATCAGTGATTACCAATGGATGCTGGCTCTGAAGATGCCTATAGTTGTTGGGATTTACCAGCAAAAGGTATCCTTATATTCTTCCACTTTTTAAGTTGTAACTTGTAGAGCTCTAGTTATATGTCAGACAACATACTAAGTGTTATACATGTATAATCTTACTTATTTTTCTACCACTTTTTCTCTTATTTGCTTTAGTCCTGTCAAGCACATTGGCCTTCCTTCATTTTTCTTCCCCACATACACCAAACTCATTCCTGCCTCAGGATCTTTGCACTTTCTATTCTGTCTCCCTGGAAAACTCTTCTGACACATTGAATGACTGGATATTTTTTATTCAGATTTCAGGCTGAGCACGGTGGCTCATACCTGTAAGTCGAGCACTTTGGGAGTACGAGGCAGGTGGATCACTTGAGGCCAGGAGTTTGAGACCAGCCTGGCCAACATGGCGAAACCCCATTTCTTCTAAAAATACAAAAAATAAAATTTCCTCTTTTTTTGTCACTTCCTTAAAGAAGCCTTTCCTAATCACCCAATTAAAAATATCTCCCACCTAGGAATCATCTAGGTGGAAGATATTTTATTTTTTCTTAGAACTTATCACAATCTGAAATTTGCTTTTATTGCTTACTTATTGTCTGACTCTCTCTCTGTCCCCAGTAAGAACTAAACTCCTGCTTGGTAAATGCTTTATCGGTTTTGTTCATTGTTGCTTCTTCAGTGCATAGAATAATGTTTGGCACATGGTAGGCACATAGTGGGCTCACCACGTATTCCTATGACTAAGTGACTCATCTAAGATTACAAGCAAGTAAGTGATGGGACTGGGGATCAAATTCAGGATCATCTGACTCTGGAATCTGAGCCATTGACCAATATGCCATTTTCTTGCTCCTGATTTCCATGTCCGTATGCCATAGCCCCATCGTTACAGAGCACACATGACAATCCTGTTTGTCTCATTCCTACCTAAAATGGCCAATGAGGACACACACACAGAGAGCACCAGCTAAACACCAATGACACCCTCAAGAGTAGTCAAAAGTATCCTGATCCACAGAGGGAGGAATGAGGTTCAGATGACTTGTGAGCTTTTCATGTTTATCATATGTCACCGTTCAGGAGACAGAAGCTAATTCTAGTTTCCAAAGGTCTAGATTAGCTTAGCACATGTATCTGAGGATTTAGAAGTGTCTGTTCTTGTCTTCCTGTTAAGAGCTGGTTTTGCCTCAAGCCTTAAAGTGCGAATGTAATTCCATTAACCACTCCTTTACTCCAGCAGTTCCACTCCATGACATCCTGTAGGTTCACGCGTCCTCCATAATTTTTAATGAGTTATTTGGAATCTTTCAACCAGATAGAAGCTAGCAATCAGGAACATTTCTGAGAATATCGCATTCATATCAGCCAAGGATATTTTAAAGGACAAAGTTAATGAAGACCTAACTGCTGCAAACTATTTTTATGTAAATAATACTCAAACTGTAGTCGGTCACACAGGCACCATAGATTTGTACTGGAAGTATTAGGAGAGTCCAGAGAGAGGATGTAAGCCAGGACTGTGTACTGAAAGGCCAGAGGCCAACTGTGTTGGCTTACACCTGTAATCCCAGCACTTTTGGGAGGCCGAGATGGACGGATCACGAGCTCAAGAGATCGAGACCATCCTAGCCAACATGGTGAAACACCGTCTCTACTAAAAATATAAAAATTAGCTGGGTGTGGTGGTGTGCCCCTCTAGTCCCAGCTAGTCAGGAGGCTGAGGCAGGAGAATTACTTGAATCTGGGTGGCAGAGGTTGCTGTGAGCCGAGATTACGCCCTGCAGTCCGGCCTGGTGACAGAGCAAGACTCCATCTCAAAAAAAAAATGAAAGGCCAGAACTGAGGGTGGGTGAGAACTGCACTGTGAGTCTACAGGTTTCCCTTCAGGCTTGCCTCTGCTCTTAATTTGTCCTATGATCTTGAAGTTGTTTTTTTAAACTCCTGGGCCTTAGTTTTCCAAGCTGTAAAAGGAGGTGTTGGACAAATCTGGACTGCCATAACTTATATTGAGGACTCCTTTTATCATTTTCTCCTATGAACCTCCTATGATGACATATTTTTCAATCAAATTGCATTTATTAAGAATCACGTTCTCTTTAGAGTTCTTTAAAGCCATGTAAAACTGCTAGTTGAGAGCTTCTCATGTAGATGAGATAACCAGAGTTTCCACATGGAGTTGATAGGGTCCCAGACAAGGGAAAGTTAACTGAATATTTCAGTATGCAGCCTTACTGTGGATGCTTTTATGATTCCCTCTGTGCAATAATGTCACCCATTATTACAGTCAAAAACTCTTAGTTAGGAGCCACTAGATTAGCTGATCTCTGGAGTCTCTTGTGACTCTAACATTTGACGAGTCTGCAAAGTAGTTCAGCTGACAGGTAGAATGTAGAATGTAGACTATAGGGGGTTGAGGGTAGAAGTGTGATCAATACCTTTTAAAAAATATAGAGAGTTTATTTTGTAGAGCAGTTTTAGGTTTACAGAAATATAATACCTTCTCAACCCCATCCCCATCCCCTAACCCCCAGTTTCCCCTATTATTAACATCTTGCATTAGTGTGATACATGTTACAATTGATGTGCCAATATTAATATGTTATTAAAATCCATAGTTTTGTGGGCCGGGTGTGGTGGCTCATGACTATAATCCCAGCACTTTGGGAGACTGACATGGGTAGATCACATGAGCCCAGGAGTTTGAGACCAGTCTGGGCAACATGGTGAAACCCTGTTTTCACAAAAAAAATACAAAAAAAAAAAAAAGGCTGAGTGTGGTGGTGCATGCCTCTAGTTCCAGCTACTCAGGAGCTGAGGTGGGAGGACCAGTTGAGCCCGGGACGCAGAGGTTGCAGTAAGCTGAGATCACACCACTGCCCTCCAGTCTGGGTGACAGAGCAGGACCCTGTCTCAAAAATCAACATCAATTTAAAGTTTACACTAGAGTTCACTGTTTGTGTGTACATTCTATAGGTTTAGACAAAAGCATGGACATATACATCATTACAGTATTATACAGAATGGTTTCACTGCTCTAAAAATCCCCTATCCTTCACCCATTCCTCCCTCTCTTCTCCCAGACTCCTGGCAACCACTGATCTTTTCACTGTCTTCATAGTTTTGCCTTTTCCAGAATATCGTATAGTTGGAATCATACAGTATATAGACTCTTGAGATTCACTTTTTCTTATTTAGTAATATGCATTTAAGACCCCTCTATGACTGTCTGTGGCTTGATAGCTCATTTTCTTAAATTGCAAAATGATATTCTATTATATGGATTACCAGTTTGTTTTTCCATTCATCCATTGAAGGACATCTTGGTTGCCAATGCCTTTTATTTAGTTGAGATTTTTATTCACATAATTTTAGGTTTACATGCAGTTATAGAAGTAATACAGAATGATCCCATGTACCCATTACCCAGTCTTCCTCAGTAACATTTTGCAAAGTTATTTTACAATATGACAACCAGAATATGGACATTCATGTAATCTACCATCTTATTCAGGTTTCCCTTGTTTTACTAGTACTTGTTTGTGTGGGTGTATTTTTAGTTCTATAAAATTGTATCATGTGTCTAGCTTTGTCTAACACCACAGTCCTTATATAGGGAATTTTCATCACCACAAGGATCCCTCATCTTGTCCTTTTTTAGTAATCATACTCACCTTCTCTGTGTGTCCAAATTTCCTCCTGTGAGGATTGGATTAGAGACCTCTCTAATGGCCTCATTTTAAAGTAATCAAAGCCCTATCTGAAAATACAGTCACATTCTAAGGTACTGGAGATCAGGCCTTCAATGCATGAATTTCTGGGGGAGGAACAATTCAGCCCTTAACATGCAGTATGTATCCCCTGGTTACTGGCTTTTTACCCTCAACATAATTCCCTGGGATATCAATAGTTTGTTCCTTTTTATTGCTGAGTATTATTCCATGAAATGCTGCCCAGTGCTTTTCATTTAGTGTACTTCAAGTTAATATTTTTAAAGCTTTGTGATTAGGGGCCCTAAATTAATGCAAAAGTACAACAAGCAAAAAACAGAGAGGTTAGGAAGCATAGAACAGACTAACTTTAACACTGATTTCCTTTTACTGAGTTACCATGTATCAGCACTGAAAACCAAGATTTGGAATTTTTAAATAATCATTCAAAATTAACGTGAGGAAGAGTTTATTTTTTGGAAGGAAATACTTAACTGTCACAATATTCTAAATTTAAATTACAAAAATATATTTATGGTCTAATCTTTGCTCTGATTCTGTGTTTGTTGGAGAAATGCTTAAAGATACAAATTTCAACATGTTGGGTTGCTTTTGTCATAACCCCTTCTTCCCCACAAACTGCTACTTTTGTTAATGTGATCTTCCACTCATGATTGAATTTAGCTGCTTGTGTCTTTTTGAAAATCTGCTCATGAGACAGAGGTTATGCTTCATGAATCTTAGATAATAGAGTTAGGACATACAAGGTCTCCTGCCTGACATGAAGGGAAGAGGGGCTGCCTGAGAAGTGATGGTGAGGAAGTACTCACCAATAACAAAACTCCTGAGAAATCCTCATTGATGGGAAATATTGGGAAAACTAGACTGAACTGATGAGACATCTCATTTACAGACTATTTTCAGAATAGTAAGGTTTCATTTAGTTATAATAAAGCCTCAAATGTAAGAGGCTAAGATACAGATAGGGTCTAGAAAGCGACATTATATAAACCAATGAAAACCGCAATTCATGCAAGGCCTAAATGTGTAATAATGTGTTACTAGCACAAAGGTCTTTAAAATTGTACGTTTGTGTTGAGCAGTGGACATAGAAGAAACACTTTCTGTATCCTTTTATTTAAAATTACAGTGTATGCTGGGTCTTCTTTACGGTCATTAAGATACTTCAGGTTATCAACCCGACACATTCTTTTGAACTTCTTGTTTAACATCACCCACAAATTGACAACTACTACTCTATTACTGCTACTAATGTTTATTGAGTGCTCCATGTGAACCAGGAACCATGCTGGCCACTTTAATTAATTTAAGCCTCACAGTTACCTTATGAGTTAAGTATGGTGGTTATTCCCATTGAGAGTCAGGGACACTGGGACTCAGAGAAGTTAACCTGGCCAAAGTCACATCAACCAGGAAAGCTTGAGAGCCAAGGATGAAATTTTGTGTCTAGTTCTTTCAAATTCTAAATAGAGGGGGATTGGAATAATACCTTTTAGGGATATCTATCCAGAAAAGGATATAACAGAGGAGATTCTGAACCACTGATATGAGCCAAGAAATTGAAAACATCAGTGTAAAATATCCAAAGTCCATGGGTAGCTAGAAACTTCTTTTTTGCCCTTCTCGTTCTCTTATAACGAATACTCTCAACTAGAAAGGAAGGCCCAGATGAAAAGTACCCTGGAACATGCTGAGTGTTAATCAGCATATCTCTAGATTGCCACATTAAGAAGCAAAGCCCCCTAATAGAAATTTCATTCCAAAAATATAGTGATTAAAGCATATATGTATAAATCTAAACCTGTTTACATAGGCTGATATTTATTTCAGGAGATATAACTTGGACATCTTCAAGAATCAAGTGCACAATTTATTTCAAAACCATTCTAGAGCAGTGCCATCCTATAGAACATTCTGCAATGATAAAAAAATTCCCTGTTCACCGTGTCCAATGCAGTAGGCAATAGTCGCCTATGGCTATGAAACGCTCAGTGTGGCTATTGAGGCTCAGAAAGGGAATCTAAAATGTCGTTTAGTTTAAATTTAAATAGCCAGGCATTTGGCTTCTGTATTGGACAGTGCAGTTCTAGAAAGTAAAGGTGTAATTATAACAGATATCGTGAAATTCTAAACATATCTTTTCCTTCGTATTCTCATCATCTGTTTCTCTGGGCAGGGGAGTGGAAAAGGGGAGAAAGAAGGAAAGTGTTGTTGTGTCCAAAGGTAAAATCATTTTTAATGTTTATCTGTCTCAAATTTAGGCTGTGTTTTATTGACAAAATTTAGGAAGGTTGAAGATTTGGCAGGCTTGTCTGTCCCCTTGCCTGTGTGAATGTGTCAGCACCTTATTAATTATGTGGTAAACTGTAAAGGCCCTTTTCCCTCCTACCATGGGCCTATTTTTAAAGGACACTTCAGTACCCCTTTTGCATCTCACAGTGTTTTTTTTTTTTTAATTTACAAGTCGCTCTGTGGATTAATTTTAGCATATGTTTTATTTAAATATATCCTGAATATTTCCAAATTGAAATGGGAGAAATTGTTTTGTGGTAGGGAAGTTGTGCTGTGAGTTTTTGAGGAACGTATTAGCTGCTTATTTTCTAGAAATTAAAAGTATAAAGATTCTCTGTATTATCTTTTTTCCAATTTTGATTGGCATTTCAGCCAAATGATTCTATCACACATGTGGCCCTGGTGGTTCTTCTCTTGCCAAGAAAAGAAAAACATATGGGGTGTAGTTTTTTTTTCCTTAACCGTTTTTGACATTTTTGTTCAATGTAGGATTAGATGACAGTGTCTTTGAAACATACTGAATATTTTAAGCCTTAAGTTTGTAGAGCTTGTGTCTTACAGGTGCATGGTGAATTGTCATTGTTTTTTTTTTTTCCTCCTAAGACAGACATCTAGAATAACCACTTTCTGTATTTCCTGACACTGAAAACAGATATGGTTTGGGATTCCTTTTATAGTTTCTTCAGCTAACGACTCCAGTGACCGCTCAATTGTGGTCTCATAGTAAATCAAAATTTCTTTGAAAGACCCAGCTCTGTTATGTAATTGTAAGTCCTAAGAAGTCGTCTCTCTAAAAAGAAAAGTGAATTTCTGTTGCCTTAAATAATATTGACTTTGCCACTGCATATGATAGTTTTTGAAGGCAAAATAGTAGACCGTTTTCTTCTCTTCTTCTTTCTTTTAAATTAACCTGTAAACATACAAGCTGTGTTTACACATAAGGCTGTGTCAGATCTGGTTGGTCAATCATGAATAAAGAGAAGAACCACTCTGCAAACTTCTGCATCAAACTTACATGTCATCCCCCAAATGATTTGTTCTAGATGGAATTTGGGGTTTCACAGTGGCTAAGGAGAATACTCTGATTCCCTGATTGAACTCTCAACTGTTTCCTATGCATTTTAATTAAGTAGATTTAGAAAACAAAATCAACCTTATGCTACTAGTATGGGTGATGTGTTCATAGCCTGCAATTCGTGGGCATCTTTGAGGCTCTGGGAAAGGAAATTCATCGTATTTTGCCAGGATGCACTTAGGTCAACGAGGAGGACAGTGGAACTTTTAAGTATGGGAAGACTGTGGGGACTGGCGTCCAAGCTGACAATTCACAGGCATAGGCCAGGGCCTGGCGTTTTCCCCTCTGCCCAGCTTAGCTGATGAAAGAGTGTTACACAAGACTCTTCAGAAGTCGATGCCCCCTTCAGCCAACTTGGAGAAAAGGCTTCCTCAGAAACTGAGGCCTCCATCTGTGCCAACCCTTGTAAAGCGGTTCACCTCTTCAGAGGCTAATGCCTCTCAAAACCAAGAACAATTAAAGCGAGAGTCTTTCCAAGCAACTGGGGAATTGAGCAAAATAAATCAGAAATCCTCAGCCTTCGCTCTGGAGGCTCGCCTCATTATGAGAGCAGATCTATTAGCCCTCTTGCCATTGTCTTTCATTTCTCAAGTGAGGTGATTCTAATTAAATTAATCTGCATGTCAATCTATCGGTGATCAATCAAAGAGCCTGAGGTTTCCCCTATGCTGCAGGGTGCTTGCGGCTGACAGGGGCTGATAATGGAGGAAGAAATAAACTGTCGAGCAAAGTTAATTAGTCAACATAATAGGTGGATTAAACGGGAGCGGGCTGATTGCTGTTTCCCATGTCAAAGCATGAGGTGGGAGCTGAAGCTGCAATTACAGACAATTATTATATTTGGTTGTAAGAGGTCGCATGAATAAACATATCTCTGTGGGTTTCAGTTTTAATCCCTTTCCCCATTTAATATAAGGAGAAGCGTAGGTCATTTCTTCTCATTGTTTTAGTCAAAGTTCTCTGAGACAACATCTTTGCCTGTGTCTCTTCTGGCAAACTGGGTTCACAGTCACTTTATGAGATGGTTTCAGTGTCTAAATTATGTCTTGGGCCATTCCCACCAGTTTTTTTTTTAATTTGAAACAGATCTAAGACCCTTAATTAGCAGGAATTTTTTGGGGTGGGGTGATGGTAATAGTAGTGAGGGGGACTTTGGTCTGATGAACCAAACTAATGTGGAAAGAAAAACGTACAAGAAATCTCAAAAAGACATCCAGGAGAGAAAAATGCATCCCTGCTCTTACTGAAATCTTTTTCATTTCTCTATCCTCTTAACCCTGACACAGTGGGGAGAAATATTTTAAAGATTCAAAAGATTTTTATTTGCATGATCAACTGTGATATATGCTTCAGTGTCTAAACTGAAGGGTAATTTAGGTGAAACACAACCACCCTTGTGTAAAAAAATATGCTAATAAAGATCCTCTTGTTAAAATTATGGTTAACAGTGTACCTTCTGCTGTATAACTATAAACTGTGCAATTTTACTTAAAACTGCATCAAAAGCGTTCCATGCCAAAGACCCACTCATCAATAGCTCCTCTTGTTAGACTTGTACAGCATAAGCACCAGTTATTATGTGAAATAGCTATGCAATTTTCTTCAGCTCCCAGCTGTTATTTATTTAACTTGAGTTTATTACCCACCACGCTTTTATATTAAAATGTTCATTCATTTCTTTCTTATGTCTCCAGGTCGTGGTGTCTACGACAGTCAATGTGGATGGCCATGTCCTGGCAGTCTCTGATAACATGTTTGTCCATAATAATTCCAAGCATGGGCGGAGGGCTCGGAGGCTTGACCCCTCGGAAGGTACGCCCTCTTATCTGGAACATGGTAGGCGAATCATTTTCATTGGTTGGCATTGCTACTTTAACTGTGAATATATTTGGTTTCTTTCTTCCACTCCACCACATGTTCTATTCTGTTTCAAATTTCAAAAGTCTTTTTGAATAAGATTGGTCCTCTAGGGTTTTTTCTCTTCAACATATGGTGGCAAATATTTAAAGACAGGAAAATATCTCTGAGGCCCACCTTTCTTGTGGGACCACTCTCTACTCTGGAAATGGCTGATATTGCCTCCTTTCAGGTTGAGAGAAAGAAGGAGGCCTGGACCATTGCTTTATTCTAAGCTCCCACTGGATTACAAAATAAGGAAAGGCCAATCCAAGGGAAAAATAAGGAAAGGCCACACAATTTGGTATCACTAAAATTGTGATATATTTGACATGTTTATAATTGACCATTGAGGTTTTATAATGAACCCATCCTCTTTACCACCCTCCTGGTGTATCTCTGTGACCACCTGTTGAACTTCATTTGGAGATCAGGTTCAATGTCGAGGTTGGAGGTGCTTTCTGAATATGAAGCCCAGACCAAATGTCCCTCCTGTGCCCTGTACCTAACTCTTACCTCTTCACCATGTGATAGAACTTGCTGTCTGTAAGTAGACTTTGGTAGGGAGAAATCCCATTTGTCTTGAGAATTATGGCTAATCAGTGGTGCCTTTGAGAGGACTGAAGGAAACCAGATAAAAATTTGAATCAAGGAAAGTGAATGCCACTCAGAAGAACCATGGGTTGGGTTAGGGGCACGCCTGAATTTTTCAGTGCTGCATGTGTGTGTGTAATATATCCACTCTTCCTCCTCTCCACTCATCCATCCATCCGTTCATCTATCTATCCATCTATCCATCTATCCATCCATCCATCCATCCATCCATCCATCCATCCATCCATCCATCCGTCCATCCGTCCATCCAAGAATGAGTGACTGAGGCTCTGCTGGATACCAGTCACCATATTAGACTTTCTTCAATTGCCTCAAACTCTCAACCCATTTCCCTCACTTCCCTTTCCAGTTTGCTAGGGTCAGCAAGATTCTTTTCAGAACACTACCACACAAATGATCACCTGATTGCCTGCTTTTTTCCATGGGCCAGGAGTTGCCCATAATTTACAAGGTAGAAAACTCCCTTCTCTGCCAGCATCCCAATTTAATAAACACGCCACTCTCATCATTTTTGCCTGGCTTTTTCCCCTGTGCTTATGGAACACACGAACTGTACTTTTTATTAATTAGCCAGATGTAATGCTCTTAGAAGGGATTCTTCACCACATCCAGTTTTACAGTCTTTTTAAAGTAAACCATCATCTTTCAAAAGCTGCTTCTTTATGGTTTCATTAGTGCTGAGATGGATGGATATTACATTTTGCAGGAGGCCATTTCAAACACCTGCTCATGATTACATTCCTAGTTCCATTTCTGTACTTAAAATTATTCTGATCCTCACTTTACAGTAATGTTGTCTTTATAATACCCTTGGAGTCACTTAAGGCATTGTGTGACTAGAGGTGTTTAGGTGAAAGGAGGAAGAAAAAATTAGGGAAATACTCAGTGGGCATGATTTGGAGAGTGCTGCTTAAGGATTGAAGTTATGTTTTTGACTGTGGGTGGTTAGTTGCAATAGGTACTGCCCAGTCTGGTGACAGACTTGACTGTCAGTTTGAAATCTGGGTTCACACTTTCAAAATATGCTCAGGCCACACCCAGCTCCTATTTCTGCTCTTGGGAAGCCAGTGAGAAAGCTCCTGACACCAGGCAAATTATCCCTCCAACAAAAACCAAAAGCAAACATAGAATATAGCCTTCTCTAAAGGATCCCTCTAGGCAATGAGGATCAGTAACGTTATTTTGCAGCATGATAAAGGACTAGGTCTTGAAATAGGTACCAGGAACCCCAAATTCAATTTAGTTTCACTCTGGCCTCTATTTGACCTTGGACAAATCGCTTTAGCTTTTGGGATCCTTGATTTCCTCCTTGTTAAAATGAAGGTGATGATCTGTAGGAGAGTTTAAAAAAAAATCTGTGCTTTGGGTGGGGGCAGGTAATGTAGATAGGGAAGTGGGCTGGGTGGAGGCTGAGAAGACAGGCAAGTACACGCTCTGGTGCCCCTCGGCCCCAGCCAGTTGTTGCTAAGGGGAATGAGAGCCCAAGTGGGGCCAGATGTTCCAGTTTGGCAACAGTGAATTTTTAATTGTTGGTAACTAATTACAAAATTTTTGGACACTGAAGGGAGGAGAGGGGGAAAAAAGCCACTTAGGAAGAATGCAGCCACAGGTCAACAGTTTGAGACCTCTGGATCAACACAGCTCTAAGCTTCCTCCCAGCTCAGATATTCCCTCTTCTAAGAGTGTTAATATTTCAGTTGGGGTGTCATATTATTCTAAGTTTTAAAGTCAGCATTTTATTCACCTGCTTCAGTTTATGAGTCCACAGATGGCCATATTACTATATTTTTCAAAAAATGGTGACATTTCACTGTGTAAGTGGTTGGCCATCCTTGGGGACATAGGTATGTCCTATTTCCTTCAGCAAGGGGCTTTGCCTTCACCGAAGCCTTATTTCACTTCTCTCCAGTGGAAAGAAAGGGTAGACATGTTCAAATTCTTAGTAATGACAATAGCATAGAAATCTGCTTCTCTGCAGAGTGAGTCAACCAACCACACAAAACCACCCACTCATTTAGACACTTCAGGCTGACACATAAATATCTACTCAGCAAAGGATGACTATTGAACTCTTTCATTGGTAATGTGTGGGAGTGGACCTAGATGCTAATTCATGTTGATGTGAGGGTAATACTTTATTTTGCTGTTGAAAAGTCCTATTTCAAAATGCTCTGTTTAAAAGACTTTGAGAATCATACACCCTCATCCCTCTGTGTCTCCGCTCCCACCCCCCACCGCCTTCAAACAGCTACCGCATGGTGAGACGGCAAAGCATGTTCTCCTCTTGTGACCTGTGGGAACCTACGTTCTCCCCCATTCTGGACTTTTTACCATCTAATTTACAGGTAGCCTGAATTATTTTGGGCTATTCTGCAAATCTCTATTTATATCCTGCTTGTCAGACTGTTGGAGGAAGTTTCCTTTTGTGGCTCACCTTTCTGTGTATAAGTAGAGACAGAGATCGTGCTTTACATTCATGCATGGGCTTTCTTATGTGACCCATGGACTCGCAAACCCCTGTGCTCTGATAAATGACCCTGTAATTCAAGTATGAGAGTTGACAAAGGCAAATTTATTTCATAGACTCTTGCATGGTCCAAAGATAGTGAATCCTGGCATGCTATAGATCGTGGAAAATGGTCTTCCCCCGTACTTTCTCTTCATTCATAAATACCAAGATTTTCTTTGGCTGGATATTTATGGGACCATTTAGCCTAGTGAGGTTTCTTCTTTAAGCAATAGCTTTATGGAAGATGTACAGTCGTGGAGACAGGCAGCCTCAAAATGTAACTGCTCTCTCAGTTCCAATTTTTGAAAAAGCATGAGCTCGGGATGAAAGGAGCTGAGTGGCTGCCACAAGGCTATGTTCAGCGCTACCCTGTGTACTTGCCTTGTCTTCCAGTCATTTGGGCAAGTTCATGAAGACTGTGTTCTGGGGAGTCATTGAGGGGCCTGAGGAGTGTTGCTATTGGCATTGTTGTTCCCCTGAGTTCCAGGTTGTGTTTACTTGAATTCAAGGCCAACTGTGGCATCAGTTTCTCTGTTTCTTCCCCCTGTGGCAAAATGCGGTGCCCTCACAACACTGTGGTGCAGAGCCCCTGTCAGCTTGCATGCGCTAACACTTTATTATCTAATGATCTAATATGCAACAAGGCAAAGTGCCCGTGCTCATCATTCTGACATAGAATGCCGGGAGAAGTGACTAAATTACTTTATGTACCATTAGCGCTTGCAGCTATGGTGAACTCACAGGCAGCATTTATGCAAATGCCTGTGAATACACTCTAGTGGCTTTGTCAGGAAACCATCTGACAAGCAGTTTAAATGCTCATTTTTTTAAAGGGGATATATGTATTTTTTTATTTTGGTGTGCATGTGTTTTTCTCCTTTCCTCTCTTCTTTTTCTTTCCCTTCTCCCCTTTTTGGGCTTTTGGAGGACTTGCCTCCTCCATGGTGACTAGAGAAATGTGAGCACGTTCTAGAGCTCACCCACCAGTAGGAGCCATTTCCAGGAGTGGGATTAAGTCCCCAGTAGGGTATTCTTTAGATCTAGTTTTTTTTTTTTTTGTTATTGTTTTGAATATGTGCATCCTTCATATTTATTTGGAAAAAAAAACAATGGAACTATTAGTCAAGAGTTTTTAGAATATAAACATGTTAGTGTTCATGAGCTCTGACCTGGGGTCCTACTTATTTTTTTAGATTGAAGATAGATTCTTTAAAACATACTCAGTTTTTAAAAATGGAAAATGATTGAAATTTAGCTTTTGTGGGCATCAGATACAAATCAATTAAATTTCCCTTCAAAGTTATAATAAAGACTGCAACATAAAACATAAATGTGCCAAGATTTCAAGATAAATAAAAACAATAGTGGAGTTTGGTCACACTCAAAGTATTTTGAAGAATAAATACTGATGATAGACTCACTGGGCCCATCTCCTGGCTGTAATTATAGCTTTGGAGAAATAGAGTCAGGTGTTCACCACCACCAGTGAATTCTGACCTTTTGGTTGCAGTGTCACATTACAACTGTCCCTGACAATATGGTGGTGTTCTTGATCTTTAGCATATGACCTTCTATAATCCTTTTGATCCAGACAGAGGCAGTTTTTGCTTCTGTCAGTTGCCCCTGGGTGTCCAGCACCATTGACTTCCTGTGACCAGCTGCATTTAAATGTGTTTTTCATTTGTTTGGTTTTTTTGTTTGTTTGTTTTCATGTTTTTACGGAAATGTGGAGAAAGATGGTTTGAGCTTGGAGAGACTACCTCAAATTGAGCCTGTCTCTTTTCCCTTCTGTATAATATGGTCCTAACAAGAGGATAGAAGGAGGATCAGGCTCTCTGGCTGAAGTGGCCCTGGGAAGGTCACTTTGCTTCTGTGGGCCTCAGTTTTGTATGTCCAGTGAGAGCCAGGTGGGGTCCTCTCTAGGCTTCCTTTTAGCATGTACTATTTTATGGTGCTCTGAACTAAAGCTATTGGCACATGACTTTCTGCAGGAGGTGACTTTGGAGAAATAGAGCTTCCTGGGAACAGAGAAATCCACTGGCATTTTCTAATAGAACCCTTCCTCTGGATCTCCAGCCAAGGGATAAGGTGTCAATAAGGTGGACTTGAAATCGCTCATTCATACTAAGCAGGCACTACATGCCAGACATTAAGCTAGGTGCAGTAGGATAATGCAGACTCAGTCCTTGTCTTCACAGAATATATGATGTGAATAGAGAGGAGAGGTACTAAGCAAAATTAGAGTGGTGCATCAAAGGGGGACCACAAAAGCAGAGGAGAGTAATGAAGTGTCAGGGAAGCCTTGTTTCAGGAAATCTCATTTATGCCAAAACCGAAGAGATGAGTAGGTTTTTACTAGGTGTCTTAGTCTGTTTTCTGTTGCTTTAACAGACTGGGTAATTTTTGAGGAAAAGGAGTTTATGTCTTACGGTTCTGGAGGCTGGGAAGTCCAAGGGCATGATGCCAGCACTGGTGAGGGCTTCCAGGCTGCATCATCCTATTGTGGAAAGGTGAAAAGGCAAGCAAGTGTGGGTGAAGAGAGCTCACTTTTATAACTAACCCACTCCCACAATAATGGAATTAGTTTGTTCAGGAAGGTAGAGCCCCCATGACCTAATCACTTCTTAAAGGTCCTACCTCGTAATACTGTTGAAACTGCAATTACATTTCAACATGAATTTTAGTAGGGACATTGAACCATTCATCTATTCAAACCATAGCACTAGGCAAAGGGGACAAAAAAAAAAATTGCCAGGTATAGGAAACTGTGTGCAAGGGTTGTTTTGCTTAGGTGAATTCCAGGAACAAAAGGAGACTGAGAGGGCTCCTGTTGCGCCCAGGCAAGGGAGGAGTGGCAGGAGATGAGACTAGGGTGGCTGTGAGGGCTACATCATGCAGGCCAAAGTGGGCTGGTCAGGCCATGGTCTTGGTGGCAATTGCGAAGTGGGGAGGAGGTCAAGCAGGGCTTTGATGAACTCAGTTTCAATTACATGGGCTCCTCAGATCCGGTGAAAGCCCAGGGCAAGTTTGCTCAGACCTACTTATAACTTTGCTCTTCGCTGCTGGACTTTGGAAACTCACCAGGGAGTTGGCTGTGCTTTGGAGCTGTCCCCCTAATTACTCCTTATTGTATCAATAGGGCATGTGTTCTTCATAGAAAGTCAAACATTTTAAGAGTCCTTTCTCCTCTTTTTTTTTCAGATGGCTTCGTATTATTGATTTAGTTTTTCGTAAGTGGCTTAGAAAGAGTGTACCTTTTGGCATCTTTTTAAATTTGTGGAGACCCTCACCTTTTCATGGTCTTTAGAGTAGAGGACTGCTGCATTATTTGACCCATTAAAATGTATATTACCCCACCAAAACTTAGTGAGTGAAAATAAACTAAAACAACAGAGAAAAATATACCCTCCCAAATTTCTCTCTCCCCTCCCACCAGGGGCAATGCCTGAGCCACAGCTCACACTGAGTGAAGTCAGTGAAGGATGGAAGGTCATTTCTTTCACTCTTCCTCATTTTACAGAGACCCAGAGAGGGGATATAATCTGCTCAAGCTTAAACATAGCTTGTTTCTCTCAAAATCCATTCAGCACTCTTTGTACTTGTCCATGTGCATTTCAGGGTTTGCATAGTTTCCTGGTCACTGGATAAACATGCCAGAGGATTTGGGGTCCACCCCAATGCCTATCCATTTCATATTGGCCTAGCCTTGCCTCCAGTCTTTCTGGGATTCCCAGGATGCTGAGAAGAATGTCTGTAAAATAAATCCAGCTTCCTGACAGAAATGTACATTCAAGGGCAGATGATGGATGATGCATAGCTTCCCACATAGCCAACAGCCCTTCTGTGGCTAGTTTTGATGCAGAATCCCAGCCAAGCCCACTAAGGCAAGATCATCTTGGTGAAGGGCCCAGGCTAAGTAGAAAAATATTGGTGTCATCTTTTGTGACTGAGGGTGGCATGTTACAATTTACCAATTGATTTCCCTATTTGAGAAAAGAAGACAGGTGTAAGAGCAAAACATTAGGGCTAAGAATATCCAGCTGTGTCATAAAATAGAGCACTGAGACCCCAGATTTTCAGGTATCAAATCAGGGCTTTTACTTTGTGCAGTTGAGAAGATGCCTTTTGTCTTTCCTTGAAATAGAAAGGATGTGGTAAGTGGTCAAGATAATGCACAACGATGTGAGTGAAGACTGATTTCCAGTGTATTCCCTGAGTAATTCATAAAGCAGGTAACACCGGAAATCCTAACACTGGGGATATGGTAGCCAGCAGGATCTCAGCATCAGACAGACTGAAGGGTTCATGAGCAGGTGATCTATGTTCTGCTCATTTGACCATGGCACCACCAATAGCACTGATAACAAATGAGAAATAGTGCTCAGACTTTTTTGCCATACTTGACAGTAACCAGGCCAGGTAATAATATTTATTACTCTATTATTATTTACTACCACTATTGTTGTTTTTTTAAACTATTAGCATTTATGGATCATTTACTATATATGCCAGCACCATGCTAACTATTTTACTTATCATCTCATCAAGTCTTCCAACAAATCTCATGATATATAATAATTATTATCACCATTTTACAGATGAGAAAACTGAGGTTTAGAAAGAATCAATAACTTACTCAAAGCTGCAGAACTAATTAGAATTGGACCTGGAATTTGACCTTAGGTCTGCCTAATAACAGTGCTAAGAATAATAACAATAAACATTCCCTGAGCCCTACTATGACAGGCACAGAGTGCTATAAGTACCCTGTTGTAAAGAGGAGAAAACCAAGGCTAAAGAGAGGGTCAATAACTAGCCTAAAGTCACACAGCAATTAAGTAGTAGACCCAGGGTTCAAATCCAGGAAGCTTGATGCTGAAGTCTGCACTCTAATCTACTGCTCTGTTACATTACAGTATGAGAAATTCCTTCCATCTCCTATCCTATTGTTCTTATTTTTTTCTTAACACAAGCAAGGCAATTGTGCTGGTATCTTCAACAGACTTTTCAAAAGTTAGCCCAGAGCATATCTTTTTAAAAAATGGGGCACATCATGTATATTTACTTTATAGTTGATTTTCCTTCAGAAACCTGAAGGAAATTTTTCCCATGGCTGGGACACATTCTGCTAGTTGAATTTTAAAAAATGCTGATTTTATTCGATGACTAGTATATTTTCTGTGGGGCTGGCAAGATAATAAGGATGCTGGTAATATTTTATTTATTTGCAAGAATGTCCTAACTCATCTCCCTAGAAATCATTTGTTGACCATATGGGCTCTCTGGCACGTGTACAAGGTGTGGAGGAAGGAGTCCATGAGAAAATGATGAGATGATGAGTTAAACAACCGTTAGGATACTGAAGAGTTTGTAAACCTCATGCTAGAAATAACATGGGAAACCGATTTGGATATAGGGAGGCTAGTTTCTTATATGAATTTCTTGACAAACCTGTAAACTGTGGGAAATTTCCAGTATTTGGTTGGTTGAGCTAATAAATGAGTGAGTCACACCTTACTAATTTTAATAAGCACAAAGTGTGGTGTGTTGTGTGTTGTAGGGGAGATTTGGGGAGGAAAGATTGTTGCTTTCTACTTATATTTTGGCCAGAAATGACAGGACTTTATGTAAAAACTTTTTTTTTAATGAGACAGGGCCTTGCTCTGTTGCCCAGGCTATGAAGTGCAGTGGTGCAATCATAGCTCACTTTAGCCTCAAACTCCTGCACTCAAGCTATCCTCTCACCTCAGCTTCCCAAGTAGCTGGGACTACAGGTGCACTCCATCACATCAGGCTAATTATTTTGATTTTGTAGAGACAGGGTTCCTATGTTGCTCAGGCTGGTCTTCAATGCCCGGGCTTAAGCAATTACATCCCCTTGGTCTCCCAAAGTGCTGGCATTACAGGTATGAGCCAGCCTGGTCAGAACTTTTTTAAGCCTAATTTTTTTTGTCTTATATTTGGTTACAAAAGCATCATAATTCCAATTGCATTGATTTGCCTAATTGATTGTTTCAAACCAAGCTGTCTCTATACTTATCTGTCACAGGAGCTCCCCTCACTTGAGAATTTCAGAGGCTTCAAATGATGTTTATGGGCAAGTGGAAGCTTTGATGTGCTGTTCATAAACCCTTCTTAAGATGAGATATTTAGAAGCAGTGGCCAGGGGTTGATTTTGAAATATTTTTGTTTGACCATTTTCAGTTATATGTGCAGAAATAAATTAAAACCAAGCTCTGCCACTACCTTACTACATGACTTTGAGTATGTACTTTGATTTCTCTGGGCCTCTGTTTCCTCATCAATTAAGGTGGGTCTTGGAAGAGCCCTTCAAGCTCTGATGATTTGTTTTTTGAACCCAGCTAATTCTGTGAGAGGTTCTTTTATGTCTTGAGGGGCTACACACCTGCAGCCTTGGAAAAGTGGCTACCAAAATGCCCAGGTGAAAGGATCCAATTTCCCTCCACCTTGGCCATCTCTGCAGGAGGTTAACAGTTGGTTCTAGGAGGCCTGGAAAAGCCATAGAAATGTGGCATACATAGCCATTGTGCCTTAGGTAGCTCTCACCCTGCATTCTTCTCCCTGGATTTCTTCAGCTGGGAAGGTGTTGTGTACAAGCGGCTTGATAGTTTGCAGTGAGCTTTCAGACCACTATTTCCCATGCAGTAGGTGAGATAATTTTAGAAAATGGAGGATAAACATTTAAACATTTTTAATGGTTGTGTGTTTATGTTAATGCGTAAACAAAACAATAACTCCAACTTCAAAATCATGATCTCACAGCTATTATTGCTTAGGGCAAGACTAAAGTTAAAGAAAAAGTTGATCTAAACAAACATAGCAGCTAAATACTATTAAGTAAATAATAGTGTAAGTGGTACAGGGATAGAGGAAAATCAGGACTGAAGTTTGGGAAATGCTGTTAGAGAGGGCTGTAAGGGTTGGGGGAAGTAATAATTCTTTCAAGTCACCAGGAAACAGTGTAGGACCCTGGGAAACATTCTTTTTTTGAGTCAAATCATTTTTAAAAGAAAGTCCTTTAGGCTCAGTTTACTGTTAGAATAGACTTAAATATCCTAACAGGATTTTAAAAAATAAAACTCCCAAGCTGCTGTTTTTTTATTTTTAAACAAGTAGGGTCTGCATGTCAGAGAGCAGAAATTAGTTTGGAAAGAGGACTTGCATCAGGAGAGAAAATCAGCCAGGGTCCACCCAGGCAGCGCATTATGATAATACATACGGAACCAGCTGGACACTGAGCAAGGCTGACATTGTGTTGTCAAGGGCAGGATCGCCCATCAATTTCTGAGATAGAATTTGAGTTCAGATGACAGAAAGAGCAGCAACTGTGTTGAAACTGATGCATGGGGGAGGGGCAGGCAGGCAGGAACCACCGGGTCTAAAGGCAGGAAGTCCTGGTACCTCCGGAAGGGGGTGGCTCTGTTTTCTCATCTGGCTGCTACCCTTCCTTCTAACCTTAACATCTGTCAGCAAGATCCACCTGGGTCCTTGCATGATTAGAGCCCACTAAAGGGGGAGCTTACTGGTGCTAATTTTAACCCCCAAGAGAATAGAGTGCCTGCTGCTGAAATGGGGGCTAGGTCGACCCAGGAAATGGGACTCCACGTAGCCACCAGTTGTCAACCTAAGAAGCCCATTGTGGGTGTAGTGGCAATTGTTAATAACTTTTGGAAGAATTCTTAACTTTTCAGCTACTCTGTTTAGTTCCTTAACATCTTAATAACACCAGTGATTCCTCTTTAGTTCATTTGCTTATTCATTCAATCATTCATCTATTTAACACTAACACATGTTTATTGACTGACTGCCAATTATATCAGACAATAGGGCTACAGAGGTGATAAGGCAGGGACAGTTGTTAGCATTATGACGTAGACTGTCACATGAGTGTAAGTATTTATGTGCCGATATTAGACAAATAATGGCACACGGAATGATTTAAACTGCAATGATGGTTAAGTGCTATAAGGTACAAATACAGACTCCTAAGAGAGCTTAGAACTGGGGGACTCAGCCAAGTCTGAAGAATCAGGGAAACTTTTAAAATTTTCAATGAGAATGAACAGGAGAGGGGAACACATATTCAAAATTCCACGTGGGGATAAAACATTAGAAGCTGTAGGGAGGGCAAATAGGGAAGGTAGGTTAGGTCTGAGATCCATTTTTGAGAAACTAAACTTGGAAAATTTCCATAGGTTGTTTACTCTTTGACTTTGAGATGTGGTTCCATTGCAGTTTCTTAATCATGAGCTAACAGAACTCAGTGTCCATAAAATGGTAGCATTTAGAGCAGTGTTTTGGGTGATCATGGCCTTACTGTTACGATAGCGGTTGTTAAGTACTTTCTCTGCATCAAGTTCAGTGCTGAGCACTTTGTATGATCTCTTTTAATGCTCTTAACAGCCATGGGAGGGCACTAGTATTATTAGTTTTACTAAACACATTTGGGAAACTGAGGCCATCCTTTAAGGATTTGGTCGTGGCCAAAGTTAGGTTTTTATCTGCAGCTTTTGAATCTCCAAGTAGTTGACACAGGGGTCCTCACCACTGTTTTTTCTTATTGTTTAGTCAGTGCTAACCTCCCCTCCACATTGGACTTCAGACGTGGAGAGAAATTCTCCTGCTATTTGAGCATGTAATATAATACTTGCTTCAATTGAAACAAATTGACGACATTACTCAAAGGCAAATTGAAAAGCCAGATCTATGCTAAATCCCAAGGGTAAGTTAGTTGGCATGTGCAGTGATATATGGGAAGGTGCTTTTCTGGGTTAAGATAAAAAGTCCTGGTATCACGTCACACTATCAGGCACCCCATCTCAAACTCCCTGTGCCAGCCCTGCAACTTGAAATACTCAGTGGACAGAAATGATACTTTATAGAAATTAGGTGGTCATCATTGTTATCAGATGAATATGATGCCATCAGCATGATTTTAGCATCCTCAAAAAAAAGAGATTTACCTGGAGGGACACAAGAGAAAATCTGAAGCATGGATTGCAGGATTGTGGCTTTTCTGCCGGCCTGCCGTGGGCAAGTCGGCTGGGAGATGACCTAGTAATTAAAATCCTGCTTAAACGTATGCTGCTGGTCAGTTATAACAGAAGCACTAACATGGGCAACCAGAGAAAGATAAGAAAAGCGAAACACAAAAGTAACACTCTTGAGCCCACAGGGTGCAGAAATAGATCTGAATGGACTGAGTGCATATCTGAACGCTAAGCATGAAAGCAGAACCCAAGTACTAATATATTTTTATCCCAATCTGTGAAATTAATCAATATTTTATATGCGAACATATGCTCCTGTGTTGCTGGCTTATTTAATTGACAGTTGCAATCAGCAGGATACCAGTTGTTCAAACCCACATTTTTCATCCACAGTTCTGGGGAGAAATGCAGCAGGGGACCCAGGGAACAGGGACACAGACAGTGTCAGATTTGAGGCCTCTTCTCAACCCTTCAGTTTCTTTCATCGTCCTTGGGGCAAAGTAATAAAAATTTCAAGATAGTGCAAATGTTGAATATGAACAGAGAGCAATGTACTTGGGCTACTATTTAGAAGAATGATAATTAAAATGAACGTAGTTGGTACAAATTGAGATCTTTAATTCTTCATTGTTTTTTATCTGTTTCTCTTTTGAACATAGCTGGAGAAGCCAACAGATACTGAGCACCTACTATGTGCTGGGCCTGAGGCAAATGCTGTTGGGTGTATTATCCGTGGGCTGGTGGGTGAGGGGGATATATCCCAGCCAGTTCCAATGTATTGGATCATTTCTTGATAGAGGAAGAAAATATATCTTTGGTCTTTCTTTGCCAAAATCTTCTGGCGGAATCATCAAACCAGCTGTGCTTTTCCAGTAACTATTATGTGCAACAAATCTATAAAGTCAAACCTCATATTCCTCTACCTTTCAACTTTGGCAGAATCCTAGAAACTCTCCTTGATTTGGTTAGCTAAAGGCCTGTGGAATCCAATCTTTGCTGTTTAAAAGAAAAAGAGAGTTGGGGGAAAGTGTTATTAAGGTACTATTTTAGAATAGTCTATTTGTTAGTAAATTGTTATTATTTTCATGATACGTGCAACATTCTATAGTGAAGACCATTGGAATGGACAATGTCCAGATTAAAAATGAAAGTTAAAAGGAACTGCCTGATACTTTAAAAATGTTTCTCATAGTGTTGCTATCGTTTGTGTTAGATGTTCAGACTCAGTGTGTGTTTAGCAGCCCAACATGTAACAACAGAAAAGCTTCTAAGCCTGGAAGTTTGGCAGTATTTTCAATGTTCCTGTATTTAAATTGGCACCTGTGCTATTATATTAGGATGCCATTTTCTGAACTTGGAAATAGAAGAAGGTGGAGAGAGATTTTACTGTAATTCATATGTGGGTCTGAGTCTTAGGGGGAAAATAACTTTACTTGGAAATAGAGTAGTAATATTCTGTAAAGTTAATAAATATCCACCCTCTATCTTGGGGATAAGAAATTGCACAACTTAAGATTTTATGGGACTTTGGCTGTATTTGTATGATTGAAGTGAATATTTTAGCCAAACTGAACAGAAATTTCAGATAAACACCAAAGTTGAAGCGTAGTTTGGGTGTTTTAAACATTTGACTATATCAATCAACATGGATTCTCAAAGTCTCAAGTCCAGTTGAATCCCTGAGATTCAGCTATGTCATTTGTAAAGTGGAATGAGGAACATGGTCTGTTTGCCTACTGCTCAAGGTTGATATAAAGAATAATTAAGATAATGTATGGTAAAACCCTTTAAAAACTTAACAATGCTAGTTAATTGTCAGGTATGGGTTGAGTGCAGAGTACTGTCTACCCAGTTTGTAAATGAATGAGGTCCCTGTCTGCAAGGGATGCGTTGACTAGTTGGGGTGATTTGCCTATGTATATACATGCCCAGCTATAAACACATGCATATATCAAGATGAGTTCAAGGAAAAGTGCAGTAAATAATAAATGGGAAAGATAGGAAGAGTTCACTAAAGGGTTAGTGTTTTGTAGACTGGGATAGAAAGAGACACCTTCATGCAAAAGATGGATCTTTTTGGCAAGTAACTGTTTGGGTGATGGAAGTAAGTGGTATATCTTTCATAAAAAAATATGCTGGGAACATGCAAAGGATGTTTGGAGACAGTGGATTTGGGAAGCTGGTCATTACCATCTTTCTTTTCTTCTTCCCTATTTTCCTTCTCCTTCTCCTACAGCAACTTCTCTTCTTCCTCCTCCTCTTCGTCATCATCTCACAATTTTTGCCCACTCTGTACTGAACTCTTCACATAGATTAACTCATTCAAACCTTACAACAATCCTATGAGGTGGGCTGTCTTATAATTATTGTCCTCAATTAAAGTGGTAGAAACTGAGGATTTCAAAAAGTGAAGTAATTTGCCCAAGCTGGTAAATGGTGAAGCTGAAATGTGGGCTAGCTGAGGCCCCCTGAATCCAGAGCTGGTGCTCTTAACTGCTGCTGAGGCTGAAAATGAGGCTAGAAAGGGAGAATGGGCCAGACTCATGAGGGTGGACTTGATCCCGCTGGCTAAGTTTTGAAAGCTGGTATTTGAGGAAGGTTAATCTGGGTTTTGATAGGTAGACTGGACTTTGCATATAACTAATAATTATGTAGTAGAAATGAATCACAAACAGGCAAGTGCGAGTATTTGCTCTTTGATGTCCAGACAGAACAGCCCAGACCCCAAAGAGTAATTTTTGAGGAAGTTGAGTCAGTACATCATAGAGTTGAGATGAAAGTGGACTTCCCATTCTTTGCATGGCTTATGTGGGCAAAGTCAATGATACATATTCCTGTGCTTATGACATCACAGATCATCACCACGGAAACATCTGTGCTGTAACAAACGCTGGATTGCAGTGTCACTAAATGTGTCAGGGAGGAGAGGAAACTGGCTCAAAATGATAAGGCTCTGAATAATGAAAGTTCACTGAAATATGTTAGCAATGGCAGCCTCGGTTGTGGAGAGAAATATAAGCAGAACTATTCCGAAAAGCACAAAGCAGGACTTGTGCATTATTAAAGGTTGGGCAAGGTTGGTTTCAAAATGCTGCTCACATTCAAAACATGGTTTTCTTAAAAAGTCACTATCTATGCTGTCTTGCATGACAATAAAAATCCTTCAGGAACAGGAGCTCATCTCTCAAACTGCGTATAGAAAATCTTCTGCATAGCAAAGAAAGGCCAACTGGGGGACTTCCGTGTGTTTTGGGAGAAGACGTAAAGATCAGGAGCAGAATTGGCCATGATTATGTTTATTGTTTGGTAAGTCAGTGACAGTATTAGTTCAATGATTGCAGAAATTAATAATCAGTAAAAGATGACTCTGAGCCCTCTGAGGATTTATATAAGTTGCACAGTGGTAGATCATGAACTGAATCCAGCCTTCAGCCATATTTATGTTTGGGTTGCATGGCACCTTCAGAAATTATGTATTAGTTGCTGGCAATTGAAGATAGAGAGATTATATGAAAACCTGGATTTACTAATGTCTTTTATAATCAGAAGAGCTGGTAGTGCTGGATCCACATTCTCAAATGGCAACGGGTAGGGAAAACTCAGAAATCATCTTCCTTTTGGATGAAGCACATACTCTACATTTAGCCACAATCCCCACCAATCCCATTGCATCTCCTCATCCCATTTCATTGACTTACCTTCCTGCCTAGCCCTGTGAGCATTTGATTTTGTGCTCCTCATTGGAGGGATTGGAGATTAATCGTTGTTCCTAGCACAGTTCCTAGTCTATGGAGGGCACCCCCTATATTGTAGCTCTGATTAGTCTTTATCAGTTATAGGCTGAGTTATGAAAACTTGATCCTGAGATCAGCGGTATCCAATTGAACTTCCTGTGATGATGGAAGTGTCCTATCTCTGTGCTGTCCAATATGATAGCTACTAGCCACTATAACTATTGACTACTTGAAATGTGGCTGGTATGACTGAGGAAATAATTTGTATTTCATATTAATTAATTGAAAATTAAATGTAAATAGCTGCGTGTAGCTAGTGGCTACTGTAATGGGCAAAGCAAAAGCAGATTGAGTAATGGGATCAAACATCCAGTCAGCTGTCCTCATTTAGGATAGAATGTGGAAGATAGACAGTAGGGTTGTGTGTGTGAACTTGCCCATCTTACAAGAGATGACTTATAATAGGCTTCATCACCTAGGGGCATCTACTTCCAAAGTGGGAACCACTACCTGGCTAGAATTGTTGTCAATTTCAGGAGCCTAAGACATGTGTTTTACAAAATGTTTATGTGCACATTCATAGCAATAAGTGTAAGTCATCTTAAGCTTAAATAGGAAGTCTGACTGTTCTCTGTCCCCTAAATGTTCAGTTAAGGGTACTACTTAAGTATAATAACTGTACTTGTGAGTGGAAAAGCCTACATTATTTGATGAGCTGCTTGACTCCCACATTCACGACAGCATAGAGCCAAGAGCCAGGGTGAGTGAGGGTACTGTGAGAAGGAAGCCTGTGGAATCCTGCTAGACTGCTGGAGGGATCCTCTCTTCTTAGGGCCAAGGGCACACAGGCTGCCATCTCTTGAGATTTCCATCGTGAACACACTGAGCACATCTAATGATCATGTTGCTATAAACCAGCTCACAAGTAGGATTCTAAAAGATCCCTCTCTCATGCAACTTTTTCTTTCGTTCGCACCTTGTTTGCCTGGGAAACTTGTCACTGGCCCTCTCCACCGTGCCTGGTAGTCAGAGCCCTCCATTTGTCTTTGTCATAGAGTTGAAACCCAGAGCCATCTACCAAGCTCTGGCTTAATGGCAACCCACTGGCCTTTTTCCTGAAACCTGCCTGCCATAAGCCAACTTTTCCAGTTGATCAATAAATGACTTCACTGCTTCTAGGGATATATACATGGAGGACAAAACAGATGTCTGCTTTTTTCACTCCAGTTTAAGCTCAAATTATAGCTTCTGCTCCCACACCCATACCCCTGCCCCAGCAAAAAAAAACATGCCTCCTTAAAACATAGAAATCTTAATGAAAATGATAGAAACAGTGTTGTAGCTAATTTTGTTAAGTGATGACTATTACCGATCCTCTTGTAATAGAAAAAAAAAGAAGAAAACACATGTGACTATCTTCTGCTTGGATCATTCATCCAATTGGAATTATACATCATCTAATCTTACAGTCAAATTCTGCTAAGAGGATACCATATCTTTTTTATCTTTGTGGGCAAACATCAACGTAAACTCCTATTACAATAGTGAATTGAATGATTCCTAGAATTCAATAGGAAGAGAAAGACAAAACCCTCTAACAAAAAAGTAGATTCTACATGTTTTAAAATTTCTTCTTAGCAAAATTCATAGCAAAAACATTTCCTAGAAAAAGACCAAGGTAATATGAACTGAGAGTAACTAATGAAATGCTAAATTATCTGCACGCATCTATGTTTTTATTGCTGAATTTGGTCCTGCCTCCAGACATAAGGAGGCTAAAAATTCATATTCAGATAAGGAAAGGCAAACCTTGGCGAACAGATGGAGCAGAGTTCAGCATAAAGGTTTAATCCTATCAGGCCGATTCCTGTATGGCCATCTGGATAATCCGGCACACACATTCAAGGCCTGTTAAAAATACGACTCCAGCCAAGATTAGCGTCACAGATTTTCCACTAGACTTGCTCATATTTGGCTTTATGATTTTCCAGGCCCAGGAAGACTGCTTGTGAATAAAGACTTAAATAGTCCTTGAAGAAGCAGTTGCATATTTTTTTAACCTGAAAATTGTTTCCCCTTTTCACAATATTGGGTGTCCATTTTTGGAAGGTTATTTTCATTTCCTTTTTTCCCCTTGGCTTTCATTTCCCAAACTTTTCTTACAACAGGACAATAAGGAGAATTGGACTAAAAATAATTTTGTGCATAAAAGTTCTCCTTGTCAGGATGAAGAGAGTTATTTACTTATTGTATAATCAGAGGCACGTGAATGTACTATTGTTGCAACAAATATCACAATTGGATCCATGAATAATTCATTTTGAAAATTCTCTTACCCTCCATGACAATTTTTCCCCATTGCTTTGCAATGGAGTGACTGACAGTCATAGAATAAGAGGTGGGAAAGAAACCCAAAGAACTGATGACAATATTTGCCTTTGGCTGCTCTAGGATTAATATTTTGTACATTTTAATTTTGGATTTGGCAGATCAAACATGAGGTGGAAAACAGTGTAGTCACACCTTGAGTTATAAAATTCTGAGCTGCAGTGTAGTTAACAAACAATTTTTGCATATTATGAAACAATGCTATGTTGTGTGTCATTAAATCAAAAAGCCTTCAACAAGTCTTTCAAGTGCAATTTAGAAGTTACAGGTACATCAAAATGTCAAGATTTCTTACTGCTAAATTGTCAAATAACCCCGTGTAATGAACCTGCACACAGTTCCAGATCTCCGACAGACAAACTCAGGAATCCAAAAGCGCTTGCCCTGGAATGTTTTGGATTACAGTTGTTGCACCAGCATTTTTGTCCTTCCCTTGCTCAGGTGCTATGTCCATTGATTGTTGAAAAATTTTGCTAATTCAGAATAAAATAAGAAAGCTGCAAAATAGGAAGAGAATATAATTTGGGCTTAGTCTATAATTAGCAAATGGCATAAATTGGAACTTAGACACTATTTTGCTAAGTTTAGGTACATCTAGATATTCACCACTAAGCTAACACTGCCTTAATGTAGATGGACATTGGAGCTACATTTCCAAATAGTGCCTGTGAATTTTTCCTTTTCTTCTTTTCTGCGAGAGCCATTAATGCTGTCAAAGCAAAGGGCATTCTTGCCAAATGAAGTCACTTTGGAATAAAGGATGAAAATCACTTGAAATTCTCAATCTCCTCATTTAATATTTAATAGGTTTAATTGCATCTAGTATGGAGAGATCTCTGTATCATGGGTTACATTTCTCCTTAAAGTGACAAACATCACACACACACACACACACACACACACACACAGACACACACACGACTCTTTTTCATATATAATACATGAATCTTTGCCAAGTATTATCTAGATATGCTAGTGGACAGGACAATAAATGCAGACAAATAACAAAATGAAATAAAAACCCTAATAAACAATAAAATGCTTAACTGCATAATGCAATTACTGAAGAAAATAAAGTAAGGCAGAAACAAATCCCTAGTAACACAAGTTAAAGCAACAGCATAAGTGTTATAAAGGCTGCTACACCTTGCATGAGGAAACTGTCAAATTTGTTTGTTTGTTTATTGGCTGAGTTTATTTGTTTATTTGGAGTTAGCATTCTGAAAGTGAAGTTTGCATACTCTGGTACCATGGTTCAGGTCAGGCATTCTAATTGCTTCTGGTTTCTAAAGCATCCAGTTGGAGAATGGATAAACAAAGAATAGATTTGCCTCCTGTGCATGGTGAAAATACAGAGGTCCAGTCTTCCAGCTGGAAGAAAACCTTCTGTTTGTCCTCTTGCCTGTCCAGTAGCTGCTAGTTTCAGGATCAAAGAAGGCAGGTTGTAGTGCTAAGGAGCTGTGAGCAGGAAGGTCATCATTCACTGAAAAAAAAAAAAAAAAAACACCAGCAAAAACAAGCATTCAGATCGAGCAGGAGGAAGAGATATCTGTGCGCTGAGTCCAAGTGGAATATTTTGTGCCCTCAATAGTCTCTCCGTTTCTCCCAAGTACAACATCACCAAAATTAAGGAGATAAAAGGGAGAAAAGCATGAGTTTTACGAGGTCACAAGTATCCCGTAGAAATGAGCTGAGCTCATGGGTTTTATGTTTTCTGCCAAGTCTCAAAAATTTGGGACAATAACATTAAAGTCGATTCCTCATTTCTGAAAAGTTTCCCATTAATATTCATTCCAGGCAAATGAGATCCTTAAAAAAACATTCTACTTTGGAGGGACTGTTGCCAGTTCCACCTACTCAGTACATTTAGTTGGATATGTTAGCAAGCAGCTGAACTGGGAGTTCTTAGGAAAGTCTTACAATAAAATACATAATCTGAACTGATGAGAGTATAGGGTATTCTCGTAAATAAACTCTAGTTAATGGGGAGCTGATGGTAATTATTATAGCAGCAACTAGCATACTATGTGGTGCATAGTAAAGCAACAAAACACAAGTAGGCATTTTCTGTGTATTTTGCTGGAACTCTGTGAGGTGAGTGCCCTTATGGAAACTACAACTTAAAGAAGGTAAGAGACTGTTTCAAGGTTGCACTAGGTGCTAGATGTGGAATTTGAACAACTGGAGCTCTTGCCCATTTTCAAATACAGTCATACTCCAAATGTTAAAATCAACTTAACATAATTTCATATTTCTGTCTTTACTCAGAAGCCAGTAAAGGCTAGTGCCAGTATTTTCACCTCCACTGTAAGCATCAGTGGTCTGCTTTGTAGAAATGCTCACTAATAGAGAGTTCTGGTTAATAGAATTCTGGAAAAGGAGAGTGTGCACGTTTTCCTACACCATATGTAATGGGAATGGAAAAGAACCTTATATCACCTTGAGATTTAGATTTAGATTTAGATTAGAAAATTTCTAAATTTGTACATTTTATCAACTCACAGAGTGTTGTTTCTCCAGTGTATTTAGATACAGGAATGGAGAAAAAAGCCAAACAATATATCTCTAATTAGGCTTTCATAATGTCACATCGATTGTCACAAATGCCTCATTTTGGGGATAAGATATGATAAATGCTGAACCTGGGTCATCTATATGGCTACCCCAAACAAGTGAGGTATTGATCACAGCACAGAGAGATTTCAGAAGGAAAAATAAGAGCAGCCCTAGGGCCCTGCTGATAGCTGCACACACCACTAATTCACCTCAATGGGCAGGCACCTCTGAGCTCAATTAACCCTTATTCCCAAGGCTACCCATAAAACCCGAGGTAAACATGGCTCTCCTGGCCCTTGCTTTCTATCAAAGAAATAGATCATTTCTATTGGAGGCTGAAGTGCGATTCCAGCTTATAAATTCACCTTGCTAATAAAGAGACTGATGCTCCCAGTGCGAGTGTGCAGGCACTTGAATCATGTAACACTTATTCTGTAAATCAGAAAATTTTAAACTACCGAGGGCATCTCTGATTTCTTCTGCCTTCTGTGGCTGTTCGAAGGAAATATAAATGCTCGGGAGATAGAGTAGGTGATAGCAAATGTCCCCTGGTGCAGTTGTCTGCACACAGAACATTAGTTGTTAAATACGTACTGGAGCTGAACGATTTCTTTCTTTCTTTTTTTTTTTTTTTTAATTCTTCCCTCTCTTTTCCTTCTCACCATGACCATTGTTCAAGAAGCAAATTGGAAATCTGGTAATTAGGCCCTGACTCACGGTGTAGTATTAGAGTCCTGAGCCAAAGTTCAACACCCTGAAATGAAATTTAAACCAATTAATCTGTTAGATTTTTATCGCTTGTCCGTGTTTTCTCAGCAATTCCCCCAGCACGTGGCCTTTGATCAACTCTCATACAAACGCTAAAATGTGTGCCTGCTGCTAGCAAGATGGGAATGACATTAACATGGTACTCATAAAACAATCAGAGCAGAGAAGCCCTCAAACAGGCAGGGCATAGTAATATTTAATAAAAGCACACACATAATCTTCAGAATTAGCATTTTGTGCCTTGCAGTACCTTTGGGAGAAGAGCTTTTATTTGTGGAGTGATCATTATTATAACAAAGAAGAGCTACCTAATAATTTCCATTTTAACTCTGCAATGTGCCATGAGCATTTCAGAGCCATTATGCTAAACTGTGGTAGGGTAATCATGTTATTGTCATAGTTTGAAGGAAGGAAAATCTCCTCTACTTTCGTGGCTGGTGAGGGGTGGGGGAAGGGATTTAAAAAAAGAGGCAAACCCCACCCCCTAACCCTAAACTTTTATTTTTAATGAGATTTAAAACCAGAAATTGGGTCACTGGCCTTGCGGATACTTATGAGTGTGAAAATTCATTGGAGAGGAAGAAAGAATCTTGTATTAATTAAATCAAAAATTTGCTGGTAAAAGTGGTTTTGTATTCAAACACCGCCCCCACATTCCATAATATTTGCTTGGAGATAGACTTGTATTGATTATCACATCCCTGTGCTGAATTGAACTCTTTCATAAATCTTTTCACAGTCAAATTCCACTGAATCCATCCACTGTGACTATTAAAAGTGATTTTTCCCTGTCTCCCCTCTGTTTCTCTCTGGGTATCCCAAATGTAAGAAACAAGTCCTTGGCTGCTTTGCATGTTGTCTGAGCTTTCTCAGAGAAAACATATCCAAAATGAGGAGAGAAGGGGAGGCTCAGGGTCAGCGCAGCTGTTTTGTTTGTTTTATTTTCCTTTTTTAAAATGTAATTTTGCTCTAAAAAGTACAACTGTTTGCTCTCATAGAATTAAATGTTCTGCTGCTACTTAATTTTTTAAATTATTATTACATAGTACCTTATTTGTACACATTGAAAAAATTTAAATCATACAAATATATAGGGAATAAATGTTAATAGTCCTCCTTTTCTGTCAACCCCAGTCTAGTTCTTTTTATAAGGACCTGCTGGGGACAGTTATACATATCCTTCCTTCCAGGCCTTTGTCCATCATACTTGTTCACATATAACTGCATGCATACTCATACTGGTTCATATACAGGTTCATATATATCATTTAAAAATCAACTTAATTACACTGTCCTTTAGTTTGCAAATTGTTTTTTTCACCTGCTAACCTATTTTGAAATCTTTCCATATCAGTTTATAGAATTGTTTTGTGTATTTTAATGACACTCCTAGTATTCTATCGTGTGAATATACCATAATTTCTTTAACCACCCCCTACTGGGAGCACCTAGACATCTGAATTTTTTGCTGTCAATACCGCAATGAACATTTGGGTACCTATAGTTTTAGCCACAATTGCAAGTATTTCCAGGTCTTCTTTTAGCCTGGCAGTTGTGTTGTGAGTAGGGTTAAAATGTAAAATAGCAGCCTGTGAGTTAAAGCCAGCCCACAAACATTTTGTTTGGCCTACGCATTAAAAAAATACTGAATTCGTTTCCAACATTGAAAGATTGAAAAATTTGACATAAAAATGTGGCTTCCTGGCTTCTTTGGAAAGATCACCAGAAACCCAGACGATGCTAGGCCTGCATTTTTATGGGGTCACCAAAGGCTGAAGCTGAGCAGTGCTGTCACCTTTCCCTGGGGCACGTGCAATTCACCAGCACCTTCCCGTTGCATTACAGATGTTGAGAAACAGTGGCCATTAATCTCATGCTTGTTCTGAGATCCTGAGCTGCTGCATTCGTTTGTATGTCTTGCCTTGGTCTACATGGGTCTGTGAATTCTTAACAATAGCTCTTGGGCCTGATTCTCTTTTGCTGGTCACAGGGTTTTCTACATTGCATTATTGACATGTTGGGGTTCTTCATTTATGGGGACTATCCCATGCATTCATGCATTGTTGGATACTTAGCATTCTTTAATTTAATTTAATTAATTAATTTATTTATTTATTTTAAGAGACAGAGTCTCACTCTGTCTGGAGTACAGTGGTGCAGTCATAGCTCACTGCAGCCTTGAACTCCTGGGCTCAAGCAATCCTTCTGCCTCAGCCTCCCCAGTAGCTAGTATGACAGGCTTGCACCTGGCTAGTTTTTAAAAAACCTTTCAAGAGACAGAGTCTTACTGTGTTGCCTGGGCCAGTCTTGAACTCTTGACCACAAGAGATCCTTTCACCTTGGCTTCCCAAAGTGCTGGGTTTACAGGTGTGAGCCACTATACCCAGTTTGACCTCCAGTTACTAAATACTACTAGCTTCCCCTCCTCATCCTCTCTCTCTGGGATAGCTCATGATTCCTTTACATATTTTTGAAATTTGTCAGTGGGGAGGTGTCACAGAGCTTCCCCTCAAGACTAATATGTTATAACAGATGTATAGGAGGAGCTTTGGAACCCTTAGAGGTCTAAACTTAGAAAGGTCTGAATGACTTACCTGCTCTAAGAATGGCATATAGTCTCGAAGCAGGGATGGTGGATGGTGCTGAGTGTAGAGGTAGGAGGGACTGAGGGGTGTGTCATTCTTCCTGGGGTACTTCCTTTAAGGCTTTATTTCTCTAAAACTAAGACAATGGTGTCAAATATTGTTTCCTCACCTGGTTATCTCTGGAAGCTTGATGCTCTTTCTTGCCTCTGAGGCATTGACATATAGCTTTGCTTCTGGAAAATTGCTCACAGTATTTGAAAACATTGCAACTTTCCTTGGGAAGTGTTTGAAAGCACATACACACGCATGCATGTACACCCACGTGACTTCTGTATCCTACGTATAACAAGTGGGAAAAAAGAGGGAAGGGGTCAAGTTCAAAACCAGCAGGTCTTGGCCATGCTATTTTAAGGCCTTTCCTGTAGGAGGGTTTCTCAAAGACACAGAAACACCCCCTTCCACCTCCCTTTGTGCAATGATGAGAAAGCCTGCAGGAGACCGTATTTAGCTAAAGAAATATGTGTGTGTGATTAAAAAAATAAAAATTAACAGAAATTCCAAAGCTAAAACTGATAATAAACACAAAGACCATTTTGTGATCTGTGTGGGTAATCTCAGGGTCAGCAATTAATGACCCCATTGGATTCCACAGTTTGACTCAGTCAGGACTCTCAAGACCAATTCAGTTAAACCAATAACCTGTTCTTCTCAGAAGTACTAGGGATATCATAACACCTTTTGTACTCCATTCTAGCAACTAAGTAGACTGAGTTATAAATTAAGAATTGATATTTGGGGACATTAACAAAATGTTTCCAAACTGCATATATTTTTAGAACTTTATGTAGTTGTTAAATATAGTTTATTTCTCTTATAACTTGCTTCAAATCATACATCATATGGTACCACTGGTTTGGGAGTACTTAATCATGCATTTAAACATTTTTTACTTTTAAAGGTCACTTTTGTTTAAGAAAAAGCCCTATAGTTGTGGAACACTGATCACAACCTCTATGTATGTTAAAAAATCAGACAAGAAATGTCAAGTCACGAATCATTTACATCTTCTTGATTAATTATTTTGTTTTTGGGAGAAAGTAGAGAAGAGAAAAGTCATCTGAACTGCCCAGTTTTAGTTGTAAATGCATTGCTATGAGTTCAGCCAACATGAAATGTTTAGTTTGGATATTTCCAAATTTCTCTGTGCAAATTTTTAAGATTAATTTGAATCAAAATCAAACCCATTCTATTTGTTTGTGTGGTGGCACGTGAGCAATGGTCCCACCGGGCTGGACTTAATATTTTCTTTCCTTCTTGCAAAAGTTAAAGCATGACATTTTGCCAAATTTGACAAAGTCCAAATATTTTTTTGCCAGTTTTTTCCCGTTAAAATTAACTAGTGCTCTCATTGGCTTCAATGCTCAGAAAGTCAGTCTTGGATACTTAATAAACTTTTTATTAAAGATGAGGGTCCCATTTTCTCTCCTTGAACAATATCTCCCTTTAGGATGTTGCTTTCTTGTTGTTCATAAAAATAATCATGAGAACAGAAGCATGACACTGTAGAGTTAAAAACCCTCAGTGGCACGAAGGTGCACCCTGAGAGATTTTAAAAACAATCCAAGAATTACATTTATGCCCAGCAATTCTGTTGAAAGTATGCCATGCTCATTAAACAAACCACCTCCAGTCTATTTGGAATCACAGTATTTGCAAATTATTTCCCATCTCCAAGGGCCATTTATAATGGAAAGAAAAGAGATATGAAATTTTGAAAAAGTCAATTCTAGGGTTTTATGCCTGGGAAAGACAGCAAAGCAAAGGTCATGGAAAACTCTGTGGTTGAGCCCTGACTCAGCTATTTGGTTACATAATTCACCCCGAGTGACCTGCATTCTTCACATCTGTAAAATGGGATCTATGACATTTATTTGAAAAAAAATCGTAATGATTTTTAATGAGACATGTTGCAATGTTAGTGTTTCAGACAGAAGGCATGGAGCAAGAATCATTTCCCGCTCCAGGCTCCTCTCTTTCTTAGTTTCCTATTGGATGGTAATGTTTATCTAAAAAAACGTAAGTTTTCTTTTCAGGAGATATATTTAACTATGAAGCAATTCTGTAAGGTTTCCAATATATTCCAGAAAGTCACCCATATTTAATAAGAAAAAAATCCTTAGCATTTCACAAATTAAAATTTGCTTTGTGTTTTATTTCATAAAGTTTCAGGTTTGATAAAGATTTGGGTAAAATATATGTATCTTAATAGAAACAATGAAAAGAATGCTTTTAAAAACTGAAGTTGCACCCTGAAGTTTCAGGTCCTAATGTGGCTGGGAAATGCTGAGATCTTGAGGGACTTTCTGTTAGTGAAAAGATAAAAGATTTTTTTTTTCCTTTTTCTCAAGTCTTCATCATTAAAGTTTGGTTCTAACAGCAGACTCCTTCTCTTTTTCATGTGTGTTGAAAAGCAGCTACTCCCTGTATCAAAGCCATCAGCCCGAGTGAAGGATGGACGACGGGAGGTGCGACTGTGATCATCATAGGGGACAATTTCTTTGATGGGTTACAGGTCATATTCGGTACCATGCTGGTCTGGAGTGAGGTAGGTGTTGTCTGAACATTAATATCTAATAGCTTGATCTAGTTGAAGATACTGTCTATACTTGAATTTCTAATAGAATGTGTAGACTCTAGTGGTGCCGCTCTGGGTGGGCCAGCTTCAGTCTACAGAATTTGGGGAAACTAGAAGAGTTGGTTTGGGTTTACCAGGAGGCAACAGTTACTACTGGAATGACTTCCTTTCTTTGGCCCATAAGCAATGGGAGAGCTTCTGTTTTGCAGTTTGTCTTCTTGGGCTTGCCATGGTGTGGAGGTCCTATTGTATGTTGGGAATTGAAGAGGAGATGCAAAGTCACAAGATGTATAGAAAAAGCCCATTCAAGTTTTAGCAAGGGTGTAATCTGTGACTATTTTGCAGAAAGAGTCTACGGTAGCCTGATCTTCAAGGAACATCATTCAATGGCAGCATAATCCAGGTGTAGGTGGTTCTTGACTTATTTGGTGACTATTCATCAGACAGAGTGATTTGCTGGGAGAACCTAGAACCACAAAGGGCTTTTTCTAGCTCTAGGAATTTACAGCTCTCAAGCATCTCAGTGTGTGACTGCAACCCCATGAAAATGACTATGTTCTAATTGTGCAGTACTGTCCAAGCACTGTGATTGTTCTTTTAACCTACCAGTTGACTTGTCTGGCAACCATCAGCATCAGCTCAAGATTACAAAACATGCATCCCGTTATATAGATGCCGTGGCAAATCTGCCATTGTGTTCTCAGTTCTGAGCCCCAGTTTCTTAGCCAGCATGCTCCGAGCACTCTCTCTTTCACTTCACTAAAGTTTAGAATAAAAACAATGTTAGGGTTACAAGGTACCATAGGGTTCATTCACCCCATTTGCTTTGTAAGCATGTAGTCATCCTAACTTACTGAGACTTACCATATGCTAGGCAATGTGCTAAACCTTGAGGTAGATCATCTCACCCTTCTTTCTACACTACGAGGTAGATACTCGTAGCATATTTCTTTTCTTGATAAGGATAGTGAAGCTCCAAGACAAATAGTTACATAGCCAGAGAGCAGCTGCCCAAAGCCTATAGAATGTAAGTGATTTGTATATGGCCACACAAAGATTTCCATTTCTAGCTGTGCTCCCGTGACACTGGTTTAGCCTATTTCTTTGTGTTGTTTTCTCTCTAGAGGGGCCATGCAGATGAGCAGAAAGTTAAGACTGTGATACTTGGGTATGTTTGTCTTTCCAGAACAGACGCTGTTCTTTGTAAGCCTTCTGTGTATACTGCTTACTGCCAGTAACCCACTCAGGCAGGCCCCTTGCTAGCTTGTGCTGCTGCTGCCTTGGTATTTTCTACTCAGCAAACAAGGGGTATGCATTTGGTCGTAGAATCAAAGTTCTCATAAAGCCAAATCAGAGATGAGCTTCCCAGCCCACTCAACTAATTTTTAGGCAAGATGGAACATTTCAGGTATGAAAGGTGGAGTAACTTCCCCTTGCCAACTGTACTCTATGTTTTGTTGAAACTATTGGGTTGTAAATTAGAAGCATCAAATTCATGGCATGTTTTGCTGCCAGCCTGCTGTCTTCCTCCTGCTGGAGACAGCAGTCCTCATGAGGACAGACTGTCCCAGGTCTTGTGGGCTGTATCTTCTACCTTTTCCATCTTTCTTTCTGTTGCTTATCAAGGAAGTTGAGAGATGGGAAGAGTAAATATAATACGGACTCCTTGTTTCATGTCATTGTAGTCAAAGTGGAGCTCAAAATTGGCATTAAAAATTACTGACCCTTTGAGAAGGAGGTGGGTTAGTCTGAAGCTTCCTGTAAAACCTTGTGCCTTCTTAACCCAAGTGGACTCCATTGAATATGGAATAAGGACACATCAGGAAATCATGCATTTGCACCTCTGCCTTACGCTTAATCAAGGTCCCTCCATTTTTTCTCACTTTCCTACTTTCTTGACCTGTTTTGGGAACAGCAAAGGGAGGTTAGCATGTAACTTGGATTTATCCAAATTGCTTTAAAGGATCTGTTTCTATATAACAAAATTGATGAAAGTCATAGGAAGGAAAACCCATTAATGTAATATCTTTGTCCTCCTCCCTCCTCTGTCCCTCCAGTGCCACTGCCTTGTGTGTGCCAGGAGCCCCTCTTCACTCTGTCCCAGGGGTCAGGGTGGGTCCAGCCAGGAGCTGAGGGTGGAGGATGCATGCTCCTTCATTGTCCAGCCCCTGCTTTCGTGCTGCTCTTGGTTGTAGCTATGTCATAAATCAACTATGACCCTGTCCTGGTGCAAACTGTTTCCCAAAATATTTGTGCAGATCTTCTTTTAAAACAAGCAAATCCAACTGCATTAGCAGTTGGGTACCTGGATGTAGGACTTTAAATTGGGCTGTTATCATCATGATTGTCCTGATGTTCAGAAGAATGATCCTTGTAGAAGTGAACCCTTTTTTGTAATATTCTAAACTATTTCTATATTTAGGTTTTCGTACAGGCTACTTGGCACACACAATTTTCTCTGCCTTTTCATGCAGGGAGAGAATTTGATACTGCCCCAAATAAAGAAATCCATTGTATAATGGTGGGAATGGAGAAATAGCTCAGACTTGCTAAGGGTTCATCATGTGTAGGCACTTTATGGGTATTACTTTAAGCCTCACAATAGGCTTGTATGCAATACTCCTGTTATTCTAATTTTACATATGAGTAAACTGAGTTTCAGAGAGGTTAAAAAGCTTGCCCAAGGTTACACAGCCAGATAGGACTAGAGACTGGATTTGAACTATACCATATTTTTTTTATAAAGGAAGGAAAAGTCCTAGTTAATAAGAGAGCACATGCAATCTTGAGAGAGGGAAGAATGACAGAAAGAGGAAAGAAAGAAAAAAAATGAGGTTTCATAAGCCAGGTGGTATAGTAGTAGAAAGTAGTAATAGTAATTGTAGTAGTGATGATGGTTGTTTTTAATCGAATAAAATTACATGAGTGCCTTTTATTTTTGTAGAAGCAGAAAAATATTAACCAAGTTTGAGGCCATTTGTCAAGGCTTGCATTGTACAGAATCAGAATTTGATCAGAAGACATCTAAGAAAAAGCTACAGAAAATGCAGAGTGTGACTAATATTAGCTAACATTCATTCACTGAGCACTTAGTTCCTGCCAGGCAATATGATAAATGTTTGGTAGTGCTCTTGTGGGATTCTCACCACTGCGTATGATGTTGTTCTCATTTTACTGATGAGGAAATTGAAGCTTGGGGAAGTTAAATAAGTAAGTGGTTCAGTTGCCAAGTGGTAGAGAGATGGGACTTGAACCCAAACAGTCCAACCCCAGGGCTTACCTTCTTAACTTTCATAATTTAGCCTGTGCCACCATTTTTATCATAGGGTGTTATCAGATCAGGGTGATAGGCTCACATTGCCATGATGTCTTGTGCTGGGGGTGCCTTAACAGTTGCTGTTACCTTCCAAGGTCAGGTAGAATTGGCATGTACAGACTCAGAGAGGTAAGAGGGCTTCCCTTCATCTTCCAGTTGTATATGTTTGTGATCGGCACCACTGGATTCTAGGTAGAATTTATCTTTATGAAGTAAAGGATACATGCCTACGCTAGGGCAAGACAGTTCACCTGTTTAGCCTCATCTCTAGAGCTGGATCCCTGTCCATCCAAAGTCTTTGCCCCAGACCACATGATCTTGAGGTTTGTGCCATGTCTAAGATCCAGGCCTTCTAATTTTAAGTAGACTTTTATCACTTCTGCATTTCCTTACTCTATACCCAACACACCCAGGAAGCAGGCTGGCAGGCTAGGACAAGTGGATAACATTTTAGATTAGCAGCTAATGCCATTATTTAGAGTCTTTTTTTAGCTAAAGAATTTTTTAAAGAGCCAGAGAAAATCAGGCTGGCTTAACAGACTCTAATCTGTGCTCTTTCCCTACCAATCCAATCTTCTGCCAATGAGTAGTTCAGTTTAGCTCATGGATCACCCCCTGAGGGGTGGGAAGAAGAAAGGGGCACTTTATTGCTCCTAACTCAGCTCTGCCTTCTGCGAGCTCCCAAGTTCACATGGCGTTCTTGTGAATTTGATTTGCCCCCTTCCTCTTTCTTTATTGTTTCTTGCGATTTCTCCTCTCCCTCTTTTTAGAAAGTAAATTATTTTACTCTTATTCTTGTGCTCCTTGCCCTGTCCTACTCTAAAAGTCTTTTAAAAAATTGTTTTAGTATTTTATATACAAATCTAGGAAAACTAGCAGGGTTGATGTGTGATGTTTAATGTGGGGTGAGATTATTTTTCTTGACCAGAGCCGCACTTGGTTGTTTTGCTTTTCTACCAACATGTGATTTGGAGCAGGGAGGGGCTCCTGCTTCTGGTGTGCAGAACTAATTGTTAGTTTAATATCTCCTCTGAATTCCTCCAATTTCTAAAGAGTGAGCACTGGTTGGCTTGCCTGCTGGGTGTCTAGCACTGGGATAGGTACCATGGGTAATTAAAGTTGGGCTTTGTGGGATCTGGTGTTTTATTTGGAAAGACAACTTGCTTCCATGCAGCAAATTAGAGAGTTACATAATATATTTATATAATCTAGTATTAAATTGGTAGTTTACAATTCACGCTAAGTTCTGGAAAGCAGAGAGAGTGGTGTAGTCAGAAGTAGATGGTTTGAATGACCAATCAAGTTCCTCTTACATATGGATGTAGCTCTGTGTTAGGTATGTTAGGCTCTCATGACCCTTTTATTTTATCA